>NC_000011.10:1878181-2181212 GCF_000001405.40 Homo sapiens
CAGGCTTCCCCTCCATGGAACCCCTCCACCTCCTCAACACTCTGCCCCAGCCTGCGCCGCCCTCTGTGTGGAGGGGCTGGGGCGTGAGTGAGCACGAGGGCCCCTGCGCCCCAGGCTCTGCCTCCTCAGGTGGAACAAGGCCCAGCAGCCCCCAGCCATGCGGAGGCCGGCAGAAGCGGGAAGCTGGGCCTCATCTGCCCGGATGATGGGAGCCAGGTGTGGGGAATTAAGTGGCTTCCTCGGGGGCCGGGAGTTGAAGGCACTTCTGAGGAGCAGGACAGGCAGGCGGATTCGGGGGCGCGGGGGGCGGGGTGCACAGGCGGCTGGGTTTGCGTGGCTGGAGTCCCCTGTGGCTTCGGTGGGGGGAGTGGGCCTTGAACTCGGGCCTGTGGAAGGGCCTGGCTTTTGTCTGAGAGGCTTAGGGGAGACCTAGGAGAGATTAGATCACGCGCTGGCAGGGCTGTCTGGCCAGGGGACTGGGGCCCAGTGGGGATCAGGCTGCAGGGTCAGGCAGCGGCCACTGGCCGGGAAGAACTGAGACCCCAGTGGGGAGACCCCAGCCCTGCTCCCTGTTCTGGCCTGGGCTCCCTCCCTGGGTCTGGGATAATAAGCCCTGTAGGAGTGTAGAGACCCTGGACCCCCTCTCAGGCTCTAGGAGGGCGATGGGAGGCAGGGCCATGACAGCTGAGGCTGCGGTGTCTGCAGGACCTGGACCATCTGAGAGCTGCTGGGCCGGGGCTCTGATGCCCAGGTCCAGGCCAGCCTGTGCCTACCTCTGTCCCTGAGGGGGGCGCGTGGGACCCCAAGAAGCCATGGTTTCAGGCTCTGAGGGCAGAAGCACTCCCTTACCTCAGTTTCCCCATTTTTGAAATGGCTCAATCGGCTGGGTGCGGTGGCTCATCCCTGTAATCCCACCACCTTGGGAGGCTGAGGCGGGCGGATCACCTGAGGTCGGGAGTTCAGGACCAGCCTGACCAACATGGAGAAACCCTGTCTCTACTAAAAAATACAAAATTAGCCGGGTATGGTGGTGCATGCCTGTAATCCCAGCTACTCAGGAGGCTGAGGCAGGAGAATCGCTTGAACCCAGGAGGCGGAGGTTGTGGTGAGCCCAGATCACACCATTGCACTCCAGCCTGGGCAACAAGAGTGAAACTCCGTCTCAAACAAACAAACAAAAGAAACAGCTCAGAGAGACTCCGCAGAGGGCTCTGAAATAAGGATGGGGTGGGGTTGGGTGAGCCGACCCTGTAAGGTGCCCCCAGCTATGGGGTTAGGCCCAGGCAGGACCCATGAGTCTGCGGAGCTTCTGTGAGCGGGGCTGGTGGTGGGACAGGAGGTGTCCTGCCTGGACGTGCTCAGGCCCTCCTTTCCTCAGCCTTCGACCTCCCCTTTCTCCAACACGCCCTGCCTTTGGGGTGCAGGAGGGAGCACCCGCAGGTGGGGTGGAGGTGCCGCCTGGCGGTGGGCTGCGGCCAGTCTCCCTGGACTCCAGTATCTTCTTCCTGGGCCCTCCAGGGTCACCTGGGTCTAGGTCCTGGTTCTACTTAGGGAGGGAGGCAGGCTGGGAGAGGGGGACAGAGGGCCTTTTGTCCTGTCCTTGAGTTTCTTCAGGCTTGAATGGGCCTTGGAGTCCCACCTTCATCCCCACAGGGCACAGGGGTGCCCAGATCCTCACAGGGCCCCAGGACCCTCGCCTGGGCCAGAGGGCACCTCATGACCACGTGGGCAGCCTCTATTTAAAGATGGACAAGGTGAGGCCTGAGGGCCGGCCTGGGACTGACCTCGTGGACAGGGCTGCCTGCACCGTGTGGCCCCAGCAAGGCCTGTGTAGATGGGAGGAATGGGTGCAAAACAGCACCTGTGTCGGCTGTGGCGTGACTGTCCCTCTGTGTCCCCCACTAGGCCCACTGCTCAGTGGAGCGTGGAGGACGAGGAGGAGGCCGTCCACGAGCAATGCCAGCATGAGAGAGACAGGCAGCTTCAGGCCCAGGACGAGGAGGGAGGCGGCCATGTCCCCGAGCGGCCGAAGCAGGAGATGCTGTGAGCAGCCCCATAACGCGTGCCTGGGCTCTAGCCCCTATCCGTGTACCCTGGGGCCTGGGCAGAGGGGGAGGTCAAGGGCCTGGGCTTGGGGGTTCCAGTGCAGGATGAGAGCGAGGAAGGGCCCCCAGGAGCAGGCGTGGGAGTGGGTGAGTGCTCCTGGGGCGAGGGTGGCCACAGCCCTAGAGGAGGGTCTGCCAATACCTGGCTGCCTCCTGGGCGCTGACCCAGGCTCTGTGTCCGTGCCCTGGCCCTTGCTCGGACCGCCTCTGACCCCAGCCACGCAGCCTGGCCGAGCCCCCCACCAGACTCCCCCGCCAGTGACTCACAGAGCCACGTCCAACTTGGCGGCCAGGCTGGCTTGCTTCCTCCTTGGGCCCAGGAGGCCTCCGCGGCTGGGCTGGGCTGTTTTTCCAATAATGCTTCCCTTCCTTCTGGCCTCTTTTGTTCCATTTTCTCCAAGTCAGCAGCCTTGGGCAGAGTGGGGTTCAGCGGTCACCATAGTCAGGCCCTTGGCCACCCCCACCAAGGGCCCCAGCTATCCAGGGGCTCCCCCTGCCACATGGGAGGCCTGAGAAGTCGGGGCTTAGGAGGACCTCATGTAGGGTCCTCATGTGGGGACCAGGGCAGCCCTTGGGGAGCCCCAGGATGATGGGGGAGGCACAGCCCTGCCCTAGGGAGCCCCAGACTGATGGGGGAAGCACAGCCCTGCTGTTAGGGAGCCACAGGCTGACGGGGGAGGCCCAGCCCTGCCCTAGCGAGTCCCAGAGTGATGGGGGAGGCACAGCCCTGCTCTTAGGGAGCCACAGGCTGACAGGGGAGGCACAGCCCTGTCCTCAGGGAGCCCTACACTGATCGAAGAGGCACAGCCTTACCCTCAGGGAGCCCCAAACTGATGAGGGAGGCATAGCCCTGCCCTCAGGTAGCCCCAGGCTGATGGAGGAGGCATAGCCCTGCTGAGCCTCAAGGAGTCCTGGACTGATGGAGGAAGCACAGTTCTCAGGCTGCCCCAGAACTGACGGGGGAGGCATAGCCCTGCCCTCAGGTATTCTGACCACAGGAGACACAGCCCAGAGCCAGCTCTGTGGCAGACAGGGTCTCCCACACTTGGAGTCCAGGGCCTGAGCGGGCGCCGTGAGGTGAGTGTGGGCCCTGGGCAGAGGAGGCAGCAGCCGCCCAGGCCTAAGCTCCCCCCTGCTACCCTCAGCCTCAGCCTGAAGCCCTCGGAGGCCCCTGAACTGGATGAGGACGAGGGCTTTGGCGACTGGTCCCAGAGGCCAGAGCAGCGGCAGCAGCACGAGGGGGCGCAGGGCGCCTTGGACAGCGGAGAGCCCCCCCAGTGCAGGAGTCCTGAGGGGGAGCAAGAGGACAGGTGAGTGAGGGCCTCGAGGGCGGGCGCTGGGCAGAGCAGGGCTCCCTCTGGACCTCGAGGGCGGGCGCTGGGCAGAGCAGGGCTCCCTCTGGACCTCGAGGGCGGGCGCTGGGCAGAGCAGGGCACCGCGGAGCTCCCTTCAGGCCCTCAACCTGCGCCTGAGCAGCCACCCCATCCTCCCCTTTCCAAGCAGAGCCTGAAATGCCCCCATGGCCAGGAAAGGGGGAGACAGGAGGGGAGGGAGGAAGAGGGCGAGACAGCATGGTGGCCGGCGAGGGGCCGCGAGGAAACCTCATTCTGGGGCTCCCCAGGGCCCCTGGGCCCCATCCAGGCAGCTGCGAGGCCAGGCCGGGTGCTGCCACATCAGCACACAGCTGCGGCCGCTTCCGTAATGGAGGCTGAGAGCCCGCCGCCGCCCCTTCCTCCCTCGGGGCTGGCTGATCTCCATTCCCACGGAGGGGAGCAGGTATTTCCAGATGTGCATGCCGGAGAGTCGGCCGGGAGGACGCACTTTCCAGATGTGGGGATGTGTGTGCCTGTCTCAACCCCAACAGGCCCAACAGGGGCTGCTCCCGAGCCCCACTTCACTACCCCTGCTCGGGGTCCTTGCCGCTCTCAGTCATCTGTGGCCATGATGGGGCTGACCCCACCCGCCCTGCAGGGCCTGGGCCATCTGGGACCCCAGCCCTGCTCAGGACCCCCTTGCCTTGAGTGGGACCAGAGCCCATGGCTGGGCTGACAGTTCTCCCTGGTCAGGGTCCTTCCTGGCCCCTCTGAGGCCCTAAACCAGCCTGGAGCTCTAGGGACCAGTGTTGCTGAGCGACGCTCCCTTGTCCTCCTACAACCAGGCTCCCACTCCCCAAGAACCACTGGTCCTGGCCTGGCGCAGTGCCCACCGCCCCCCTCCCTGGGCCTCAGTCTCCCCCCTACGTGCTTGGGAGTCAGCGGCTCTGCTTTTCTGAGATGGGGCAGCTCCCTTCTCCCTTGGCCTCAGGCCTAGGCGGGCGAGGCTGCTCCCACCAGCAGGGGGCGCTTTGACTCTTCCGTGGAGCCCAGCTCTGCGGCCGCCACCCCACCCCCTGCACCTGCCTGGCTGCACAGACCTGCTCCTGAATGGCCCCTCTGTGTGGCTGCTGCTGGCTCAGACCCCTGCCCACCTTGGGCGGGTGGGTCTGGGTCTTGGCTGGCACGCACACCCAGGGGCCTGAAATCATGGAAAATTCGAGAATTTCCCATCTTCTCCTCCAGGTTCAGTCCTGCTCAAATGCAGAGCCGCTCAAAGCTGCCAGCTGGCTGGCCTCCCCTCCCCCGCAGCCGGCAGCCCCTTGGCCCTGCTCCTCAGTGACCTGGCCCCTACCCCTGCCTAGCCCTCCAAATGACCCAGCCTCCAGTCCCCCAAACACCCAAGGGCCCCCACAGGGAGCAGAGCAGGAGTGGTGGCCCCAGCAGCCCGGCCTCGCGGGGACCCCGTCAGACCAACCGGGTGTGCAAGCAGCTGCCAAGCTGAGGCCCAGCCACAAAGCTGGGGATTGAACCCAGCCTCAGTGCCTGGGGGACCCTCAGTCTGTAGAGCCCTGTCTGGCAGGGACTGGGCAGTTCCCCAGGGGCCTCAGGCCCTGACACAGGGGCCCAAGCAGACTGCGCTGGCTCTGAGGCCACTGGACCTTCTTTCCCAATGGGCTTGGGTCTCAGATCCCTTGGCACTCAAGTAGCCTGACTACCTTCATTTTACAGATGGGGAAACTGAGGCTTGGAAAAAGGAAGGGGTCAACCAAGCAATCCAATGGCCCTAGAACGGCTTTGCCTCCCTTTCCACCCACAGGCCCGGCCTGCATGCCTACGAAAAGGAGGACAGTGATGAAGTCCACCTGGAGGAGTTGAGTCTGAGCAAGGAGGGGCCAGGCCCAGAGGACACTGTCCAGGACAACCTGGGGGCCGCAGGGGCTGAGGAGGAACAGGAGGAGGTGATGGCTCCACCTCAGAGGGTCTGGGTGTACCCCCACCCCAGGGATGAGTCTGCCTTGGCTGTCTGCACCACTCTGTGGGCCCTGTGGGTCTAGCCCAGAGTGGGTCAGCACCCCACACCCCTAGACCTTGCAGCCCCTTCTGGGCCCACATTCTCAGAGAGGGCAAGGCTCAGTGATCCTCTTGCAAGATCCGGAGACATCTCTCCAGACTCCTCAGTCCCTCCCCACCAGCTCCAGAACTGGAGCACGTCAGGGCCACAGAGAACCTGGGGCTCAGGAAGGAACAGCATTTGTTCCCACAGGTGCTGGGCAGGGCAGGAGGGGCACAAGCAGGGGGTCACTTGGGATGTCTGTTTTTTTTTTTCTAGCACCAGAAATGTCAGCAGCCCAGGACACCCAGCCCCTTGGTCTTGGAGGGGACCATCGAACAGAGCTCGCCTCCCCTGAGCCCTACCACCAAAGTAAGTTAAGCTGCAAAGCCTGCCATCTTCTCCCCTCTCCCGTACTCATACCCAAAAGGCCAATCCCACATGCCAGCCACAGGAAGACCAGGCCCAGGCCTGGCTTTTGTCTGCTATCCCCCCATTGCCCGGTGCTCAGCGAACCCCCATGATATAAGGGTTGGGGGTTGGATTAGTGGTTGGAGTAGCTGGGGAGATGGAGGGTGGGCTTTACCTCGGCTGCTGCAGGCCTGTGTCTCTCTCCACCCTCTGCAGCTCATCGACAGGACCGAGTCCCTAAACCGCTCCATAGAGAAGAGGTCTGTCTGTCTGTCTGTCTGCTTTCTGGGCTCAGATCTTAGGTTTAACCAAGTGGGGGTTGAAGGGAGTCACAAGGTAGAGATCTGGAGACCGAGGGGGGCTCTGGGAGAGGCTTGGGCAGGTTGGGAGAAGCCTTGTGGGAGACATGGGGCCTGACACATCTTCTACCCTCCAGTAACAGTGTGAAGAAATCCCAGCCAGACTTGCCCATCTCCAAGATTGATCAGTGGCTGGAACAATACACCCAGGCCATCGAGGTATGACCTGGCTCCCCTCTGCTGTCAGGTCCCTCCTGCATCCTGGCACCATTCCTTCATCCAACCAACGCCCTTCCATCCAATCAGTGCCGCCTTATTCAACCAACACCCTATCCAACCAATGCTTCTCCATCCAGTCAGTGCCCCTCTACCCAATCAATGCCCCTCCATCTAATCAATGTCACTCCATGTAATCAATGCCCCCCCTTTCAATCAATGCTACTCCATCCAACCAATAATCTCCCATCCTATCAATGCTTCTGCATCCAATTAATGTTCCTTTATACAACCAATACTCCTGCAACCAATACTCCTCCAATTATTCAGTGTTCCTCCATTCAATCAATGCCCCCCTCGGAACAGTACTCCACCACCCAATCAATGCTCTTTCATCCTATCAATGCTCCTCTATCCAGCCAATATTCCTCCAGTCAATCAATCCCCCTTTATCCAACCAGTACTCCTTAATCCAATCAGTGCCCCTCCATCCAATCAAGATTCATCCCTCCATCCAATACTACTCCATCCAATCAGTGCCTCTGCATCCAATGTCCCTCCATCCAATCAATGTCCCTCCCATCCAATCAATTCTCCTCCATCCATCAATGCTTCTCCATCTGACCAATACCCTCCATCCAACCAATACTCATCTATCCAATGAATGGCTCACCATGTAACCAATGCCAGTCCCACATGCCAGCCCCTCCATTCAATCGGTACCTCTCCATCCAATCATCCAATACTCTTCCATCCAGTCAATGTCCCTGCATCCAACCAATAGTCCTTCATCCACCAACTCCCTTCAATCCAACCAATACACCTTCATCCAATCAATACCCCTATTCATTCAGTGCTCCTCCATTCAATCAATTCCCCTCCAGCCAACCAAAACAACTTCATCCAGTCAATGCCCCTCCATCCAATAATGCCTTGCACCCAATCAATGGCCTTCTATCCCATCAATTTCCCTCCATCCAACCAAAATAGTTTCACCCAATCAATGCCTCTGCTTCCAATCAATGCCCTTCTATTCAACCAATACTTCTTTATCTAATCAGGACATCTCCATCTAACCAGTATCCTTCCATCCAACCAACACTCTACTAAATCAGTGCCCCTCCATCCACCCAGTGCCCCTCCATCCACCCAGTACTCACTTATCCAACAAGCACTCCTCTATCTTACCAGTATTCCTCCATCCAATCAGTGCTCTTCTATGCAATTAATGCCCCTCCATCCATACTTTACTCCTTCACCCAATCAGCGCCCTTCTAGTCAAGCAATACTTCTGATTTCAATTAATCCCCCTTCAACCAACCAATACTCCTCCATCCAACCAGTACTCCTCCATGCAATCAATGTTCCTCTATCCAACCAACATCCTTCTATCCAACCAATATTCCTCCATCCAATTAATGCCTCTCCATCCAACCAGTACTCCTCCGTCCTATCAATGCTCCTGTATCCTATCAATATTCCTCCATCCAACCAATACTTCCCCATCCAATCAATACTCCTTCATTCATTCACTGCTCCTCCATCCAGTCAATACCTTTCCATCCTACCAGTGCCCCTCCATCCAACCAATACTCCTTTATCCAATCAACGTCGTTGCATGCAATCAATGCCCCTTCATTGAACCAATACGGCTCTATCCAACCAATACTACTCCATTCAATCAATGCCCCTCCATCTAACAAACACTCCCTCATATAATCAGTACTCCTCCATCCAATCAATATTCCTTCATCTATCAACACCTTTCTATACAACCAATACTCCTCCATCTAATCAATGCTCCTCCATCCAACCAATACTCTGAAATTTAACCATTGTCCCTCTATCCATTCAATGTCCCTCCATCCATCCCATGGTCCCCCAGCCCTACCCCATGAGGAGCATGGAGGCAGACCCACATCTGTCCTGTGCGCCATCATCTCCCTGATGCTCTTCAGGACAGGGAGGTGTCTCACAACTGCATCGAATGGAGGAAGGCTCATCTTTCCAGTGATCCCCACTCTGGGGCTGCATTGGGAAAGCGCTCCCAGGGAAAACACAAACACAAAGCAGACGGTTGCCCAGTGTGACCCTCTGATGTGACCACGGTGGCTGTCCACTAAGGTAATCCTGATGCTTTTCCTCCTCTGCAGACCGCTGGCCGGACCCCCAAGCTAGCCCGCCAGGCCTCCATAGAGCTGCCCAGCATGGCTGTGGCCAGTACCAAGAGTCGGTGGGAGACGGGTGAGGTACAGGCTCAGTCTGCGGCCAAGACTCCGTCCTGCAAGGTAAGGTCCCCTCCAGGGGCAAGGCTGGGCTGCAGAGCCAGCGCCTGGGAGTTTAGTAGCAGGCCGGGTTTCCTTGTTAAGACAAGCATGGGACTGTCCAGGATGAATGTGGGTATACAGAACCCTGAGGTATTGCAGTAGGGTTGGGTTCACCCTTGCTGGTGTAGAAGGCTGTGTTGTCCGAGTGGAGGTAGATGGCACCTTTATTCCTTTCCCTGCCTCTTCCACTGGGATCACACAGAAAAAGTTTAGGTAGGCAGATCCCAGGCCCCCTGGCCAGGTAAGGCAAGGCGGGAGAGAAGGGCCCAGGGCTTCTACTCCCCAAGATCCAGGGGTCTGCCCTTGTGACATACCCTTCTGCTGCCCCCAGGATATTGTGGCTGGAGACATGAGCAAGAAAAGCCTCTGGGAGCAGAAGGGAGGCTCCAAGACCTCATCAACAATTAAGGTAGAGCCTAAATGTGGTTGGTGCAGGCAGGGTGGGTGCAGCAGGGGAGGGCAAAGAGGGACTGTCCTCTGTGCATCTGGGAGGGCTTCCCAGAGGCGGAGGCAGCATCATCTCCTTTCTGCTGCTCTCACCTTCACTCTTGGTCTCCTTTCCCAACAGAGCACCCCATCTGGGAAGAGGTATAAGTTTGTGGCCACCGGGCATGGGAAGTATGAGAAGGTGCTTGTGGAAGGGGGCCCGGCTCCCTAGGCGTCCCATCTCGGTGAGTCCCTGGCAACTCACAGAAGGGGATGAGGTGCACACACGTGCACTGTGCTGGGAACTTGGCAACCTGGAGGCTGCCTGGAGCCCTGTTGCAGGCTACAAGGGTGGACTCCGAGTTGGCCAGAACCCAGACCAGCTCAGTCTCCCAGTCCTGTGCAGATGCTGCCTCTCTCACCTGATACCAGATTCAAACTCTCTGCTCATTTCACTAGAGTCAGCCCGGCTCAGCCACTGCTCCACTAGGGAAGCTCAAGGCTCCCATCTGGGACTCCCCAAAAGCCACAGCAGGGCTCGTGAGGGAAGTGAGGGGCAGCCTGGCCACCACAGGGCTAGCATTGAAGGAAGCAGGTGGCATGGAGCCCAGGTTCCCTGACCATCTGTATGCTGAGGGTCCATAGAGGGGCAGGAACTTAGGTCCTACTCCCTGTCCCAGCCGAGAGCGATTCAGAGGTCCTGATGCCCTCCCCATCCCATGCTGCAGACAGAGCAGTGCCACTCCTGCCATGGTGAGACACACATTTATTAGTGACCTGGGCCCCAGGCTCCATTTCCAGCACCCATCACACCACAGGGTGGGGCAGCTGTCCTCCTACCATCTTCCCCTGCCAAACCCTGACTCTCAAGCAGCTGTGGCAGAGGCTTTTTCTGGTACCTCTGTGTCCCTCTCCTGTGGTTGGCCACCCCCACCAGAGCCTGGCTGACTGCTGAGTAGGCCCCTCCACTCTCCCCACCAGGGCCACAGCCCCTTCTCTGTCCCGCTTGGCCAAGCTGTTCCCATAGGGTTGGGACTGAGGGCTCCCTCCTCATCCAGCTGTCAAAGCCTGGGCATGGCCAGTGCTGAGACCCTCGCTGTCCCACCAGCGAATCCCTCGAGTTCTGCCCCCTCAGGCTGTCAGCCCAGGTAGGGGAAGCAGAGGTGGGCCGAGAGAGAGGTCACGCTGGGCCCTCCTCCACCCCTGATGAGCCCCTCCCTGCCTGCCCCTGAGCACTTGTATTGGTGCCAAGTCCCACGCTGGCTGAGGGCTCCCCCCTGCACCCTAGTCCCAGGATCTGGCTCTGCCATCAGGAAGCACAGGCAGCAAAACTGCTGACTGCTCCTGACGCCGATGGCCAAGCCAGCCTGACCGCACCCATGCCTCAGCAAGCAGAGATCTGGCCCCAAACCTTTGACAGCAAAAGGTGACAGCAAAAGGGAGGATCAGTGAGAGGCCCAGGCCCCTGAGGAGCCTGGGCTAGGTCAGTAGATGCAGTCCTCTGCCATCTTACCTAAAGTTTTCATCCCAAGGCCCCCATCCTACATCCCGACGCAGACCCCTTCTCTGTTCCCCTCACACCACTGCAGCCCAGGGGCTCCAGCTCGTCCTCTCTGCCCCGTCCACCTGACCACCCTCCTAACCATGCAGACTTCCCTCAGCACCCCATGTGCCCTTCCCAGGCTGCCCTGCACCCCATGCCCCTTGGGCCCTGGTGCATCTTCATGCAGCAACTATGGGCCCCCAGCTAGAGCCTCAGCCCCTTCTTCTGTCCATCCCATGGTCCTGGGCTCTGGGGGCCATTCTGGCCACTTCACTGGAGCCTCCAGCCAGTCGCTGTGCGGTTGAAGTTCTTGGGCTGGGGGCTCAGCTCCAGGATGGAGCGGACTGTGGGAGGGGGCCGGGTGGCCTCCTGCAGCTTCCGGGCGTTGAAGCGAGGCCGGTACAGGAAGGGCAGGCGGGTGAGGCTGGCTGGGGTGTGCTCCCCACCGCTGGGCCCTGCCAGGCGCCCTTGGGCCTCCGCCACTGACATGCGGTACAGCACGGCATCCCACATCCTGGAGGTCCGGGAGGCGGGGGCCCGGGGTGCGGTGAGGGCGGGCACCTCCTGCTCTGTGGGGGCAGGCACCTCCTGCTCTGTGGGGGTGGGCACCTCTGGCTCCAGGCTCTGCCGCGGCTCTGGGCACGGAGGCTCTGGGGCCTCCTCCAGCAGCTGCTTCTTGAGCCACGTCCAGCCACTGAGCCGGGGCTTGGGTGCAACTTTGGGGACAGGGCATGGGTGAGGGCCTGATGGTGGGGTAGGGGATGAGGCCCAGGCAGGGCTGGACACTCGCTCGGCCTCAGCGGCGGGGCCAGCCATCGGGGGCTCCTCCAGGTGCTCTCTGCCAGGGCCCATGGGGACCAGGCTGTGCGGTGAGGACTCCAGCGAGCGGCAGGTCGGGGCTATGGGCACCACAACCCTGGCACTAGCCTCTCTGGGCACTGAGGCCTGGAAGCCGGGTGGCGGCCGTGGTACAGGGGGCTCCTCAGGCAAGGGACTGGCAGCCTGGACTGTGGTGGGCAGTGGGCGGATGTGAGCCACTGGGACCAGGGGCTGGGCCCTGGGGGGACTTGGGGTGGCATCTCCATCCTGGCTGTTGGATCCCACTTCTGGGGCTGTCCTGGGAGGCTCAGGGGTCCCATTGTGTGGGGATGGTGCCAGCTGGATGTGCACCTGGGTGACGTGGGTGCCCCCACCCCCAGAGACAGGGACGAAGCCACTGGGGGGCCGGGTAGGTTCTGGGGCCGAGGCTACAACCTGGGGCCCCATGGCCCTGAATTGAGCAGCTAGAATCCTGCGCTGGGTGAGGCCGATGGAGAACGTGGACTTCTGCAGGGGTGATGCCACGTGGTGGATGATGGGGGTGTGCGGGGAGCGGGGTAGGGCAGCCACCATGCGGGGAGCCTCGGCGGGGCGTGGGGCTTCAGGAAGGCGTGGGGCTTCGGCGGGGTGCGGGCCCTCAGCAGCGTGCGGGGCTGTGACCTCCTGGTCATGGCTGGCCTCACTCACGGGGGACAGGGAGGTGCGGAAGGCCCTGGGTGGAGCGAGGTGTGTGCCTCCCATCATCTTCTTCCGGGCTGCCTTCCTCAGGAGCTTCTGCAAACGCAAGTTGTCCTTCCCTGGCTTGGGCAGCAGGGGCGGTGGGGGTCCAGGGGTTCCCTGGAGGCTTGGGCCGCACACCTCGGGTGCCATCGACGCAGCCGATATGAGCATGACTGTGTCCTAGGGTGGGAGGGACAGTGGTCAGGCCAGCCCTCCTCCCTCCTGAGGTGGGAGGCCTGTGTCTCCTGTGGTCCAAGGAGGACCTGGGGCCAGGGGTGTGGAGGCCTGAGTATTCTGCTTCCTGAGCACCCAGAACCTGCCAGGGACATGCTGAGCTCGACTGTGCCTTGGGGACTTTGGGGTGGCCCCACCATCACCCTAGTGTAGAAATGAGGCCACAGAGGCCGAGTCCCTCCAGGGATGGGGCTAGAACCTGCCTCCAGGGCTCTGTCCTCCATGCCACCCCAGCACAAAGCAGGCCCCAAGTACACAGCCTGGGTCAGGCCGCAACACCGTGTGGGCTGGGGTGGGAGACGGAGACGCGGGTGAGCCCCAAGTGACAGGCATGCCCCTGGCCAGCTGCTGGCCAAGCCCAGGGCTGGAAGAGCGGCTGCCCCCAGACACGTGAGGGGCGCCCTGTTGTCGCCGGCTCAACCACAGGCGCGTCCGCTGCGAGCCAGCGGTGAGGGGTGGCGGCCAAGAGGCTTGGGAAAGCCGAGGCTGCATCATCAGAGGTAGATTGGCCGGAAGGTGGGAGCAGTTTTCGCTGAGCTATGCTAAATGGGATATTCCCGCAGACCTCCTGTCTGGGGTGGCCCGGCCAAGCCGCCCACCCTGGTTTCTGGGCACCACGTGTTTGCAAGGACATTGACAAATGGCATCTGTCCGAGCCAGAGGCTCTCTGGTTTGGGGAAGGAGGGAGTCCTGGGGGCTGCCGCTGGTGGGGGCTGGCTCTGCCAAGGCAAGAACAGAGCTGCTGGAGGGGTGGGGGCGGAAGGAGCCTGCTTAGGACTGCTCTCAGCTACCGGCCTCCTCTGGATGACGGGACTGCAGGAACCACGAGAACCCCAGTTCT
The DNA here is from genome assembly GCF_000001405.40 of Homo sapiens. Classification (NCBI taxonomy): domain Eukaryota; kingdom Metazoa; phylum Chordata; class Mammalia; order Primates; family Hominidae; genus Homo; species Homo sapiens. The sequence goes on from NC_000011.10 coordinate 1,891,489, forward strand.
AGCTCCCAGGGTGGGCAGGCTGCTTGGCAGGCAGGCCGCCTTCCCTCCACCAGGAGTCAGGTCTCCAGCCAGAGGTCCTGACCCAGGGCACAAGTGCTCGCACTGGGAAGCAGGCCTCTGAGGCAGGACGTCTTCTCCTGTGGTGGAGTGGGGGTGTGGGCAGGGCAGGGAGGCCAGCAGAGAGAGGCTCGGGGAGCAGGCTCTGTGGGCTTGCAGGAGGCAGGTCTGTGGCCCCTCCCTGGACCCTAGCCTAATGCCCCCTGCACCCCATGCCTATGTTCCAGCTTCCTGGGTCTGCAGGTCCAGCCGGCTGGCACCCTCCATGTACCCAGGGGAGATTCCAGCCAGACACCCGCCCCCCGGCCCTGGCTAAGAAGTTGCTTCCTGTTGCCAGCATGACCTACCCTCGCCTCTTTGATGCCATCCGCTGCCACCTCCTTTTGCTCCTGGACCCTTTAGCCTCTCTGCCCTTCCACTCTCTGACCACCGCCCCCGCCCTCCCCACCCAGCTCCGCTTCTTGTTACTTGGGGGAGGAAAGAAACTCCTGATCATTGGCCAAAGGGACTTACCCCTGGAGAGGCCAAGTGCCTTCTAGGAAGTTAGGAGGTTGAGGCACAGCCTGTGCAGAGAGGGTGGGTCACCCCCCCAGATCCAAGGAGAAACTGCAGGTCAAGGGCTGATAACGGCCATGCAGGATGCTTGATGCTGCGTCCCCCGCTGCTTGCCGCCCCCCACCCCGCCATTTTGTATAATAAAGCTCCCTGTGTATTCTCATGTGCTGGCTGTCTTGTACTCACTAAGGGGGCAGGGCTGGCCAGGATGGAAATGTTGGGCCAGTGGCCAGCCCATTCCCACACTGCACAGCATGCTGTGGCCTCTGGGTTCAGGCAGTCTGACCTGTCTCATGGCCTTTGCAGTATAAGACGCCAGGACATAAGCTCTCTGGTGGCCTAAGTCAGAGCACACACAATGGGTGGGGTCCGGGCTTCCTTTTCCAGAATGTCTGTGATATCCCTACCCCAACCAGGACTAGCCCAATATAAACTTCTGTGCCTTGACTTCGCACCCACTGAGGGCAAGATCCACCTCGGGGCCTCCCCCAACACCACACAGGAGGTGCTCAGTGAAGGTTTGGAAAACAGACAAATGGGTGGATGGGTGGGTGGATGGATGGATGGGTAGGTGGGTGGACGAATGGATAGATGAATAGATTAATGGATGGATGAGTGGATGGATAGGTGGGTGAATGGATGGGTAGGTGGGCGAGTGGATGAATGGCTGGGTGGGCAAGTGGGTGGATGGATGGATGGGTAGGTGGGTGGACGAATGGATAGATGATCAGATGAATGGATGGATGAGTGGACAGATAGGTGGGTGAATGGATGGGTAGGTGGGTGAGTGGATGAATGGCTGGATGAGCGAGTGGAGGGATGGGTGAGTGGATGAATAGGGGATGGATGAATGGATAGAGGGATATGTGGATGAGTGAATGAGTAAGTGGGTGGGTGGGTGGATGGATGGATTGATGGATGGATGAGTGGACGGATAAGCAGGTGAATGGATGGGTAGGTGGGTGAGTGGATGAATGGTTGGGTGGGTGAGTGGAGGGATGGGTGAGTGGATGAATAGGGGATGGATGAATGGATAGACGGACATATGGATGAGTGAATGAGTAAGTGGGTGGGTGGGTGGATGGATGGATTGATAGATGGATGGATGAGTGGACGGATAAGCAGGTGAATGGATGGGTAGGTGGGTGAGTGGATGAATGGTTGGGTGGGTGAGTGGAGGGATGGGTGAGTGGATGAATAGGGGATGGATGAATGGATAGAGGGATGTATGGATGAGTGAATGGGTAAGCAGGTGGGTGGATGGATGGACTAATGGATGGATGAGTGGGTGAATAGGTGGGTGAATGGATGGGTGGGTGGGAGGATGGCTGGCTGGCTGGCTGGCTGGCTGGATGGATGGATGGATGGGTTAGTGAATGGATAGGTGGATGGATGAAAGGAGGGATGCATGAGTGGATAGGTAGATGAGTGGATGGATGGATGAAGGGATGGCTGGATGAATGGACAGAGGGAGAGAGGGGGGATGGAGGGAGGGATGAGTGAGTGAATGGGTAGGTGGGTGGGTGGATGGATGGATGGAAGGAGCGATAAATGAAGGGATGGGTAGGTGGTTGGATGGATGGATAGATAGATAATGGAGGGATTGATGAATGAAGGGATGGATGCATGGATGGGTAGATGGATGGATGGATGAAGGGATGGATGAGAGTGGATGGACAGGTGGATGGATGGATAGGTGGATGGATGAATGGAGGGATGGATGTGTGGATGGGTAGATGAAAGGATGGATGAAAGGACGGATAGATAGATAGGTGAGTGAGTGAATGGATAGGTGGATGGATGAATGGAGAGATGGATGAGTGGATGGGTAGATGGGTGGGTGGATGGATGGGTGAAGGGATAGATGAATGGATGGACAGAGAGCGGGAAGGATGGATGGAGGAAGGGATGAATGAGTGGATGGGTAGGTGGGTGGGTGGATGGCTGGAGTGTGGGAGTGTGTGTGTGTGTGTGTGTGATAGGGCCTCACTCTGTTTCCCGGGCTGGGAGTGTGTGTGTGTTTGTGTGTATGTGTGTGTGTGACAAGTTCTCTGTTTCCCAGGCTGGAATGTGTGTGTGTGTGTGTCAGAGCCTCACTCTGTTTCCCAGGCTGGGAGTGTGGGAGTGTGTGTGTGTGTGTGTGTGTGTGTGTGTCAGAGCCTCACTCTGTTTCCCAGGCTGGGAGTGCAGTGGCACAATGAGAGCTCCTTGCAGCCTCAACCTCCTGGGCTCAACGGATCCTCCTGCTTCAGCCTCCCAAGTAGCTGGGACCGCAGGTGCCCACCACCACACCTGGCTAAGTTTTTGATTTTTTTTGTAGAGACGAGGTCTTGCTATGTTGCCCAGGCTGGCTTCAAACTCTTGGGCTCAAGCGACCCCCCCTGCCTCCACCTCCCAGAGTGCTGGGATTACAGGCATGAGCCCTGCACCCAAGGGTTTGTGCTTTTTTACAGTGTTACATAAATGGCATCCTGCAGCACGCACGCACTCCTTGTCTGACTTCTGTCACGTAGCATAACTATTCTGAGATCCATGCTTGCTGCTGTGTCTGTTGTAAACACTCATTTTTATTGCCACAGCATGGGTACACCCCAACCCGCTCATCTGTTCGTCTCTTGGTGGACATCAGGGTGGTTTCCAGTTTTGAATGATGGAAAGTAATGTGGCCATTTACATTCACACACAGGTTTTCAGAAGGACATACATTTCCTTTACTCTTGGGGAGAGGCCTAGAAATAAAACGACTAGATGCCGTGGGAGGTGTGTGTGAAACTTGTTCAGAAACGGCCTAGCTCTCATTTCTTGTTGCAGTTGGAATGGTTCATCTCGCTGACTTTGGCCCTTCCTAGACGTGGAGGGTGCGGTCTGTGATTTTGGCTTGCGTGTCTCCCGGCACCAGGGGTGCCGTGCAGCTTTGCACGTGCTACTTCACCACTGATACATCTTGCTGGGGGAAGCATCTGTTCAGATCTTTTGCCCGTTGCTGTAAAATTGGGTTATTTGTTTTCCTATTGTTGAGTTTGAGAGTTCTTTCTTTCTTTTTTTTTTTGAGATGGAGTTTTGCTCTTGTTGCCCAGGCTGGAGTGCAGTGGCGCCATCTTGGCCCACTGCAACCTCCGTCTCCTGGGTTCAAGCGATTCTCCTGCCTCAGCCTCCCAGGTAGCTGGAACTACAGGCATTTGCCACCACGCCGGGCTAATTTTTGTATTTTTAGTAGAGGTGGGGTTTCACCATGTTGTTCAGGCTGGTCTCGAATTCCTGACCTCAAGTGATCCGCCTGCCTTAGCCTCCCAAAGTGCTGGGATTACAGGCGTGAGCCACCGTGAGAGTTCTTTGTATATATTCTGAATCAATCCTTGATGAAATAGATTTGCAAAGATTTTTCTCCTGGTTGGTGGCCTTGTCCTCTCACCGTTAACCATCTGAAGAGCAAATTTTAAACATTTTTGATGAATTTCAGTTTGTCAATTTGTTCTTTTAGGAATTGTGCTTTTGGTATCATGTCTGAGAAATCTTTGCCTTATCCAGAGCCATAAAGATTTTCTCCTGTGTTTTTATGGCTCCAGCTTTACATTTAGACCCACGATCCTTTTTGAGTTAATGTTTGTGTATAGTGTGAGGTACGAATGCAAATTATTCTTCTTTTTCTTTTTGCATATGGAGATCCAGTTGTTCCAGAATATGAAATTGCTGCAGCATGGTTTCTTGAAGAAGCTACAGTTGTGCACCGAGTCGCCTTTGCACCTTTGTCAAAAGTCTGAACTGTGCATGGTGGTGGGTGCCTGCGGTCCCAGCTACTTGGGCGGCTGAGGTGGGAGGATCCCTAGAGCCTGGGAATTTGAGGCTGCAGCGAGCAGAGATTGCACCACTGCACTCCAGCCTGGGCAACAGAGTGAGACCCTGCCTGAAAAAAAGTCATCAGTCTGTGTGTGTAAGCTGATTTCTGGACCGTTTTCTTTTGGATCTACTTGAATATTTTTACACCAGTATCACTCAAGTTTTGCTTACACTGGTCTTATATGAATTCTTAGAATGTTAGCTCTTCAATTGTGTTCTTTTTCCGGATTGTTTTAGCTCTTCTCCTCCTCTGCTTTTCCATATGTGTTTTAGAATGGACCTGTGAATTTCTATAAATGCAGGGAGAGTTGACATCTTAACAGTATTGAACTTACTAATCCACGAACCTTGGATGTCCCTATTTATTCAGGTCTTCTTCCACTTCTTCCAAGGATTTTTTACTCTTTCAATTTGGAGGTCTTTCACATCTTTTGTCAGATTGACCTCTAAGTATTGTCTATTTTTATACAGTTAGGAAGTGGTATTTTTAATGTCAATATCTGATAGTTGATTACCATTTTATAGAAACACAATGGACTTTGTATATCAGTCTTGTTATTCCACAACCTTGTTAATCTCACTGAGTAGTTCTTGCAGGTTTTTCTTTTGTTGTTGATTCCATCGGGTTAGATGGTCACGTTATCTGTAGATAAGATTGTTTTCTTTTTCCTTTCTCGTCTGTATGGCTTTTATTTCTTTTGGGGGCCTAATTGCACGAGCAGGAACCTCCAGGTCAATGTTGGACGGAGGTGATGAGGGCGGACATCCCAGCCTCCTTTCTGTTCTTAGTGAGAAACTGTTCAGTCTTCCGCCATCGGTTGTGGGGTTTTCATAGATATCCTGTATTAGGTTAGGGAAGTTCCCTCTATTCCTAATTTACTGAGTGATGTTTTTTAAACAAATCAGGAACCGACGTTGGATTTTTCAAATGCTTTTTCTGTACTGTTAAAAGAAAAACCTTAGACAAATTAAATTTAACAGAGTTTAATTAAGCAAAGAACCACTCGCTAATGGGGCAGCCCCCAAACCAAAATAGGTTCAGAGAGGCTCTGGTGCTGCCGTGTGGCTGAAGATTGGTGGACAGAAAAGGGAAAGGAGGCACAGAAAACGGAAGCAAAGCACAGAAACCGCCAGAGGGGCTGCAGCTCCATGCTTGCCTTATCTGAACACGGTTGGAATGGCCGGCACCCTTGATGAGCGGAAACCTGGTGAGTGGCACAAGGGAAGGCTTCAGTCTGTTTACGTCTCCAGTGAGGTTTCAGTTCACAGTGGATGGAGAAGGCGGAACATAAACTATGTCAGGAGGCAGCTTTACGCCAAGCTTAATTTAACGATTTCCCCCTTTAGACATTGGTGTCCCTGTCGCCATTGTAAATGTACTTGTTTGGTCCCAAGCCCCACTGGGAAATAGCAGAACAATGGGTTTCGTAAGTGGGAACGAGGACCTCGGGTTATATATTTTTGTAAGGGATAGAGAGGAACCTCCTTGTGCTGGAATTTCATGTGCTCAGAAAAACAAACCCTGGTCTGCCTTAGGACCTATCTGCTTCCGTAAAGCTTCGGTTTGATGGTGTTGCGTTTAGCTTGCGTGACTCCATCTGGGTTTGGTCTGGTCCGTTGGGGCCTCTTGCGGGAGCTCAGTCCAAAACAATGGCCTCTTATAATTTTGTTTAAAAATTCCCTGCCTTTGGTCAGGTTCTCATTTAGTGGAAAGTGTAGCCAAGCCTTAGGGCCTTGGCACCACCCTCAGTCACCGCCACTTCCAGCTTCCGGTCACAGAATGTCATTCGTACCTAGGTTACGACATCCTCATGGCCTTGTGTTTCTTTGAGTTCTTGTTGCTCCAGTCAAAGAGACACCATTTAGCATCCTACAGATGGCTGCATGCAAACATTTAAAACTCCGGAGAGAATGCAGAGCGCCAGGGAGACGAGTATTATGACCATCAGGAAGATCATATTTAATACCAAGAATGTGAAGCATGCTCCTTAGGTGGGGTCCCATGAAGCAAACCAACGAAAATCAAATAGATCAGAGAGTTAGCTGGATAAAGAGTCTACTCATTTCAAACAAGCAGCCTGTTTGTTAATCCCCTACAACCGAACCTTTCTAATACCTGATACATTCCTCCATGTGCCACAAGAAGCATCGGCAACGGCACAGACGCTCCTCTGTTTAGCTAGTAAGGGATCCAGAGCAAGTCTATCATCCCACACACCTTTAGCAAGAGAATTTAAAGACTGTTGTGTAACCATAGCCTTTGGAGTAGAATCTGTTCCAGAGCCAATTACGAGGGATACTTTTTTTTTTTTTTTGAGACCGAGTCTCGCTCCGTCGGCTGGAGTGCAGCGGCGCCAGCCATGTCTCGGCTCACTGCAACCTCCACCTCCTGGGTTCAAGCGATTCTCCTGCCTCAGCCTCACGATTAGTTGAGATTACAGGCGCCCGCCATCATACCCAGCTTATTTTTAATATTTTTAGTAGAGATAGGGTTTTGCCGTGTTGGCCAGGATGGTCTTGATCTCTTGACGTTGTGATCCACCCACCTCGGCCTCCCAAAGTGCTGGGATTACAGGCGTGAGCCACCACGCCCAGCAGAGGGATACATTTTAAATCTTTGCCTCATTTACTCCAAACCATGGAAAAAGAGGCCTCACAAACAGTGCCCATCTAGAAGAGTGAAGCTCCTGCCAGAGTTCTCTTTAAGCTGTGATGTAGAGGAGTGGAGCGATGTTGTTTGTGATTGATTGGGAAGCAACAAAGGCACCCTCAACATTTTTCACCCAGACCGGGCACAGGGGCTCACGCCTGTAATCCCAACACTTTGGGAGGCCGAGGTGGGCACTTGAGGTCAGGAGTTCGAGACCAGCCTGGTCAACATGGTGAAACCCTGTCTCTACTAAAAATACAAAAATTAGCTGGGCTTGGTGGTAGGTGCCTGTAATCCCAGCTACTTGGGAGGCTGAGGCAGGAGAATCGCTTGAACCTGGGAGGCAAAGGTTGCTGTGAGCTGAGATCACACCACTGCATTCCAGCTTGGGCAACAGAGTGAGACTTGGAGTGAGCTAATTTTTTTTTTCACCTACATTGGCCCTTCGTCTTCCAACTGTCAAGGCAAAAGGTTGTCCACATATAGGATTGGCTGCAAAATCCTCCACAAATAAAAGTATACCCCATGAGTGCACATAAGAGATCCCTTTTTAGTTCTATTATTCAGAGGCATGACAGTCTCAAGTTCTTGGGAAAAAGCTGTCCATATCTGGGATGCCAGCTGCTTCTGGGGAGAAACTTCCCTGATTAGCTTTACCTTAAAATCTCCAATGGGGCTGCAGTTGCTGGAGTCTGGCGATGCCCTCTTGAGCGGTGAGATAACGAACCCAGGGTTCAAAGTCCTAGAATTTCACTGCAGTGTGGGTGGCAAGGGCAGTCTTTCTGTGATACTCTCAGAAAACCAAATGTCTGGGTTCTAGATTGTGAAGCGTTTGATAGGGTCCTCAGTGGACCATGAAAAGCTTTCTGTACCTGGTGAAAATATACTTAGGCATAATGCATTAAGGCCTAGGAGCCTTTAGCCATATCGGAGTTGAGGAGTGGAAGATACATGAGGTTCTATATAGGACTTCCAGGGACTATTTCATAAGGCACCAACTTATGTTTTCCACTGGAAATGGACCCGACGGCCATCCACCTGCAACACCCTTGACCAAGGCAGCCCAGTTCATTCATTTCCCTTGCTTAATATTATTGTATCTGTAACAAGTTATTAACAGTTTTACCACTTGAGCAGTGAAACAAGTACATCTATCATGGGAGATTTCTCAAGGGACGTCCCATGAGAAAAACAATTTTCTAATAATCTTTTAGCTACTGCTATAACATCAGTGCTCTTGCCTGGGAAAGCTTCTATATAACCAGAAAACACGCATTGAAAATGACAATTGAAGGAAATCCCTCCAGCAATGTTTCAATGGCCCATCAAGTAGCAGAAGTGTAATGGAAGTTTCGATTGTCCTCCCAGGATTATGGGTTTGGCAGACCAAACATTGGTCGTAAACCATTTTAACAACTTACAACGGTCACCATGTCAAATATATATATGTATATTATATATACATATATATATAAAATTTGGATTAATTTGTCTCTTCCATGATGAATCATGGAGTGCAGAGCATTTAATAGTGGAAGCTTCAAGGACACAGGAAGGACCAGGTGGCCATCTTGGCTGTCCATGTGTCCATGCTTGATGCTGGACTTATATCTTCTTAAATACCAATTTTGTTTCTCCAGTTCAGGTGCATAGCACTGTTTATTAGAAGGGTTATCATAGGTAATTTGACTTGGACGATGGATTTAATTCAAATTGGGTATCTAAACAATATCAGTACTGGCTGATTTAGCATGAAAAGCTGGCAAAGTGTTTTCTTGGTATTCAATTAATTTTTGTCCTGCCCAGGTTAGCAATTTTATAAACCAGTCAATCTTTCCATTAGAGTTCCGGGAATTTTTACCCAGTCCAAATGACATTACACTAAAGTTATCAGAAGCCTATTCAAGAGGGCTTATCAGGGTCCTTTCTCTCCTTTCACGAACCTCCTGGAGGACTCAATATTGTAGGACTGTGTGTGTTTGTGAGTTTTCAGAAACGTCAGAAAAAAGCAATTAACTCTGGAAATGACGTAAAATGGTCATGGTTAAAGAAGAACTGACAAGGAATTTTGATTACTTCTGTGGCCTACAATAACTTAACTGTAATTAAGAGTGACAGCATATACCCGGATGTATCAGAATTTTAGGAACCCCATACAATTTTGGAGCATATATTAATGACGTATTCACAAACAATATCTCAAATAAGGTTAAACATCATTTCTTATTTGGCAGTGCTTCCCATGTAATTTAATTTATCAAATACTTCTGTCTCTCTCTTTTTTGGATACTATAGGGGCCCTTAGTAGCTCTCTCCACTGGGAAAGGCTGTTATCGTCTTTGTTTTAAACTATAAACTAAGTTTCTCCCAAAGTTAGTTCAGCCTACTCCCAGGAATAAGCAAGGACAGGAATAAGCAAGGAGGTTAGAAGCAAGATGGAAGGGCCAGGCACGGTGGCTTACGCCTGTAACCCCATCACTTTGGGAGGCCGAGGTGAGCAGATCACAAGGTCAGGAGTTCCAGACCAGCCTGGCCAATATGGTGAAACCTCATCTCTACTAAAAAAAATACAAAATTAGTCGGGCGTTGTGGCAGATGCCTGTAATCCCAGTTACTTGGGAGGCTGAGGCAGGAGAATCGCTTGAACCCAGGAGGCAGAGGTTGTGGTGAGCCAAGTTTACGCCATTGCACTCCAGCCTGGGCGACAAGAGCAAAACACCACCTCTAAAAAAAAAAAAAGGCAAGATGGAGTCAATTAAGTTAGATGTCTCTCACCGTCTCAGTCAAAGAGACAATGCAAAGGTGGTTTCAGCTTTTTCCTAAATATTATCAGATACATGTCATACAGAGAGACATATAGTCATAACAGACACAGATAGAAACAGATCTTACAGATTTCAGAAAGAATTTTCATTTGCCAGCTTTCAAATAGTTTTCTTTTCCCCCTTTAGACTATCAATCTTCTAATTACTTGTTTTATCATCCTAAGCAATCGTTAGCTAGGGAACAATTTGCCTTCAAAAAAGATAACTCTTAGGTGAAACAAGGCAGAAAATGTATATATGAAAAGCTATTTAAGCTGAGACTTTCAGCTTAAATACTGTACCATCATCATTTGCTCAACCAAGAAAAAAGCAAGGCCCAGTGAAGACAACATGGCCAGGAAAAACACGTTAAACAAAGGTAAGACTTGTTACGTAAATTTAAAACAAAGGGATGTCCCTCCCAGACGTTGCAAATGGAAATGTCTTGTGGAGATGTAAATTTCTTTCACAAAATGGTTTCAAGGTAGCCGTTGAATGTCAGAAAGGTGCATTTTAGTTATTAGGCTGGTTGAAAAGTAATTGCAAAAACCACAATTATGGCCGGGCGCGGTGGCTCACGCCTGTAATCCCAGCACTTTGGGAGGCCGAGGCGGGTGGATCATGAGGTCAGGAGATCGAGACCATCCTGGCTAACATGGTGAGATCCCGTCTCTACTAAAAATACAAAAAGTTAGCCGGGCGTGGTGGCGGGCGCCTGTAGTCCCAGCTACTCGGGAGGCTGAGGCAGGAGAATGGTCTGAACCCGGGAGGCGGAGCTTGCAGTGAGCAGAGATCGCGCCACTGCACTCCAGCCTGGGCGACAGAGTGAGACTCTATCTCAAAAAAAAAAAAAAAACACACAATTACTTTCACACCAACCTGTGGATAGGTGGTCCTTCTAATGTGGCTACTGCTTCTTAGCTGAAATTACTGAGTACAGGGTGGGACCCATTAAGGAATAAGGCAAAGAAAGGCTTCCCTCGGCCTGGGCTCAGCGTGGGTGGATCTGAAGTAAAGCCTGCTGGATCTGAGAGACCTTTTAGACACACTTCATCTAGGATAGCTTTCTGTATGGGATAGTAACCAGGCCAAAAGCTCAGCAGATTCATTTTTTCTTATCAATTGGTCACTTAAGCTTTTTCTTTGTCTTAATTAATTTATATTTATGATCTTATTTTGTCTTTATCTTATTTGACAGGGTGTTGCTCTGTCACCCAGGCTGGAGTGCAGTGGTGCCATCATAGCTCACTGCAATTGTTACAGGAGAGGGGTCCTGATCCAGACCCCAAGAGAGGGTTCTTGGATTTGGATCCTGTGCAAGAAAGAATTCAGGGTGAGTCCACGGCGCAAAGCAAAAACAAGTTTACTAAGAAAGTAAAGGAATAAAGAATGGCTACTCCATAGACCGAGCAGCCCCGAGAGCTGCTGGTTGCCCATTTTTTGGTTATTTCTTGATGAGATGCTAAACCAGGGGTGGATTACTCATGCCCCCCACCCCTGCTTTTTAGGCCATACAGGGTAACTTCCTGACGTTGCCACGGCATCTGTAAACTGTCATGGTGCTGGTGGGAGTGTAGCAGTGAGGACGACCAGAGGTCACTCTCGTCACCATCTTGGTTTTGGTGCATTTTAGCCGGCTTCTTTACTGCAACCTGTTTTATCAGCAAGGTTTTTATGACCTGTATCTTGTGCCGACCTCCTGTCTCATCCAGTGACTTAGAATGCCTGACCATGTGGGAATGCAGCCCAGTAGGACTCAGTCTCATTTTACCCAGCCCCTGTTCAAGATGGAGTCGCTCTGGTTCACACGCCTCAGACACAGCCTCTGCCTCCCGCCTCAGCCTCCTAAGCAGCTGGGACTACAGGTGAGTGCTACCGTGCCTGGCTAATTTTTTTTTTTCCGTAGAGATAGTGGGGAGCTGTGGAGCGGGGGGTGGGGGGCGGGTGTCTCACTGTATCGCCCAGGCTGGTCTCAAACTCCAGGGCTTAAGCAATCTTCCCACCTTGGCCTCTCAAAGTGCTGGAATTACAGGCATGGGCCACCTTGCCAGGCCTCATTTGCCTTTTGTGCAGACACTTTTAAAAGAGGGAGTAAAAATACTGAAATCATTTTAGAAGCTTCTTCACATCAATTGGCATCCCTGATGAGGCTAATTAGGAGCCCTTGTTTTTAGGTGCACTTCTTAAAGTGCAGTGGTGTTCACTTGGAACATCCCACCGTAATTTTCATTCACCTTTAGTAAGATGCCACCATTTCTGTAAACATCTGCCGCGTCCGGGACCTAACACGTACGGACATACGAGCCAGAAGGTGCTCGGTTTTTCAGAGATGAAGGATCCCATTTTACATTAAATCTTGGCTTTGGCTCTTAGATCCTCGTGATCAACTGAGCAATGATTTTTCCCTGCCTTAGTGTGCAAGAAAAAGAAACCAAGAGAGTAGAACACGAACATCCTTGTGAATGTCCAAAAGCTGGAGTGTGCACCTCCTGCAGCCCTGCCATTTACAGCCAGTTTCCGCCTGACCCAGTCAAGACACACAAGGCCTCTAACTGCATCCAAGCCAGTGAATGATCAAATCAGATTCCATCCTGGACCCAGTCCAGTTTCTGTCACGACTTCTGAACCCAGCTTAGATAAAAAAATTTGCTCAAGCAAACTCAGATGGCTCAAAACACACATCCATGGAGCTTTGGAATCCAAGAGAGAACTTCCCACGATCCCCAGCTGCTCTGAGAGAGCAGAGGGCACAGTGGGCCCTGTGGGTCCTCCATTGGTCAGTCAGAGCTCCTGGGGGCCGCTGGAAGCTCTACGCCAGATCCACTTCTGATGCCATCCGTTTAAAGAGAAAACTTGGCCGGGCGCAGTGGCTCACGCCTGTAATCCCAGCACTTTGGGAGGCCGAGGCGGGTGGATTGCCTGAGCTCAGGAGTTCAAAACCAGCCTGGGCAACACGGTGAAACCCCGTCTCTACTAAAATACAAAAAATTAGCCAGGCATGGTGGTGCATGCCTGTAATCCCAGCTACTCCAGAGACTGAAGCAGGAGAATTGCTTGAACCTGGTAGGCGGAGGTTGCAGTGAGCAGAGGTGGCACCACTGCACTCCAGCCTGGGCGACAGAGCAAGACTCTATCTCAAAAAAGAAAAAAAAAAGAAGAAATTTAAGGCCAGGTGCAATGGCTTACATCTGTACACCTGTAATTTCAGCACTTTGGGAGGCTGAGGCAGGTGGATCACTTGAGGCCAGGAATTCGAGACCAGCGTGCCACCACACCCAGCTAATTTTTGCATTTTTAGTACAGATGGGGGTCTCACTATGTTGGGCAGGCTAGTCTCGAACTCCTGACCTCAGGTGATCCACCCACCTCAGCCTCCCAAAGTGCTGGGATTACAGGCGAGAGCCACTGCGCCCAGCCTCTTTATTCTTTTAATCTCTGCAGAACCTGTACTCCCGCTGCCTCTCTTGTTCCTGATATCGGTAATTTCTATCCTTCTCCTCCTTTCCCCGGGCCCTTCCCCATCAAGTTGGCTAAAGGTTTATCAGGATTACTGATATTCTTAAAGAACCAAGTTTTGGTTTTCTCAATTTTGTTCTATTATTTATTGTTTTCTGTTTTATCAGCTTCTACTTGATGTTTACTATTTCCTTTCTTCTGCCCACTTTGGGTTTAATTTGCTTTTCTTTTTCTATTTTCCTTAAGCTGAGAGCAAGGTCATTGCTTGAGAATTCTTTTTTTTTTTTTTTTTTTTTGGAGACCGAGTCTTGCTCTGTCACCCAGGCTGGAGTGCAGTGGCGCGATCTCAGCTCACTGCAACGTCTGTCTCCCAGGTTCAAGTAATTCTCCCTGACTCAGCCTCCCGAGTAGCTGGGATTACAGGCACACGCCACCACACCTAGCTAATTTTTAAATTTTAATAGAAACAGGTTTTCGCCATGTTGGCCAGGCTACTCTCGAACTCCTGACCTCAGGTGATCCGTCTGCCTCAGGCTCCCAAAGTGCTGGGATTACAGGCGTGAGCCACCGCGCCCGGCCTTCTCTCTTTTTTTTTTTTTTTTTTTTTCTGAGACAGAGTGTCGCTCTGTCGCCCAGGCTGGAGTACAGTGGCGTGATCTCAGCTCACTGCAACCTCCGCCTTCTGGGTTCAAACGATCCTCGTGCCTCAGCCTCTCTAGTAGCTGGGATTATAGGCGTGTGCCACCACGCCTGGCTAATTTTTGTATTTTTGGTAGAGACGGGGTTTCTACCAAACCCTGGTAGAAATGTTGCCCAGGGTGTTCTTGACCTCGTGGGCTCAAGCAATCCTACCACCTTGGGCTCCCAAGGTGCTGGGATTACAGGTGTGAGCCACCACACCTGGCCAGTTAAACCATATTTCTTACAGGCAGCACAGAGTTGGGCTTTGCTTTTTTATCAATCAGACAACCTCTGCTTTCTTTTTGTGGGGGGGACAGGGTCTCACTGGCATCCAGGCTCGAGTGTATTGGTGCAATCACAGCTCATGGCAGCCTTGACCTCCAGGGCTCAAGGGATCCACCTGCCTCAGCCTCCCGAGTAGCTGTGACTACTGGCACATGCCACCACGCCCAGCTAAAGTATTTTTTTTTTTTTTTTTGGAGAGATGAGTTCTCCCTCTGTTGCCCAGGCTGGTCTTGAACTCCTGGACTCAAGGGATCCTCCTCTACCAGCCTCTAAAAGTGCTGGGATTACAGGAGTGAGCCACCATGCATGGCCCCTCTGCTTCTTAATAGGGGAGTTTAGCCCATTGATATTTAATGTGCTTACTGGTATGGTTAGGTTAGAGTCTGTCACCTTGTTATTTGCTTTCTATTTGTCACATCTGTTCTTTTCTCCCCTTTACTCTTTTTCTGCCTCCTTTTGCGTTCATGAGAAGTTTTATTCGTTACATCATCTTGTTTGCTGGCTTTTTCGCTGTAACTCTTTGTTTTGTTATTTTAGGGGTTGACTTGGGTTTTTAGTTGTTAGCTTTAACGTCCCACAGTTGGCTCTGAGTGACTGATATTTCCTCTTTTTTATGGGTCACCCTTTCCTGCTTCTTTGTCTTTTTGATAATTTTTTATTGGAATGCAGACATTGTAAACTTTAACTCGGGTGGGAGCTAGATACTTTTATATTTCCACAAATATTCCTGAGCTTTGTTCTGGAATGTAGCTGTTTATCTGCAAGCAGTTTGATCCTTTCAAGTATTACTTTTACCGTTTGTAAGGGAGGTCTGGAATAGTGTGGGCTAACTATTCCCCACTATGGAGGCAAGCTGTTTCTGAGCCCCCCACCGCTGTGCGTGATAGGGTTTTCTGCTGAGGCTGGTGGGAGCAGACACAATTCCTAGGTCCATGTGAGCTCCCGGCACTGGTCTCTCTAGTCCTTTCGGATTGTGCTTTCCCGCCTTGGGACGTTTTCCCTGGGATGTGCTGATGGCTCAGTCCCTAATACTCCAGGGGGACTCTCGGGTCTCAGCTTCTCTCTCTGGGCAGCTCTCTGAGCTTCACGAACTTCAGCTGCCTGGAGACCCCCAGCTCTGTCTCATCAGCTCAGGGACTCTGTGGGCTCCACCTCAACTCCCGCTTCCCGCACTGAGGCCTGGAAACCCACCAGAAAGTGCATGGGCAGCGAGAGGCCCCTGAGGCCAATTCCCAGCCCGGGAAGCACTGTTGTGCACGGCCCACGTGTGGGATCTTGAGAGCCATTGTGTTGTGTATTTTGTCTGTTCTGTGTTGCTGTTTGGTTGTTTCATTGTCCTGTGTATTTTGTCTGTTCTGTGTTGCTGTTTGGTTGTTTCAGGCAGGAAGATAAATCCAGTCCCTGCTACCCCATCTCAGCCAGGAGTGGAAATCTGCCTTTTAATTTTGGTGGACATGTTTGGATAGACAGAAACTTGAAATGGTGAAGTGGTGAAATGGGCTGAGCTGCCCTTTTCTTCCATCATGTTTCCACTGTTCTAAAGCTGGAAACATTGTTCCCCAGCATGAAAGCAGATAAGTGTGCAGCACACATCTCTCTAGCTTATTTATCTATTCGAGATGGAGTCTCGCTCTGTTGTCCAGGCTGGAGTGCAGTGGCGCAATCTTGGCTCACTGCAACCTCGGCCTCCAGGGTTCAAGTGATTCTCCTGCCTAAGCCTCCCCAGTAGTTGGGATTACAGACTCCCGCCACCATGCCCGGCTTATTTTTTTATATTTTTAGTAGAGACAGGGTTTTGCCATGTTGGCCAGGCACGTCTCGAACTCCTAACCTCAGGTGATCCAACCGCCCCGGCCTCCCAAAGTGCTGGGATAACAAGCGTGAGCCACCGCGCCCGGCCTCTAGCTTTATTTTTAACCATTTTTTTTTTCACATGTCGTAGCCTCTGTAATTCACCTGGAATGTATTTTGGCATTTGATGTGGAGAGCAAATCTCACTGCCTTTTTTTCCTCCCCAGTGCATACCTGATTTTCTCGACCTCTTTTATGAAATATCCCCGCCAGACTCCCTCGACCGTGCCACCCCCAGGTTCCCGTGCATACACAACATTGCGGGATAGGTATTGTGGAATGAGGATCCGTGTTACGACCTACAGAAGATGTGGCTGTGAAGTCAGGAGTCACGGTCTCAGAGTTGACTGCACTGCCTCGTAGCTGTGTGACCTTCAGGATTTTGTTCAACCCCCTCTGAGCTTCAGTTTGCTCTCTGGGAAGACTCCAAGGATAAGAGCATCTACCTCCTCAGCCTGCTGTGAGAGTTAACAGGGCCAGGGCCAAAGACGCTTTGTCTGACTGCTGGTCTGCGGGGAGCTCTAAATATGAATCTGCTACATCACCTTCACTTTTGAATTCGGCTCTGATGTTCCAAATGTTCTTGGCCGTTCCTTCGTGTTTCTCCTGTACGAATTTCAGCTTCTTTTTGCCAAGTATCTCCCCACCCCCGCCCACCCCCACCCCCAAATAAACTCACTAGAATGTTGGCTGAAAATCTGATAAGGCTACACATTGATTTGGAAAGAAATGATTTTTTGTGAGAGTCAAACTCCCTACCCATTTTTTTTCTTTTGTTTTTTCAAAAGTTTTTTTCTTACATTTGTCATTCAAGTTTGTCATTTTCTTGCTACAGATTCCAAACACTTTTCAAGAGGACCGTCGCTAAGTACTTTATACTCTTGTTTGGGTTTTTTTAGAGTAAAAAATGTTCAAATTCTACTTTATCTTCTAGCTGGTGGTTGTTGGAAGATAATTTTAAAAACTGATTTAAAATATGTATTTTGCATCTGGCCGCGTTCCTGAATTCTCTCATTCTTTCTGAAAACTCTTCCGCCGACTCTCTGGGGGCTCCTAGGAATGTGCTGTTTTGGCTCCTCCTTTCCAGAACTTATACGTCTCATTTCCGCCTCACATCATTGGCATTGTCCTTCATTTCCAGACCAGGGTCGAACAGTAATGGTAAAAGCAGGCATCCTTCTTTGGTTCCTGTCTTGGGCTGGAACGCCTTAGTGTTCCCCCAGCAAGGGGAGATAAAGGAAGTGCTTATTTATAGTTTTCTATAGTTTCTTGAGCCTTCGTGTTGTTTTGCTTTCAGAAACAAGAATTGACTTTTAGCAAATGCCCTTCCCCCTATAGTTAACAATTAGGAACTATTCAAACTATGCCAGTAGGCATAAATAAAGTTAGGAAGAGCCCCCATCTACCCAGCCCCCACTTAGCTTAAGAAAGACAACATGGCTGGGCATGGTAGCTCACGCCTGTAATCCCAGCACTTTGGGAGGCTCGAGTCCAGGAGTTTGAGACTAGCCTGGGCAACACAGTGAGTCTCTACAAAAAATACAAAAGTTGGGCCTGGGTACGGCGGCTCACACCTGTAATCCCAGCACTTTGCGAGGCTCGAGTCCAGGAGTTTGAGACTAGCCTGGGCAACACAGTGAGTCTCTACAAAAAATACAGAAGTTGGGGCCGGGCGCGGTGGCTCATGCCTGTAATCCCAGCACTTTGGGAGGCTGAGGTGGGCGGATCACGAGGTCAGGAGATCGAGACCATCCTAGCCAACACGGTGAAACCCCATCTCTACTAAAAATACAAAAATTAGCCGGGCGTGGTGGCACGCGCCTGTAATCCCAGCTACTCGGGAGACTGAGGCAGGAGAATTGCTTGAACCCAGGAGTCGGAGGTTGCAGTGAGCCAAGATCATCACTGCACTCCAGCTCGGCGACAGAACAAGACTCCGTCTCAAAAACAAAAACAAAAACAAAAGTTAGCCAGGCATGGCAGTGGGCACCTGTAGTTCCAGCTACTCAGGAGGCTGAGATGGGAGGATCACCTGAGCCTGGGAGGTTGAGGCTGCAGTCAGCCGTGGTGGTGTCATTGCACTCCAGCCTGGGCAACACAGTGAGACCCTATCTGAGAAAAAAAGAAGAAGAAGAAGAAGAAGAAATACAACGTGATGGCTTCATCTGAGTTGAGGGCTCTGTGCAGCTCCTTTGTGGTGGAATCCTCTGCTCTGCTGGCAGGGACGTTTCATCATAAGTGTGTGTTCTGTATATCCAGGTGCAAGTGATATTTTAAAATATAAAACTATTGTTTAAATTTCATGTAAGTAGCATGATTTTTCCTTTTGCAACTCTTTCACCCCCACCCCAATGTGGTTGCTGTGTCCGGGACTTCGCCATTGGTGGCTCACAGCCGCAGGTCAGCTGTAATCGTGCAGAACCCATCTATGAATACACGACGGTGTACCTGTCCATTCTCCTCTTGGTGAATGTGTGGAGGTTTTCTGATTCTTTGCAGTGACCAACAGCAATCTGTGCCCAGCAATGCAAATGCCGGACTGAGGGATGCACCCTGCACGCTGGCCAAGATGTCACTGGGCGCCATTGTGGTGTTTTTTTTTTGAGACGGAGTCTCGCTCTGTTGCCCAGACTGGAGTGCAGTGGCATGATCTCGGCTCACTGCAAGTTCTGCCTCCCGGGTTCAAGGGATTCTCCTGCCTCAGCCTCCTGAGTAGCTGGGATTACAGGCACCCGCCACCACGTCCAGCTAAGTTTTGTATTTTTAGTAGAGACAGGGTTTCACCATGTTGGCCAGGCTGGTCTCGAACTCCTGACCAAGTGATCCAGCCACCTCGGCCTTCCAAAGTGTTGGGATTACAGGCGTGAGCCACCGTGCCTGGCTGGGGTTCTCTATTTTCAAGACACCCTTTTAACTTTATAAGTAATCAATCAGGTGGTTCTTCGAAACTGAACATTCTGACCCCCGTTAACTTTCACCTGCGACTTGGGCGTCCAGTGACAATCCTTGTCTCAATCAACGATCCCATCAATGGTTGCAAAATGGTGCATTCTTAACGCTATCATTTCACCTCCGCTGAGCTGGTGTTCTGCAGAAATGAACTTTTCCTTCTCCAGACTGATGTTTATATTTTGTTCATCCACTTTGCAGTTTTAATTTGGTTTCCCCTTTCATGGGTGTGCTGACCATTCAGGTTCTCTTCTCTGCCAGCTGCCTGTCACCTCCTCTCGCCCATTTTTCTATTCAGTTGCTTGCCTTTTTTCTAATGGTGTCCTACCTTCTTTTTAGATAGTGAAAACTAATTCTTGATCAGTGATATGTGTTACAAACATCTCCTCCCAAAAGATGGCTTGTTTTTTTTGGCTTGGTTTATGGTGTCTTTTGATGAAGAGAAGTTCACTTATTAAAAACTGTAGTTATTTCTTGTTGAATTTACCAATCTCTTTATTCTCTGGTTTGTGGTTTTTACATCTTGTTGAACAAATGTTCCTTGCTACTAGCCGGGCGCAGTGGCTCACGTCTGTAATCCCAGCACTTTGTGGGGCTGAGGAGGGTGGATCACCTGAGGTCAGTTCAAGACCAACCTGGCTAATGTGGTGAAACCCTGTCTCTACCAAAAATACACAGATTAGCTGGGTGTGGTGGTGGGCGCCTGTAATCCCAGCTACTAGGGAGGCCAAGGCAGGAGAATTGCTTGAACCTGGGGGACAGAGGTTGCAGTGAGCCGAGATTGTGCCACTGCACCCCAGCCTGGGTGACAGAGTGAGACTCTGTATCAAATTAAAATAAAATAAAATATAAATTAATAAGTGGCACGATCTCAGCTCACTGTAGCCTCTGCCTCCCGGGTTCAATCGATTCTCCTACTTCAGCTTCCTGAGTAGCTGGGATCACAGGCACCCACCACCACGCCTGGCTAATTTTTTTTGTATTTTTGGTAGAGATGGGGTTTCACCCTGTTGGCCAGGCTGGTCTCAAACTCCTGACCTCAAGTGATTCGCCTGCCTCGGCCTCTCAAAGTGCTGGGATTACAGGCGTGAGTCACTGCGCCCGGACCTCCCTTCTGTTCTTAGTTGACCAGAATGTCTATCTATGAGTGGTGTTATATTTTATCCAAAATTTTTTGTAGTCTTTACATGCTTTATGTGTTGTGAATCACTACATCATTCAGTTTTCTGATGTACAACTATTATTACATTAAAAAGAACCCCCGAGGCCGGGAATGGTGGGTCTCACCTGTAATCCCAGCACTTTGGGAGGCCGAGCTGGGAGGATCACTTGAGGCCTGGAGTTTGAGACCAGCCTGAGCAAGATAGTGAGTGAGACCCCATCTCTAAAAAAAAAAAAAAAAAAAAAAAAAAGCCAAGTGTGGTGGTACATAGCTGTGGTCCCAGCTATGTGAGAGGGTGAGGTGGGGGAGATCGCTTGAGCCCAGGAGTTTGAGGCTGCAGTGAGCCAGGATCTCACCATTGCACTCTGGCCTGGGTGACAGAGCAAGACCTCATCTCTTTAAAAAGGTAAAATTAAAAAAATAATAATAAAGGACCCCCTTGGTCATAATGTAATTGAAAAAAATTCTTGCTGTTTTTTGCTTGGTAGGAGGTTTAACTACTGGTTCCTTGTCTTTTTTTTTGTCTTTGCACCCCTGATTCGGAATGCAAGGTTCAATGTCTTTAAAATGAATTAGTCTATGCAAGGTTTGAACTTCACTTTGAGTCAATTCCATGTTCTATTTCTCCTGGGAATGGGCTGTTTTGCTCAGTTTTTAAATTGTCATAAAGTTGTTTATGGGATTCTTTCACCACAATGTCATCTCTGCAGCCTTCGTCATTACGTTCCTCTTTTCGTCGACATTGCTTATTTGTGTCTCTTCCTCTTTCTACTAATTTTTTTGCCAGATGTTAGACTATTTATTAGTTTTTTCACATAAACCATTTCTAAATTATTTATTTATTTTTAAGCCAGAGTCTCACTCTGTCGCCCAGGCTGGAGCGCAGTGGCGAGATCACGGCTCACCGCAACCTCCGCTTCCTGGGCTCAAGTGATGCTGTCACCTCAGCTTCCCAAGGAGCTGGGATTACAGGCACCTGCCACCACGCCTGGCTAATTTATTTTCATTTTTTGTAGAGATAGGTTTTTGCCATGTTGCCCAGACTGATCTGGAACTCCTAGGCTCAAGTGATCTGCCCTCCTCGGCCTTCCCAAAGTGCTGGGATTACAGGTGTGAGCCACTGCGCCCGGCCAACACAGCAGCAATATTTAATTTTGTTGATCTTCATTAATTTTTATTTTTCATTCTATTAACCTCCTATGTTTCTTATTATTTCCATTGCTTTCTTTCCCTTGGTTTTAGTGTTTTGTTCATTTCCTAATTTCATAAACTAGATGCATACTTATTAATACTTTCCCCTCTCTATTTTTTTGTTCTGGGGTAATCCATACTTTGTTTTCTTTGTTTTTTGGTTTTCCTCCTTTCTTTTTTTTGAGATGGAGTCTCGCTCTGTCGCCCAGGCTGGAGTGCAGTGGCACAATTTCGGCTCACAAACCTGCCTCCCAGCTTCGCGCCATTCTCCTGCCTCAGCTTCCCGAGTAGCTGGGACTACAGGCACCCACCACCACGCCCAGCTAACTTTTTTGTTTTTTTTTTTTTGTTTTTTTTTTAGTAGAGACGGGGTTTCACCGTGTGTTAGCCAGGCTGGTCTCGAACTCCTGACCTCGTGATCCGCCCGCCTCAGCCTCCCAAAGTCCTGGGATTACAGGCGTGAGCCACCGCGCCCGGCCCCCGCTTTCTGATATAAGCATCCAGGCCTCGCATTTCCCTCTGTCTTGTTTTAGCTGCACCCAGGGCTTTGCTCTGGGGTCTCCCATTCTCCTTCAGTTCCAGCCTCACCCACTCTCCCTGACCACGTCCCCTCTGATCCCTGAGCTATTCAGGTGTGTTTTTACTTTCTAACCCTTGCTGAAAGGGCCGCCTTCTAGTTAGTTGGGTTCTGACTTGGCCGCAGAGGGCAGACAGTTGGCTGGGGCATTCTCGTGTCCATGGCCAGCTTTGGTCACTGTCTCTCACGTGTCCTCTGGTTTGGAGGCTCTGCTTCAGTCCCTGTCTGTTCCACTAAGCCAAGTCGTTTCGTTCCAGTCCTAGACGCCTCACCCCGCGCTCTGCGGTGAGCACGAGCTGTGCACTGGGATCGCGGACTCCTTTTCCCTCGTCATGCTGCCACGGGCTCCCACTGCACTCCCAGTCCCAATTGCAGGATGCGTGGGGGACGGAGCCCCTGTCCATGGGTGGTGACCACCTCTGTGCCCAGCATAGCTGCTTGCCTCCTGTCCATTTGGTGCTCCTGGGGGGCCTTTCAGAACCAGGCAGCACAGCAAGATTGGTGACATCCAACCAACAGATTTCACCCGGGCGTACCCCGGTTCCCACCTGTGCATTACCCAATGAACACGCCTGGTTGGGCGCAGCGTAGCTGAGACTCCCATGTGCAGGCCTGCTGTGGGGGTGCAGGCCCACGGTGCACATTGGTGTGTGTTGTGGGGTCACACACCTGGGATGATGTTTCTGTGTGTGTGTGTGTGTTGTAGGGTCACACATCTGGGATGATGTTCTGTATGTGTGTGTGTGTTGTGTGTGGGGTCATGCACCTGGGATGTCTCTCTGTGTGTCTGTATGTGTTGTAGGGTCACGCATCTGGGATGATGTTGCTCCTTATGTGTGTGTGTGTTGTGTGTGGGGTCACACACCTGGGATGATGTTTCTCTGTGTGTGTGTCTGTGTGTGTGTTGTTGGGTCACACACCTAAGATGTTTTTCTTTGTGTGTGTGTGTGTGTGTTGTGTAGTCACACACCAGGGATGATGTTGCTCTGTGTATGTGCCTATGTGTGTTGTAGGGTATATACACCTGGGGATGTTGCTCTGTGTGTGTGTGTGTGTGTGTGTGTGTTCTGGGGTCACACACCTGGGGATGATGCTCTGTGTGTGTTGTGGGGTGTACAAACCTGGGGAGGATGTTGCTCTGTGTGTGTTCTGGGGTCACACACCTGGGGATGATGTTGCTCTGTGTGTGTGTTGTGGGGTCACACACCTGGGATGTTTCTGTGTCTTTGTGTGTGTGGGTTGTGGGGTGTACACACCTGGGGAGATGTTGCTCTGTGTGTGTTGTGGGTGTACAAACCTGGAGATGTTTCTGTGTGTGTGTGTGTGTGTGTGTGTGTTGTGAGGTCACACACCTGGGATGATGTTGCTCTGTGTGTGTCTGTGTGTGTGTTGTGAGGTCACACACCTGGGGATGATGTTTGTGTATGTGTGTGTTGGGTGTACAAACCTGGGGATGATATTTCTCTGTGTGTGTGTTGTGGGGACACACGGATGATGTTTGTGAGTGTGTGTGTGTATGTGTTATGGGGTCACACACCTGGGATGTTTCTCTGTGTCTGTGTGTTTTGTGGGGTCACACACCTGGGATGATGTTTCTGTGTGTGTGTGTGTGTGTGTGTGTGTTCTGGGGCCACACAACTGGGATGATGTTTCTCTGTGTGTGTGTGTGTCTTGTGGGGTGTACACACTTAGGGATGATATTGCTATGTGTGTGTGTTCTGGGATCACATCCCTGGGGATGATGTTATTCTCTGTGTGTGTGTTGTGGGATAGGACATCTGAGATGATGTTTCTGTATGTGTGTGTCTGTGTGTTGTGGGGTCACACACGTGGGATGATGTTTCTGTGTGTGTGTGTCTGTGTGTGTATGTTGTGCGGTCACGCACCTGGGATGATGTTTCTGCGTGTGTGTGTATGTGTTGTGGGGTCACACACCTCAGATGATGTTTCTTTGTGTGTGTTGTGGGGTCACACACCTGGGATGTTTCTGTGTGTGTGTGTGTTGTGGGGGGTGATGTTTCTGTGTGTGCATGTGTTGGGGGGGATATTATTTGTATGTGTGTGTGTGCGGGGTGATGTTTCTGTGTGTGTGTGTTGTGGGGGGTGATGTTATGTGTGTGTGTTTTGGGGGGGTGATGTTTCTGTGTGTGTGTGTGTTGTGGGGAGGTGTGTGTGTTGGGGTGATGAGTGGATGTGTGGATGGATGGATGGAGGGAGGGATGGATGGATGAAGGGAGGGTGGATGAAGGGAGGGAGGGAGGGATGGATGGATGCATGAATGGGTAGATGGATAGATGAAGAGATGGATGGATGGATGGATAGACAGGTAGATGGATGGGTAGATAGATGGATAGGTGGGTGGATGAATGGATGGATAGACTAATGATGGATGGATGGATGGATGGCGGGAGGGATAGATGAAATGGAGGGATGAGTGGATGGGTAGGTGATTGTATGGGTGGTTGAAAGGATGGACAGACGGAGGGATGGATGATGGAAGAGAAGGAGGGAGGAAGGAAGGAAAGGAAGTGGTGAAGGTGAGAGTGAATGCATGGGAATGAATAGATGGGTGGATGAATGGACAACTGTGTGAAATAGCAGACAGCCTGGGGACACCCTCCCTCCTGTCCCTCCTCTCCCAGGTCTTGCACTGGGCCCTGACACTCAGCCCTGCAGCCTTCAGCGTCTGGGAAGTCCCTTCGAGGAGCAGCACCCCAGACTCTGATGTTCTGGACTTCACTTTGCCATTCCCTTGGGTCCTCACAGCCACTATTTTCTGAAGGCTTCATGTCAAACCCTGCTTGCCTCATGAATACACACAGTTCAGAAAAGCAAAACCTCGACAGAGCCACCACCCACACAAGGGAGGTGACGTGCCCCCATCCTTTCTCAGATGCCCCAGCCACTGAGAGAGGATCCAGGCCACCCTCCCCAGCTGGGGAACCACCCAGTGACAGCACTCCCCTTGTTTCCCACCTGATCCGCTTGGGACGGTGACCAAGGGCAGCCGAGAGGCAGGCCCAAAGGCCACAGTTGGGCACTCAGCACTGGGGTGCAGAGTGGACAGCACCAGGGGCAGGGGGTAGTTGGGGTCAGCAGTGCTGAGGAGGCAGCCACTGCCCACCCCGCCCCCGACCAGCCCTGGCCCCTTGTCAGATCATCTGCACCCCTCGGCTCAGCCTCGAGAACAAGGACCCAGGGCCTGTCCCTCTGAGCTCTACCCAGCCACAGCCCTGCTGTGTTTCTGATGCAGCCTCCCGTCCACGGCCACAGCAACCCCATGCCCCTGCTCCTGGAAACCTGGAGGTCAGGCCATGCCCAATGCGGAGGTCAGGAGGCTCAAAAGGCCTGCAGCCTAAGAGGCCCCTGGCCAGGGATGGCAGATGAAGCCCCTAGCCTCTGTCCTGCCTGCCAGAGCAGCCACCAGACACCCTGTGACCCTTGCTACAAGCCCCTAGGCCAGCCACAGAGAAGACACCCATCATATCTGCAGAACGAGTCAATGAAACTGCAAAATCAGAAGCACTAGGCATGTGGGGAGGCAGCTACCTAGGGCTGGAGCAGCTCAGTTCCCAAGTGCTGTGTCAGCTGCTCCTGTCCTGGGCCTGGCAGTGATTGAGCCCACAGCTGGGCCGAGCGGCCTCAGGCTGGATCCAGCCTGGGGGCTCAGGTCAGCTCAGGGCATGAGGAGAGGCTCAGGACCCTCTTGGTCTCCACCACCCCCAACCATGCGCACTGGGTGCTGGGACCTAGATTGAGGGGCCCCGGCCACCATCTGGGGGCCACCCAGGCAGGGAGCTGCAGCCAAGACACTCAGGAGGCCATCCTCCCTCCCACAGCCTGCTCCCCACTCCCTGGGCTTGGCTCAGCATTTGCCAATTTCAGAACCCCCCCATCCCCCAACAACTGCCCTAGAGCCAAGGCCCCGTGGTCCGTCCTCAGACTCCTCCTGGGTGGAAATGCGTCCCCAACCCAGGCTGGGCCTCCCTTGTGCCCTGCCCCCACCCAGGTCTACAGTCCCCCAGGAGGCCCCTGCCCTGCCTCCTCTCCTTGGACCATCCCGGTCCGGCCAGATGGCAGCAGGGCATGGGTTACCTGGTGCAGGCCCTCGAGGCCGCTGGTGCCTGCTCTGTGCAGTCCCTGCTACGCCTCAGGCCCAGCGCCCGAGGGGGAGGTCGCCGATACCCAAAATAAAACCTGCCCTATCCCTCTGACCTCAGCTGGCTGGGCGGAGAGCGCCTGCCAAAGCTCCAGGAGCTGGGCGGGCAGCACCTTCCCCTGCTGGCCACACGGGGCCAGTGCAGGGTTATGGCACACCCACCTTCAGGTGCGCCCCTCAGGACCCCTGGCCTGGGTGAGGGCTTGGGTGGGCACAGGCTTCCTAGGCCTGCAGACTGAACCACGTGTAACCAGAATGGTGGGCTCAGGGCTCCGTTAGAGAAGCCGGCAGAGCGAGCCTGGAAAAGGAGGTTGGCCCCACCATGGGAGAGGATGGGGTGGGCCCGCTGACCCCCAGGGACCCGCTCACGTGCCTCTGAGGGAGCAGTTCTGCAGATGTCCCCAGTGGGCAGGAAGCTGGTCACAGATATCCAGGGGCCAGGGCTGTTTGTGGCCCCCAAAGCCTTGCCCATCGAGGACATGGACAGGGAGGGGAAGGCGTGGAATGCAGACGAAGCCACAGACCCAGAGCAGGAGGACGGCGACGTTCCCAGCAACCCCAGCTCCAAGAGCCTTCCCAGTGCCGGGCACTCAGCGGGAGGCAGGCAGGGGACCGGCCCTGTCCTTTGAAATGGCAGCCTGGGGCCAGCCCGCCTTGTCGTGTGACCCCAGGCACACCTTGCCTGTCCCTGGGCTCTGCGGCCTCGCTCTTCCATGGAGGGGTGGAATGAGGTGCCAACCACAGCCTTCCGGAAGGCCCCCGACCCGGCCCCAGGGCACTGTGAGCCCCTGCCGGGTTATCCTGTTGTCCCTGACTCTAAGCCTGGGGAGGACAGGGACCTCATCTGTGCCTCTCGGGACTCACCCCTGTCCTGGGCGCTGGCCAAGAAGGAACCAATCTGTGCCTGAACCGAAGAGTTCCGCAGACACCACCGCCCACGCTCAGCCTGTGGGGTCTGAGGGGAGTGAGGGGGTGGGTCAGGGTGCCAGACTGCTCTCCCCCACCTGGTGCCTCAGTTTCCCTGATCCAAGAGGCAGGGTTATCCAATCTGGTGGCCTCACTGGCCAGCATACAGGCCATCAGAGGCCAGGAAGGATGTCTGCTAGTCGGACGGTGCCACCTGGAGTCCTGAGGAAAGAAAACCAGTCTCCACACGCCACAATGAGCCTGTGGGAGATGCTGGCACAGATGGTAACGGCCACTGCGAGTGCCCAGGGTGGGGCCCCAGGGTTAGAAAGGGCCTAGAGGGAGGACCCAGACCCTTACCCAGCAAACTCCATGTGTAGCCCCCTGCAATGGCAGCAGCCCCGGGGGGAGGTATGGCAGACTCGGACTGCAGCCAGCCTGGCCATGTCCCTCGCCCGCTTATTGTGTAGGCCCCAACGGTGTCTAGCCAGGAAAGCAGAGCTGGCCTCTAAGAGGGTCTCAGATAGGGTGGGGGCCTGGCCTCAGTTCCATGGGGGGTCTCCGAGGCCTCAGGCTGCTTCCTCCCCGGGGGAGACAGCGAAGGGCCTGGGGCATTGGGCCGGGCGGCGGGAGGGGACCCCGGCTGTGCGGACCCTTTTCCTGGACAAATGTTTACTCCCACAGAACATCTCAGAGAGAAGGGGCGGGGGGGTGGGAAACCCGGCAGCCTGGCTCTGGGGACCCCCACACTAGTTTGGCCCAAAGAGAGCCTCGGCTTGGTGCCCCGGGGCCACCCAACACCTTCCTCCTCCCTCCTCAGCCCATCCAGAATGTACCCGCTGCTGGGAGTAAAAATAGCAGCTGACACCTCCTGGAGGCGGAGGGAGGACCTTGCCTCCTTCTCCAAGCACGTCCTCTGCATCCTGGCCTCCTTCAGCCTCCTCCTCTGGCCATTCCTATACTTGGTAAGGGGCCTGCACGGGCATAGCCCCCCCCAGCAAGACTCCGCACACACCCCGGCCACCCAGTCACTGGCCAATGGGCTCCTAGGAAGATCAAATGTCACTATAACACGAGGGTGTGAGCCGGGCGCCAGTGCCTGCAGCCGGTGCTGTCCACAGGGAGCTCCAGCCCTTCTCACACTCGACCCGCAGGTGGGTATAGGCAGGAGCGGCCACCCAGGACTGGGGCCGACGGGGCCTCCTGCGTGCGGGTGGACAGCCCCTCGTTCCAGGGACACTCTGGGGTCCTGGGGCGCTGAGGTCCCAGGTCCGTGTGGTGCCGAGCATCTCGAAGCATCATGGCTCGGAGCCCCCAGGTGGCTGCTCCAGCGTCCGGAGAGTCTGGGATGCGGACATGGTGGTGTGATGGTCTCAGCACCGGGAGGATGCAGAAGAAGGCAGAGTGTGGGAGGCCAGGAGGGGGCAAGTCGGGGCTCAGGGAAGCTCAGTGCTAGGGAGTGGCCTGAGGGCAGGAGGCAGAGAGGTGCGGGCTGTGAGCGGCAGGGAAGAGGCTGTGCAGGGGTGCTGCCAGGGCTTAGGTTGCCAGCTTGTGGTCGCCATGCAGACATTTGCCCAGGCCCGTCCTGGCCTTGCCATGCAGCTCTCGCACCTGGGCCTCCAACACCGCCATTTTGTAGAGATGAAAACGAGGACAGGAGGGCAGGGGCTCCTGTATGGCCAGCCCGAGTGTGTTGGGGTGGGGGCGTCTAAAGCCCACGCAGCCTTGGGGGCCAGCGTCTGGAGGTGCAGGACAGAAGTGGACAGGGGCTGGACTGGGGCAGGACGGGGCAAGAGTGAGGGGCTGGGCTTCATCGCGTCCCCCTGGCTGGAGGCTGGAGAAGCTGGCGCTCGTAAGAGCCCCCACCCACCCTCCCTGCCCTGGACACGGTCCCCCTGACTTGTGCCGTCTGATCAGGCCTTGGCTGCCCCTCCTGAAGTCCACGGAGGGACATGGGGCAAAGCAAAGGTTGGCTGGGTGGAGAACAGGTCTGGGGGCATGGTCAGGGCCACAGCAAGCAAGGGGCAGCGGCTTTTGCCTCCCCACCCTGCCCTGGCCCCGTCACCTCCCAAGGAGGGAAAGGTGATGCATACGTGCCCGAAGAAACTGACCGCATAGGTTATTTTCACGCAGCCCCTCCAAGGCAGGCACTAACTGGACACCTGCTTTGCGTCTCAGCTGTTGAAATGCCATCCCCTGCCCCCAGCACACCCCTGCCCCCAGCACACCCCTGCCACCAGCCCCTCCCCGCAACAGAGGCAATGACACAGGCCATACTGGGGGGAACAGAACAGCCTTGTGTTGCTTCCAGGCGCTCAGCAGAAAACCAGGTGCCTCAGTTTCCCCACTTGGAGAGTGGGCCTTTCCAGCGCACGTCGGGGGGCCTGGAGGTCACCCTGCCTGAGGGTGTTGGGGCACCCATGTGACTCTGGCCTGGGGGGACAGGAGGGAAATATGAGGAGCTGGGGAGGGCCTGGGTGCCCGAGGGTGAGGGGGCAGCTGTGGGCCAAGGAGGGCTGGGCTGTCACACCCGCCTCACCCACGTCTTGGGTTTCTGGGCAGAAACGTCTTGCCTATTTCTGGACACCTCAGCTGCCACTGGCTCCTTATAAATAACCCACCCCAGGCGAGGGCCACGCTGCCCCCATCTTGTGGCAGCCGACAGGTGTCTGCCCCGCCAGCGTCGGGCTGGGCACAGCAGGGCGGGGCCAGGCTCCGCTCCCTCCCTTCACTGACCCTCCTCCTCCTTACAGAGGATGGCCCTAGAGGAGTCTGTGGCGTTTGGGGCCTGAACCAGCTGGGAGGACAGCACGAGGGGCTGGTGGGCAGCCTGGGACTGGGTCACACCGGGGGCCTGGACAACACTGGCTCGTGGGGCTGAGGACTGAGGAGAGCCTGGCCCAGCCGTGGCAGTTACAAGAGGCTTAACCTGAGGGGCAGCAGAGTCTCAGGAAGAGATTCTGGGATAGGAAAAAGCTACCCCCGTTGCCTGGAAGACAGCTATCTGCTGGGTAATTTTGCATGGAGCTTAAGTTGCTCTGGGAAAATTAACATTCTTGACAGAGGGTTTGGAAAACGGTTCCCACCTCAGCAGTGCAACGTAGATGCATTTTTAGCTGATGAACGTGTGTTTTCCTTATACAACACTCCCAGGGGGGACCGTAGCTATTGTCTTCGAGTAATCTGTACTGTGTTGTAATGAACTTTGTTTTCTAAAACCCTGGCCAACATGCCGGTGCAGCTGCTCAGAGCCTCCCCAGGCCTGGCCGCCCAGTGTGCACGGTGGCCAGCTCACAGAGAGACGGTCCCCAGCATGCTGGCCTGGCGCCACCACCGCACATGGACAGGGCAGCCAGTCCTGGGCATGGAGCTTCCCCTAGACAGGGACAGATCCAGAGCATCCCCGGGACCAGGGAAAGCGGCCACAGGGAGGGAAATGGGGGGGCTGTTCTGTGGGCTCCTGCAGTCCAAGTATGCCTTGTACAGAGCCCGGCCCGGGGGGGTGCACGGGAAGCGGCCCAGACCCAACCCAACGTGCTCTGGGGCTCAGCCTCAATGTTTTCAGGGTACAGGGGTAACAAGAAGGAACAGCTTCCCTGCTCTGTGATCTTGGAGGAGGGGTCCTCAGAGGGGTGTGGTGGGACACACTCTGGGCACCCCATAGGAAAACAGGCACAGAAGGGAGCTTTGGGCTCAAATAGGGAAGAGGGGTTCTCATGGGGAATGGTAGGGTGAGCAGATTACTCATCTTGGGGAGCCAGTCTCGGTCATCCAGGGGCTCCCAGGGAGACCCCACCTACACCCACTGGGCAGAGAACACCCAGAGACAGGTTTCAGCTCCATCAGCGGGACCTTTCCAGTGTCTAGAGCGGGCTGGACGGCACACGGCCTGCATTCTGGATGACCCTCCTCAGGGGACGCCACGGAGAGGATGTCTGCCCTGGGTGGGGGTGGACGCCACGACCTTCCAACATCCCTTCCAGCTCCAAGATTCCAAGCTCCAGTCTGGAGCCAGGGCAGGAAGAGGGGACAGAGTCTGGGGCGCCAAGAGCTGGGAGGGGCCAGGAGCCCTGGAGAAAGGGGAGGCCCAAGGAGGTGGACTCACCCAAGGCCAGAGCTGGCCCCCAAACCCTGCCCGCGGTCCCCCACAGCGCTGCTCCAAGACCCCATCCCCCATCCTACACCCAGGCAGCTCGTAACTCTCTTTCCATCCTCTCTCTCTCTCTCTCTCTGAATCTCTCTCTGCAGAAACCACCCACCTTCACCATGTCTGACGAGGAAGTGTGAGTACCCAGCTGGTGGCTGCCCCCTGCCTGGCTCGGGACCCTGGCCCCTTGGCTTCTGTGGGGCTGGAGCATGCGCTATCTTGCACAAGTCCAAGCAAAGCCCAGCCTCACTACCTCTCTCTCTTTCTTTCTCTCTCTCTCCCTGCCCCACAGTGAACAGGTGGAGGGTAAGTGTAACAGCCATTTTCTTTCTACTTCCTGCTCTAGAAGGAAGGCTCACATGTGGGCAGGGGGCTGGACTGTGCATACCCTGTGTCCCCTTGACAGCCCTACATCAGCTGCATCCCATGGGTGGCTTCTGAGTGACCCCCGGAAAACAGCTGTCCAAGTGGGGGGCCTCGTCTTTTCCCCGAAGTGTGGCCACATGGTCCTGAGGGGCCTGCAGGTCAGGCTCTGGGTCCTGTCTCTCTGCTTCTCTCATGCCCACTGTGGGACGTGGGCATCCAGGACCCCCGAGCCCCCCAAAAGCCACCATCATCACCAGAGCCTCTGCCTTCCCCAGCGCCTCCTCAGGGCCCGAGGACCCCTGATTCCACGCTCTTGGGCAGGGGCAGTCGCTGGCCTGTCCAGGGCCGGGACACACTGGCCTCTCATCCTCCTCCTCCCTTCACGGGCTGCCCCTTCTAACGTGGTTCCCCTCTTTGTTCTGTCCCAATGCAGAGCAGTACGAAGAAGAAGGTAATTCTGGCAACCACCGGAAGCCCCCCCAGCCCCTCCTTGGAACTTAACCCCCCTCTCCCGTGTGGCGCTCACAGAACCCCCTCCCCAGGCTGCTCCAGGCCGCCTTGAGCTTGTCAATCAACCTTCCATCTTCCTCATCATTAGTCACTAACAATCACCATTCATCATTAATTAATGATAAATGAGGCCACCACTTAATTAATGATGGATGAGTCATTAAATCATCACTAACCCCTGTCTCTTTAATCGATTAATATGCATTCACGATCCTTCATTAATCCTTCATCCTCCGTGTGCCATGGTGTGTGGAGTTCACTGGGGCTGGTCATGAAGGCCTCAAAACACCGAGTGCCCTGCGTGCCCAGTGCTGCTGTCTCTCTGCCTCTCTCTCTATCTCTACCCTCCCGGCATCTCAGAGTCTCTCCATCTCTCTCCAGTTCCTTTCCGTGTCTCTCTTGGCAACTTTGTCTCTCTGTGTGCCTGTGTATCTCTCAGCTTCTCTCTGTCTCTGTATCTTTCAGCCTCTTGGTCTCTGTCTCTCCCTGCCTCTCTCTCTCAGTCTCTGTCTTTCTTGGCCTCTCTGTCCCCATTTCTCCACCTCCATCTCCATCTCTGTCTCTCTGTGTCTCCATCCCTCCATGCCACCCCCCAACCCTGTGCTGTAACCCTGGGTGGAGCCTGGAGCCCCCTCCCTGTGCTGGCCAGGTGTGGTCTGTGGGCGTCTCCATCGTGCCCGGGCAGGCGTGGGCGGGTGTGGGCGCACCTGGGAACCGTGTGGGGTGGCGGTTCTCAGGCCGACGGCGCTGCCCTGGAATCCCTGGCACCCACTCAACTGGGGAGCGCGTTCACGCAACCTTAGCAGGCAGGGCTGTCCTGTGAGGAGTCCTGAGTGCTATGTTTTGAAAATATTTTGAAAACACTTGGCTACCCTAACAACGTGAGCAAAACATTTATTTTTCTGCCGAAAAGGTGGAAAGACTCATTTCTGCGAGGGAAATATGGCACTGGGGAGCCATCTTTTCTCTTGGGGCAGCCACGTGGCAGGCCGGGAGGCCACGGAAGGGTCTTCGTGCGACATGTCTCTGAAGACCCCTCAGTGCCAGCCTTGTTTCCGGGTGCACTCAGAGCCGGGGCTTCCCGCAGGCCCTGTGGGTTCTGTCCCCGTTCTCACTTGTGTCACCTGCAGAGCAGGACTTAACAAGGGCCCCCGTGCACAGGCGCCTCCAGGCATGGGAATACCAGGCCCCCAGGAGGGTGGGAGGGGCCTCAGAACCCCTCTCAGGGGCCGGGCCCAGCCCAGCTGACAGTGACCAGCTCTGCTGGTGGGAGTCCGTGCTCCCCGGGGCTGGCCAGAGATGCAGGACTGAGCCCCATCTTTCACCCCTGCCAAGCGAGCCCCAGGCCCTCTTCTCCCGGCCAGCCGGCCTCCTGTCCTTGCGGCCTGAGTACACTCTGATCACTGTCTCTGTTCCCTGTCTCCCTCAACCCCGCCTTCTCCTGCTCCTGGCTTCTCCGGCTCTCAGAGGAAGCCCAGGAGGAAGGTAAGTGGGGTCCAAGGCCCCGGCCCCCATGCCCACTCCCCAGCCTTCCCGCCCCACCCAAAGTTGACCTCCACCCCGCCTCTAAGGATTGCTGTGTGCCCCTGTCTAACCCTCTCCTCTCTCCCCCGGCTCTCCTCAGCTGCAGAAGTCCATGAGGAAGGTATGAGGACACAGGACTTCTTGTCCCCATGTGGGGCCCGGGGCCTGGCTGGAGCCCATGTGGGGGTGGGGGAGAGGGGGAGAGGGTGGGGAAGCCACGAGGTACCAGCCAGCCAAGGGGCCCCCACATGTGGCCCTAATGTAACCCACTAACCGCGGCCAATGCTTGACCAGAGAGAGAATGGGGTCTCGAGGGTGGGCCCCCTTCCCCACAGCCCCCCAGGCAGTAGGGCCAGGGACTCCCCAGGCAGGTGCAGGCTGGGCTGCTGGTCAGCAGGGTGTCCCCAAGCATGGGGCAGAGGGGACACGTAGGCCCACCCTAGTCCTCCACCCCAGGGTAGGCAGTCCAGAGCCCGTGGTGGCGTCGACCCCTGGGCCTGGCCAGGACGCCCGCCACATCTTGGGATGGCACAGAGTGAGGGGAGAGAAGGCGGCTGGGGGCAGAACCCTGCAGCCTGGCACAGTCAGCTCCCTCGTGAGCATGCCCTCGTCAGCCCCCCAGGCCCCCTCACAGCCTTCTGCTATGAGACCCTTGAGGTGCACACAGGCTGGGAGCAGATGGGAGGGCTGGGGTCCCATGCCCAGATCAGCAGGCAGAGCCATCACTGGTGCCCAGGGCTGCCAGCACCCTTGGAGGGTGGAAAGAATTCCATCAGGGAAAGAACGAGTGGGCCCCCAGCGTTGGGATGGCAGGAAGTGGGGGTCCTGGGGACGCCTTCCATGGCCCATCCATGGCTCTGCCTCCCAGGGCTACCAGCACTGCCTTTGTGGGCCCTTGGTGCCACCCGGCCAGGCTACAACCTCGCACGTGGGCCTTGGTGCCCCGGCCAGAGGCGCGGACACCCTTCTGGGGGCGCCCCAGGACAGACAGGGGATGGGGGCGAGCAAAGGAAGGCCCAGCCCCAGTACTGAGCCTGCTCCACCAAGGACAAGAGCCACAGCTCCCGGCCATCCTCTGAGCCTCAGTTTCCCCACCTGGGGTGCTCCCAGATGCTGAGAGCAGGGTTTGGGGACATGGGACTGGGGCGGTGGCCGCGCCTGGGCTAACTCTGACCGTGTCTTGCTCGCTCCCCGCACGCACCCCACCCTCGGCCTCGAGTGGCGACGGGCTTTTCCATTAACCTCGGACGCTTCTCCATTGACCTCTGACCCGCGGTTTTGCCTCTTGTTCCGTGGCCTCCTTGGCCCGTGAAGTTCATGAACCAGGTACGTGCATGACTTCGATGCCACATGGGCACGTGTGGCCATGTGGGGGGTGCAGGACCCAAGAAGGAACAAGAGGGGCCGCGTAACCCTGCACAGCCTGGCCTGCTCGCTCCGCCGCCTCGGCCCTGCCCGCCCTCCTCTCTGCGCTGCCACCACTCACACTGGTCCTCTCTCTCTCCCGCCCTTTCTGCCACCATGACGCTGCTTCTGCAGAGGAAGTTCAAGAAGGTACGCCGGCGCTCCCCCGCCTCCAGGCCAGAGTCTCCGTCCTCCCTTCTGTCCTCTCTTGCTTCCTCCCTCTTGCCCACCCCTTGTGACGTTTGCCACCAACAACTGAACCCGTTCTGGCCTCTGGGCTGGGGACAGAGTGAGGACCCTGGCTTGGGAAGGGCTGGCCGGTACAGTGCAGGCTTCCTCTGTGTCTCCCAGGCAGAGAGGATTGATTCCATAGCCTGGGGACAATGAGGCCCTTCCTGGGCTGCCAACAGGAAGGTGGGAGGTGGGGGTGGCCAGCCTTGAGGCCGAGGCAGAGCAGGCCTTGGGAGGACGGTGCTGGGGTCCACTGGGACCCTCTGGATCCACCAGGGTGGGGTGGGAAGAGCGCAGGAGAGGCCTCCACCCTGCCCCAGTTAGCAAGCCAGAAGCGGGAAGGTAGGGAGGGGTGAGGTGGAAGGGAGGGTGGAGGGGCAAGTGGAGTGAAGCAGAAAAGCAGGCTGAGGCCCAAGGTGGGGACGCTGGGGACCCGGAACAGCCAGGGGCCATGCGTGCAAAGGCCCAGTCAGGTCCCAGCATCCCACCCATTGCCTGGGCCTGAGCCAGACACACCCGGAGTGAGGAGGCCCCCTGGGTGGGCCTGCCCTCCCTGGTAGTGGGGCCGGCTGTACTGGGTGGAGGTCAGAGAGCTGCACATTCAAGTCAGGGGCCCCAGCTGGGGAGTGCTTCTCAGCTCCCCCCGTTCATGGGCCGTGGGGCTGAGGGGCTCCTCCCTGCCGGGCCTGAGCTCTTGCGTGACTCGAGCCTCGGAGAGGCCCCTGGACAAGAAGGGACATGCTGGGAGGGGGATGGGACTCCAGCCATGCAGGGAGGTGTCCAGGAGATAGCCTGTGGGGATGACAGGGTTGCTGGGCCGCTCTGGAACCAGCACTGAGGCCAGCGGACAGACGGACAGCAGGGCAGGGTGGGGCAGGAGCAGAGGAGGCAGGGCCGCAGGACAGCTTTTGCCGCTTGGCTGTGTGCTCGCTCCCCGAAATTGCTCAGCCTCCCACCCGACCTCGCCCTCCTCCCTGGCCGGCCTTCCCACCCGGAGGGGCTCCTCAGCCACGCACTGCGTCCAGCAAAACCACTAAGTCAGGGAGGCCAGGGCGGGCAGCCCATTCATCGTCCTCACCGCGCTGTTCCTTCCGGGCCCTTGGCTGGAACGCTCAGGATGCCCCACCGCTCACTCCCGGTGCACATGTGCCCCAAGGCATCCGGAACGGGTGACCTCAGGCCCACCTGCAAAACCAAGAGCGCTGGCGGGCTCTCTGTGGTGTGCAGGGGGCTCCCAGGCAACCGAGGTATCTGCCAGCGAGGAGGACTCAAGGACCAGTGCACCCCAGGCCAGGCACTGGCAAGGCAGGACCCCCACCCCCGGGCCCAGGCCTGCTGGCCTTAGCCAAGTGCAGGGGACAGCGCTGGGTCAGACTTGGAGGGCCGAGGGCATCGTGTGTCAACGGCCTTGCTGCCACCTAAGGCCCAGAGCAGGGACTGAAGGGACAGGATGGGCGGGTGCCACTAGGCCAGCGGCAGACCCCCCTCCTGGGCCCCAGCTGGGCCAGGCCAGCCAGGTCCACCCCAGGGTCTAGGAGCAGAGTGTATCCTAAAGGAAGCCACCCCTTATTAGGGTGGCCAGGGCAGGCCAGGCAGACCCCAGAGGTGGCCAGGGAGAGGTAGCAGGGGGGTCCCAGAGGGGCCCAGTCTCAGGACAGCAGCCATGTGGCAGTCAGAGGGCAAGCCCCAGGGAGGTCAGGGATGAGTGCGCCTGGGCTCCTGGCCTGTGGGTGGGGGCTGTGGTGGACATTCCGGACTCAGGCGGGGGCTCCTGGGGCTGAGACCAGCAAGGAGTTAGACATCACGTTGCCGGCAGAGGCTCCTGAGGCCTGAGGGCTGTAGTCATTCCATGAACTGCTGGGTTCCACCCAGTAACACAGCCTTTACAGGCAGGGGTCAGGCTCCGGGAAGCACGAAGCAAAGGGGCTGCACCCACCCCGGCTGCAACGCCCTCTTGGTGGAGAGGGTCTCAGATGCCAAGGTTGGCCCTGCCAGACCCAAGAGGACAGACCGGGGGGACAGATGAGACCCAGTGCCCTTAGCCCCCCACCTTGCCCCGCGAGGTCCCCGTGTCCCTCCTATTCTCCACTAGGTCTTCCAGGCAGGAGCTCCACTGGGCACCCAGCCCCTTCCACCCCCTCCCCAGGCATTGATTCACCGGCCCCAGCTTGGGGCACTTGTAGGGCCCCGCAGGCACACCCTGGAGAAGAGAGTGTCCGAGTGAGAGGGGTGGGCCCCTTGCCCGCCACAGGCCCCTTGCCCACTGCTCCCCCGCAGCCGCACTGGCTTTTCTCTTGCATGTGTGCTTGTGCCTTTTGCCACCTGGAAGACACCGCAGAGGAGGACGCGGAAGGTAAGGGCCCGTCCCTGCCGCCGGAGGTGCAGGACCCTGGCTCTAGCCGACGCGAGGGAAAGAGGACAGGCTGGGGTCTCTCGCTGCCCTGCCTCCTCCTCCCTCTGTCCTCTTTCTCTTCCCCTGGCACGGGGGCCTCGGAGGGCCAGGCCTTGCTGCTCCGCACGGTGCCGCTGGGGTCGAGCTGCCAGGGCCTCGCGGGTGCCACCGCTCCAAGTTTCTGCCACACAGCGGAGGGGGAGTAAGCGGGACCAGCCAGCAGTGCCAGAGCCCGGGCCGGGCACGCCCCCCTCCCCTTTCTCCCAAGCCCCTTTCCTCCCAATCTTCTTCCCGAGCCCCTGTCCTCTTTGCTCCGTCTCCTCCCTTCCCAGCCTTCAAGGACGCGGCCTGTCTCGCTCCTATTTCTTCCCTACCTCTTCCTCACCCTTCCTCCTGGCCCCAGGCCCTGAGCTCTTCCCCTCCAACCCTGCCAGGGGCTTTTGCAGGCCTAGAGCAGAAACAGGACCCTCTTGTTTCTGGGGGTTGGGGGTACTCCCAGCTGAAAAGGACGGTGGCCTTCAGTGAAGGGGAACCCAGGGCCGCAGGCCGCCCAGTCTCACCCAGGCTGTCTCTCTCCCTCTCCCCACGCTGGTGTCCCTCTCCCTACGCTGGTGCTGTGTGGACCAGAGGAGAAACCGAGACCCAAGTGAGTGTGGGGTCCTGGCAGGCCCGCTGCTGAGTGTGTTCTGGGGTGGGGGTGGTCAAGTGAGTGTGGGGTCCTGGCAGGCCCAGTGCCGAGTGTGTTCTGGGGTGGCGGTGGCCAAGTGAGTGTGGGGTCCTGGCAGGCCCAGCGCCTCGTGTGTTCCGTGGTGGAGGCGGAGGAGAGGGCCAGGGCCAGATGCCTGGAGCCTGCATTCGGAGGGACGCTCAGAGCGCAGGGTGGGAGGGATGAGGGTCACCTGGGAGATGGGCTTGGGAGGCCCAGCAGGGTGTGATTTTGCCCAGGGTCATCCAGTGCAGACAAGGAGGGCTTCCTGTAGGAGGAGGCTGCAGACGAGGAAGGAGGGAGGAGAGGTGGGTGGGAGAGAGTTGAGGAAGGAAGGCGGGGCAGCTGGTGCAGGGAGTCTGGCCACCGCAACACCCCACGGCCTTCGGGGGACCACACCAAGCCCCGCCATACTTCTAGGACTCCCAGAGTCCTAGATTGAAAAGCGACAGGAAAGTGAGTCCGGAAGTGGAGAAAGGTGGGGGACTCAGCCCAGAAACCCACTTCAGAATGACACCTTGACCGTGTCCAGAAGAGCTCACTGTGCAGGGGCCCCTGCTCCCCTTTGGGGCAGAATTCAGAGGAGCTTGTCCTCATCGCACCTGCTTGTGAGCACTTCGTGGGTTGGTTTTTTTAATGCAGCTCTTCTGACTTTTCTGCTTTTGATCGGTATTCACCAGCCACAGCACTCGCTACGTGATTCACCCTTTTATCTCTCGAGTGCTCTTGCCTGTGTGTTGCTCTGTGCGAAGTGGAATCTTAGAGCATCTTGACACACACTCACTGTTGGCTCCCACTTGGGGAGCATTGCAGATTCTCAGAAGAGTGAGAACATCTGAAGGGTACAGCCGGCGTATTCCCACCCTTTGCACTGTATTTTTCAGTGATTTTAAGTACAGTAATGCTGGATCATGAGATATTTTCTCATTTTAGAAAAATTGTTTGTGTTTTCATTATGAAAATAAGACACCTCATGAAAGAAAATTTGGAAAATATATAAAAGTCAAATGAAGAAAAAACGTCATCTATAATTCTCCCACCCAGCCAGCCAGACTGTGGAAAAGAGCAGAAAGAAATAAAAAGCCTTATTTCTTCCTTTTTTCCATGCATAGCGCTTGGAAAAAAAAGATTTAAAGTCGGCCTTGTTTTTCAAACATCATACCGTCTCTACGGCCTTGAATTCTGCTTTTTTTAAAATTTAGCACTATTCATAAGTATTTTTCCATGTTTTTACACAGTCTTCTTAAATATTTTGAATGGCCACATAATATTCCATCAATTGGACAAACCATAATTTTCCTAACCATTCCCCTATTGCAGGCTTTCCCCAATATTTTACTATCATAAATAACGCTGGTTGGAAAGCGTTTTCCATCTTTAGGGTTATTTCCGTAGGCCACATTCCCAGAACTGGAATTACTGGGTCAAAGAGTATGAATGTTCTTAAGGCTTTGACATCCACTGCCAAATTGCTTTCCACAAGGGCCTGGCCAACGCCGTCTCCTACGTGGGATGTGAGCGGGTCTGTGTCCCACACCCTCCTCACCCAGGGACAGGAACGTGCTTTTACATTGCAGCCTCTGATGGATGAGAAACGGCACCTCATGATTCTTTGGCTTTGCGCCCTAACAGTCACTCGGGGCCAGCGTTTCCCTGAGTTTGGGATGGGTCGTCTCTTCTCTGAGAACTCGTAGCTACGGCCATTGCTCATTTGTCTCCTGGTGGAGGAATCTCTGTGTTTTCTTAGTCATCAGTTTGCATAAGGATATAAGTCTTCTCTGTATTTGCTGAAAATTTTTTTTAGTCTTTTTTTTTTGCCTTTCCATTTTCCGTTTTTTTTTTTTTTTTCACATACATACGTTTTTCATTTGCGTGGTGTCATCTGGCCTTCTTTCCCTTAGAGGCACCTTCTGGTGCTCCTGAGCTTAGGAAACCCTTTCCTGCTCCAGTTTCTGATTGATATTTAGTTCCACTTTCTTCTATGGTTTGTTGGAAAAAATTGTTGTTGTTTTAACTCTTTGCTGCATCTGGAATGTATTGGTGAGAGGAGGGGACTGCACACCCAGCCGGAGAGGGGGCCTCATTTCCCCTTCAGATTGCTTTCTTCCCAGCCCCCTCTCCTCCTTCCTTTGGGCCCCCAGAGAGAAAGATGAAAGAGGGGCTGGGGAAAGGCACAGGCTCGCAGCAGCCATTCCTGCCCAGGGAGGCCACCGCCACCCACAGTGGCCATCGCTTCTCACCCGACATGGCTGCATTTGTTTATCTGTTTGAGGAGGAAACAGAGGTGCCCTCCCTGGTAGCTGGGGTGCAGTGACATTGCAATGGCCAGAAGCCAAAAGGCAGACGGTGGCGCTGGAAGCGGAAGCCTTCTTGAGGGGCTCAAGCCACTCTCAGGATGGTGGGCTACAAACCTCATAAGAATAAAGCTGGGGCAAACGTGTCACTAGGCGGGCATGCTTGGCTGGGGGCCAGAGCAGGAGGGCACCAGGGTTGGCAGGGGCCAGCGGGGAAAGCGCCAGGCTGACCCTCTGGGGTGGGTCTCCGGGTCTCTGCTCACGGGCCTCTCTGTCTCCTCTTCAGACTCACTGCTCCTAAGATCCCAGAAGGGGAGAAAGTGGACTTCGATGTAAGTTTACAGGACTCTGGTTAACATGTCCACGGTTTCCCCACACCCCAGCTTTTGGGCTCTAGGCCTCAGAAGGTCACTTCCTCCCAAGTAGCCAGAGCCGGGGCCTCCTGGGTCTGGGCAATTCTACCATAGCTTATTCCTGGGCCAGAGGAAACCCCTCTAAGAATAAGCATCTCTCTTCCCTTCTCCTCCATCTATCCTTCTATCCATCCATCCACCCACCCACGTAAGCTCCTACCCATTCACCTATCCATTCATACACCCACCCACACACCCATCCACTCAACCATCTATCCATCCATTCATCCACCCAACCACCCACCTACCCATCCATCCATCCATCCATCCATCCATCCTGCCTTACTTCCATCCATCCAACCAGCCACGTATCCACTCACCCATTCATCCATCCATCCACCCACCCAACCACCCATTCATACACTCACCTACCTATCCACTCACTCATCTCTCCACTCACCTACTCGCTCACCCACCCATCCACCCATCCATCCATCCATTCATACCACTCATTCATCTACTCATCCATCCATCGATCCATCTATCATCCACTCACTCACATAACCATCCACTCATCCACCCTCCCACCCACCCACCCATTCACCCATTCATCCTCCCATCCACCCACCCACCCACTCACCCACCATCCACGCATCCTCTACCATTAATCCACATAATCATTCCTCCACCCATCTACCTATCCATCCATTCATCCATCCATCCATTTCTCCAATCATCCATCTATCCACCCAGTCATCTGTCTCCATCCTCTCTCACTCATCCACCCATCCATCAGCTCATCTGTTCACATGCCTACCTATGTATCCAACAATTTCTCTCACTCTGCAGTCTTCTCTCTGCCAGGCCCATGCAGGGCATCTCTGAGGATGATGACAGAGCCAAGTCAGGGCCAGTCCATCCTAAGGATGCTGAGGACCTTATGGCTGGGCACCATCCCTGCTGTGTGGCTCAGGAATCAGGCCACCCTCGGCCCCTATGAGGATAGCAGCCATGGCAATGTGGAGAAGGCAAAACATTCCTTGCCACTTGCCATTTTCATGGTGGCCAAGGGAGTCAGGGCTTCTCTGCTGGGGCAAAGGAAGGGACCTCTTGCTGCAAGGCAGGCCAGGCAGGGCAGAGGTTGGAGAGAGGGGTGGGGCTCACACCCACTGCCCCTGCCCACAGGACATCCAGAAGAAGCGTCAGAACAAAGACCTAATGGAGCTCCAGGCCCTCATCGACAGCCACTTTGAAGCCCGGAAGAAGGAGGAGGAGGAGCTGGTCGCTCTCAAAGAGAGAATCGTGAGTGGGGCAGTTCAGGTTGCAGCAGGGGCTGGTGGACTCCCTCGGAGGAGCCGGGGACAGGGCTGAGCAGACCCCCTTCTCTGGCTGCAGGAGAAGCGCCGTGCAGAGAGAGCGGAGCAGCAGAGGATTCGTGCAGAGAAGGAGAGGGAGCGCCAGAACAGACTGGCGGTGAGGGCACCATCCGCACTGCTGCCTCATCAGAGAATGAGCCCCAGGCCCAGAGAAATGCAGGGGGCTGAGGCCTTCCTTCTCCCGGGGTTCCCATTGTCATTGGCCAATGATCAGAACCACTGGCTAAGGCCCCGGCGCCCTGCAGAACCCCTTGCCAGAAAACAAATCCTGGCCAAGACCTGGAGCTTCCTTCCAGATAGTTCTAAGCCCAGGGTGGGCCCTTCCAGACAGCTCTAAGCCCAGGGTGGGTCCCTAAAGCCTGCCCAGAAAGCATAGCCCTCTCTCCATCCCTGAGCATCTTGGGAATGGGGTCTCCACAGGAGGAAAAGGCCAGAAGGGAGGAGGAGGATGCCAAGAGGAGGGCAGAGGACGACCTGAAGAAGAAGAAAGCTCTGTCTTCCATGGGAGCCAACTACAGCAGCTACCTGGCCAAGGTGTGTGCCGCTGCTGGGAGCACGGTGGTAGCCTTCAGTGTGGGCTACGCCCTGTGCCCTCCTGAGACCAGGCCCCTCTCTTTGGGCCTGTCCGCTGCAGGCTGACCAGAAGAGAGGCAAGAAGCAGACAGCCCGGGAAATGAAGAAGAAGATTCTGGCTGAGAGACGCAAGCCGCTCAACATCGATCACCTTGGTGAAGACAAACTGAGGTGAGGGGTGGGTGTTGTGGGGCTCAGCCCCACGGGGTGGCCCCTGCAGGAGCTGCCGACTGCTCCTCAGGCTGCCAAGGACCGTGCTCCCCAGTGGCTGCAGGAGGACTCCAGGGGCCTGGCCCTGCCTTTGGGGCTTATTCAACGAAGCCTCACCACTTCCTCTGCCCCAGGGACAAGGCCAAGGAGCTCTGGGAGACCCTGCACCAGCTGGAGATTGACAAGTTCGAGTTTGGGGAGAAGCTGAAACGCCAGAAATATGACGTGAGTCCCGGCACCTCCGGCCCTGGGGCCCTAGCGGCTTTCACCCACCAGCAGAGCAGCCATCTCCCTGCGTCCCTACCAAACTCTGGACCTGCCCACCCCAGG
Organism: Homo sapiens; assembly: GCF_000001405.40. NCBI lineage: Eukaryota > Metazoa > Chordata > Mammalia > Primates > Hominidae > Homo > Homo sapiens. The sequence goes on from NC_000011.10 coordinate 1,935,025, forward strand.
GACCTGGACCCTGAGAGGCCCAAACAGGCTGTTGCCACGGACCCCTGGCTGAGGCTGCTTTCCTGCTGGGGACTGTGGCCAGAGCCCGTCCTCCTGGCTGGCCATGCAGCGCCCTGAGCGATGAACCTGGCCCCTTTGGGCGGCCTTGGTTACCCCTGCCAAAAGGACTGTCGTGGCAGAGCAGCCATGGCCAAGTGGACTCAGGGTTCATTTTCGGAACCCCTTTAAGCTTATAGAAAGTCCCCATCATCACCCAGCTCGGCCCCGGGGCACCGAGTCCGTCTGGTGTGGGGCGTCCTTTCGACAGAGCCTCCTCCACAAACCCAGACTCTGGCTTCCACCAGGGCCCCGGACACCTGCTTCCTCAGGGCAGACAGAGAGGGGTGACACACTGCACCCTGTGGCTGGGAAAAGGGGCCTGGGACTGTGCCCGTCTGGGACGGAGCAGAGCCACCATCCCATGCAGGCACTATCACCGCAGGCAAAGCTGGGACTGGGGAAGGCAGCCTGCCCGGGCGGCCTCAGGGACTGGGGTACAATGTGGGAGCTAGGGTGGAAGCCAAGCTGCTTCCCACCCTCCCAAACACCCGTTTGGGCTCCAGGGGCGAGGGGTGAGGGGCGCAGCCATGGGTGATCCACGTGCTCGGGGCAAATGCAGACACTCCAGCATCACCATCAGGGCCACGATGTCCACCCTCCAGCACCGCCAGAGGCCCCAGGGGAGGGCGGCTGTGCCCACGGGGCTTGTGCTCTACCCAGGTGCAGCAGGTGTGGGGCGACCAGTCCAAGCCAGCCGGGCAAATCCGAGCTCCTTCTCGGGGGTTCTGGGCAGGCCACCTGTTCCACCTGAGCTTCCACGAGCTCCCCTCCGACAGAGGCAGGGCGATTACACTCCCTCCCAGAGCTGTCCCCAGGGGGTCCAGGCATGAGGGACAGCCCTGACCTCACCCTTGGGGCTCTCCCAGAGGGGCTGGCCCTGAGACGGGCTTCACGGCACAGGACCCAGGTCCTTCCCATGCTGTGTTCCCAGAGCTGAATCAGGGACCCACTGGCTTTGGATAGATGCGGCCACAGCGGGCCCCCAGGGGCTCCAGAGCCTGGAGGGCCATCACCAGGCCAAGCTAGCCCACAGCCGGGCCTCGATGCCCCAGCCGCCCATCCAGCCTTGTAACCATCTTGGTCTTTCTAGATCATGAATGTCCGGGCCAGAGTGCAGATGCTGGCCAAGTTGTAAGTAGCCGGGTCCGCCCTGGGCCAGGCCCGTGGGTGTGCGTTGCACGGTGAGGTGAACCTCTCGCATGGCAAAAACCTGGATCGCTCAGGATGCTGGCGGCAGGGGGCCTGGAGCCTTCCTCCTGCCCCCGCTCTCCCCTCGTGCCTGCAGCCGGGGGCTTCCCAGTGGCCGCTGCCCTGTTGGCAAGCGAGGAAGGGCCCCCACCTTCCCAGGAGCTCCGCCTCAAGCCAGCAGCGGCCACAGAGTGCCCCTGGGCACAGGCACGAGGGCGGGAGCGGCTGGCCCAGGAGCAGCAGGGCCGTTCGGAGCTCTGAGCTCAGCGGCTGAAGGGAGCTGGAGCTGAGAAGGAGGGGTCCGCAGGCCTCACCTGCAACCCCTCCCCAGCCCCATCCGTGCTCCGTACCCCCCGCCCCACATCCTGCCGCAGGCTGAAGGTAAGTGGCCAGCTACGGGCTGCTGTGTGTGGCAGTCCAGGCCAGTACAGGCTGGCGAGAGTAAGTCCAGGCATGAGCCCAGGGGCCACGGGACGGTGTCCCCCTGCACAAGGAGCCAGGAGACAGTAAGGGAGCCGAGGAGCCCTCATGGGGGCCCAGCAGCCCTGGGTCGCGCAGCCCAGCCCACCCTGCGGTGGAGACAGGCCTTCACCCAGTACACGCAGGCCTGGCCCTCGGGTCGTCGCAGTGAGTCACTCATGTTGTTCACAGATCACCACGCTCAGGAGCCGCATTGACCAGGCCCAGAAGCAGTGAGTAGCCCTGCCGTCCTCGCTCCGCACTGGGCACAGGGGCCCTTGGGGCCAGCCGCTGTAGCCAGTCCCTAACAAGGGCCGGTGGTGGCTGGCCTCGGCAGGGCAGTAACGAGACTAACCCGGCCAGGCCACCCAGGCCAGCATGCGCAGGCCTGTGGCCAGGGACCCGGAGCCTCCTCCCTCTCCTGCACGCAGGGGAGCCCTGGGGGGTGGCAGAGTCAGGAGGAGGGATCCCAATGGGGCTTGCCTGTCACGCCCTCGCCCCGAGTCTGGCACTGGCTGCAGGGAGAGGGCAGCCAGGGGACCCCTAGAAGGGGCTACTCGGGGGGCCTTTGGTGTGGCCAACCTGGGCCCCAGGGTATCCCGCCAGTGTCCCACCCTCCAAGGGGACCTAGGACAGGGAATTAAGCAGTCAGGGCTTCATCACCAGCCCCTCTGTGACGCTGGGCAAAATCATGGACTCCTCAGGATGGTGAAACCTCATCCATAAAATCGTGTCCCTGGGGGCTGTGGGATCCCTTGACACAGCTACTCGACCACCTGCATGGGGCTGCACCCAGGGTGCCCCCGGCGATGCCACGCTGGGGATCCTGTCATGGAGCCCAGCTGCACAGCCAGTGCCATTTCCCCAAGGATCGCAGTGTTTGGGGGCTACTTGGAGTTTCGATGTTTTCTGGGATTCTTCTCCCTCCTCCTGTCGCCTTGGCTTCCCTGCGGCGCCCAGGGCGGGCTCCTCCGTGGTGCACGTGACCTCACGGCCTCCCTGTTGTGCCGTCAGGGGTCATTGCAGACCCCTCTGAGGGTGGGCAGTCGGCGTGGTGTGCATGTGCCTGCGTGTGTGCATGTGTGCATGTGCCGAGAGTGCCCAGGAACGTGTGTGAGGGCACGGCCTTTGCCAGCCAGGTGTCCTGCTGAGCAGCCGCGTCTGAATGGGGCCGGCCTCGCGGGCCGAAGCACTCCTGTCCTCCACCCGCCTTCACCCCTCACCCGCACCCAGCTCCTCCCGGCTCGTGGCCACATGAAGACCTCAGACAAATGGGGCAGGCTCCTGGGCCCCTCAGAGGCCACCGTCTGGAGGGGCATGAGCTCTTTCAAGGCCAAGCGTCTAGGATTATATCATTATCTGCTAAGACAGTCTTCCCCAGCTCAGGGGTCTGTCTGCAGTGGTACCTCAGGCAAAGAAAGGAGGACAGAGGGAGGGTGCCCCGGGCTCACGTGCCAGCCCCCTAACCACACTAACGACCTAGGCCCGCCAGGCACAGGTGAGTGGGCACTGCCCGGACTGAAGCTGGGTGTGGGCCGCAAGCTTGGGCCGGGCCTGTGCCCTGAGAGCAGCCTGGGGTCGGGCTGAGAGTCCGCCCAGGGTGGGGGACCAGGAGGGGCATGGCCAGAGGCCCTGACCCTGAAGGATCACTTGCTTCCCATTTGCAGCAGCAAGAAGGCTGGGACCCCAGCCAAGGGCAAAGTCGGCGGGCGCTGGAAGTAGAGAGGCCAGAAAGGCCCCTCGAGGCAGAGACCCTCCGCCCTCTTGCACACCAGGGCCGCTCGTGGGACTCCACATCCTCCAGCCCCCACAATCCTGTCAGGGGCTCCCTGACAGTCCTGGGGGTGGAGAGGCCATCCCGGGGCGTCCCCCGCGTCTGTGTCCTTGCTGCCTTCATCCCCTGGGGCCTGTGAATAAAGCTGCAGAACCCCCTTCACAGTCTGTACTTGCTTCTGCATGGGGGCCCCGGAGGACACGAGAGGAGGCAGGTAGGGGCTAGCCAATGGCACAGCGTCCTGGTCATCCGCGGGGCCAGCTCAGGAGGGCACTGGCCAGTACGCGCAGGGCCAGCTCAGGAGGGCACTGGCCAGCACGTGCCACCTGCTGCTACGGCCAGGGCGGTGCCTGGATGCCCATCAGACGCTGCCCACAGCTTTTCCCTCTAAAACGTGGGCTCCATCCCCGCGCAAGCCTATAGGGCCCCTCCACTCTCCACTCCCATAGGGTCTTTGTGCAGAAGGGGGTGATCTGCAGGCCTCACCCCCAGCCCCAGACCCTGGCCATCTGCGCCAGCTGTCAATCCACTGGGGGCAGAGAAACTTTGCCTCGGGAGGGGGTGAGGGAGGAGGGCAGGGCTGCGAAAGAGACTTTGCCACCCCCCAGAAAGGCAGAGGCAGGCGGGAGCGGCTCCTGCGTGAGGGGTGCACCCCAGGCCCTGGTCGGGGAAAAACAGTGCAGGAGAGTGCACTCCCAGCAGACAGCAGGCAGGGAAGACACAGACAGCCTTCTCCGGAACGCAGGACAGCAGAGCGCACGCGGGTCGTAAATCTGAAAATCCTGACCAGAGAAAATTATGGAAAGTATAAATCATAGAAATTGGATCAAGACGCAGAGACTTGTACAGCAAAATATTCACAGAGGAAGGTTTGGAGTCCAGAACGGCCCCCAGAAAGACTCAGGGGCGGGCGGGCGGCCACATCCGGGAGTTCTGCTGCCGGGGATGGGGGCCAAGGAGCGGGGGATGGGGGGGAGCAGCACGGCCCCCTCAGTCTGCGATGGGGTTGGGGACAAGGCCAGGACCCAGAGGACAAAACAGAACCTCCAGATAGCATCACACACATGTGCAGACCCTGCAACACACACACACATAACATCACCCCCCACAACACACACACACAGAAACATCACCCCGCACACACACACATACAAATAATATCCCCCCCAACACATGCACACACAGAAACATCACCCCCCACAACACACACACACACAGAAACATCCCAGGTGTGTGACCCCACAACACACACAAAGAAACATCATCTGAGGTGTGTGACCCCACAACACATACACACACACACACACACACACACACACACACACTCCCACACTCCAGCCTGGGAAACAGAGTGAGGCCCTGTCTCTCTCTCACACACACACACACTCCCACACTCCAGCCTGGGAAACAGAGTGAGGCCCTGTCTCAAACACACACACATGCAGAAACTAACCAGAGTGAGACACTGTCTCAAACACACACACACAAAAGCAGAAACCAGAGACCCTGTCTCACACACACACACACACACACACACACTCCCACACTCCAGCCTGGGAAACAGAGTGAGACCCTGTCTCAAACACACACGCACAAGCAGAAACTAACCAGAGTGAGACACTGTCTCAAACACACACACACACACACACACACACACACACACACAAGCAGAAACCAGAGACCATGTCTCACACACACACACACACACACGCCGGCGTGCCCACATTCCAGCCTGGGAAACAGAGTGACACCCTGTCTCAAACACACACACACACACACACACGCAGAAACTAACCAGAGTGAGACCCTGTCTCAAACACACACACACACACACACACACACACGCAGAAACCAGAGAGAGACCCTGTCTCAAACACACAGACACACACACACGTAGAAACCAGAGTGAGACGCTGTCTCTCTCTCTCTCACACACACACACACACACACACACACACAAGCAGAAACCAACCAGGGCATTGGTTGCTTGGGACTGGGAGGTCCAGGGTGGGATGGGGAGCCACACAGGGCACGAGGACAATTTTGGGGCAATGAGGGTGTTTGTCTCCTGATGGGGCTGGCTTCATGGCTGTCTATGTAGATTAAGATGGATGGAATCGTGCAGTTTAAACATGGCAATGGCTGCGTGTCAATGACACCCTCAACGAAGGTGGTTTTAAAAAGTATAAGGCAAATGACAAAACTGGGAAAATATTTTGAATCAAGTATGACAGAGAAGGAGTCATGTCATTCATACATTAAAGACACTTGGAAAAACACGTCAGGAAAACATTCCCACCCTAAGTAATTTGTTCAGGCTGCCATAAGAAAGCACCAAGTCTGGGCAGCTTAAATGACAGACATTTATTCTCTCACAGTCCTGGAGGTTGGAGTCCGAGATCAAGGTGCTGTGGAGCTGGTTCCTCCTGAGGCCTCTCTCCGGGGCTTGCAGATGCCACCATCTCCCTGTGTCCCCAACGGGGCTATCCCTCTGTGCGTGTCTGTGTCCTCATCTCCTCTTGTTATAAGGACACCAGTCCTATTGGATTAAGACCCACCCATATGACTCCATTTTAATTTAATTATGTCTTTAAAGACTCCATCTGCAAAAACAGTCACATTCTGAAGTATTAGCGACTAAGGCTTCAACATATGATTTTTTTTTTGTTGAGACGGATTTCACTCTGTCGCTCAGGCTGGAGTGCAGTGGCACGATCTCGGCTCACTACAACCTCCACCTCCCAGGTTCAAGCGATTCTCCTGCCTCAGCCTCCCTCGTAGCTGGGACTACAGGTACGCACCACCACACTCGACTAATTTTTGTATTTTCAGTAGAGACAGGGTTTCACCCTGTTGGCCAGCTGATCAACTCCTGACCTCAGGTGATCCACCCGCCTCGGCCTCTCAAAGTGCTGGGATTACAGGCGTGAGCCACTGTGCCCGGCCGCAAGGTAAGAATTTTAAGCAGGACACAATTCAGCCTGCAGAAAACATGAGCGACAGACAGAAGCAGCCAAGCCCTGGAATCAGAAATATGAGCAACCGATACACGCACGCCGCTACACCTGGCTCACTTGTCTATTTTTTGTAGAGACAGGGGTTTCACCATGTTGCCCAGGCTGGACTTAAACTCCTGGGCTCAATGATCCACCCACCTTGGCCCCCCAAAGTGTCGGGATTACAGGTGTGAGCCACCGTGCCTGGCCGAGGCTGCAGTTTTCAATGAGGTGGGTGAATGAGGCCTCCGTGGGAAGAGGGCATGGCAAGTGTGCGGGGTCAGCACGTGCCCAGGCCCTGCGGCCCGGGAAGCCCACATGCTACAGGGGCACAAGAAGGCCCACGTGGACCCTCAGAGGCCCCCGACCACGCCATGTGAGAGGCTGACTACCTCTGCCACCCCCTCTTTGTGGCACCCGAGAGCAGGGTGCCTAGGAGGCCAAGAATGGTGGGGGGAACTGGGATTAAGATGGGACTCCTAGAATGGAGGCACTGTTGAGCCCTGGGCCACCAGGAGCAGGTGCTGGGAGGGGCTCTGCTGCTGCAGCAAAGGGGCCAGGTTGGCTGGGAAGGTGGGAGGGAGTGGGGGAGGAAGGTGGGAGGGAGGGGGGAGGGAGAGGGAGGGGCTGATGGGGAGACAAGAAGTCTCTAATGGCAGCTGATTCTGAAGGGCTTCGTCAGGGCAGCACCAACACACCCCCGCCTGCTGTCCTGGTCCTGTCCAAACGCAGCCTCCCATGTGGGTGGGGGGCCTTCTCTTCTGGTTGGGAGAAAAGCCAGGTGGCCACGTGTGTGGCTGGTGATCACAGGCTGGCGCTGCAAGGAGCTTTGAGGCTGCAAGGAGCTCTTGCTGTGCCACTGCACTTCCACACTCCAGCCTGGGAAACAGAGTGAGACCGTCTCAAAACACACACACACACACACACACACACACACACACACACACATACAAAAGCAGAAACCGACCAGGACATTGCTTGCTTGAGACTGGGAAATCCAGGATGGGATGGGGAGCCACACAGGGCACGAGAAAAATTTTGGGGCAATGGGTGTGTCTATCACAGCTCTGGGGAGGGCCGCAGGCTGTTTGGGGGGGTGGTGTCTTCTGGGTTCTATCCTGGTGTAATGCACAATGGCTTTGTGGATGTGAGCAAGCCACATTCCCAGAGCCATGGTCACCCAGCCGGTACACAGGGTCTGAGGATGCTGGACGCAGGCAAGGAGGGTTTGTGGTCCACGCTGTGGCCTGCAGGATGGGCAAGGGCTGGCAACAACCCTTCTGAGCTGCCTGTGCCTCTCCTGTGAGTCCTGCCTGCTCTGCCCCAGGGATCCTGGTGCCTGGGTCTGGCCTCCCCTGGGCTGTCTGGTTCCTGGACAGTGAGAGCCGGTGATCTGCAGCCAGGGCCTGGCACAAGTAGGTGCTGGGTAAAACAAGGGGGTTGCCATTTCTTCCTAATCTTTGAAAACCTGCATTTGAACATGGTGGCTCACTGGTTTGTGCTTACAGTGATTTCGCTACAAGTGTTTGCACCTTTTTGTGTGTTTATTGGCGGGATGAATGAATGAGTCTATGAATGAATGAGTGAGTGTATGTGTGAACAGCCCCTCCCCCACCCTCTGTATGAATGAATGAATGAGTGTATGTGTGAACGGCCCCTCCCCCCACCCTCTGTATGAATGAATGAATGAGTGTATCTGTGAACGGCCCCTCCCCCACCCTCTGAATGAATGAATGAGTGAGTGTATGTATGAACGGCCCCTCCCCCACCCTCTGAATGAATGAATGAATGAGTGTATGTGTGAACAGCCCCTTCCCCACCCTCTGTATGAATGAATGAATGAGTGTATGTGTGAACGGCCCCTCCCCCCCACCCTCTGTATGAATGAATGAATGAGTGTATCTGTGAACGGCCCCTCCCCCACCCTCTGTATGAATGAATGAGTGTATGTATGAACGGCCCCTCCCCCACCCTCTGAATGAATGAATGAATGAGTGTGTGTGTGAACAGCCCCTCCCCCCACCCTCTGTACGAATGAATGAATGAGTGAGTGTATGTGTGAACGGCCCCTCTCCCCCACGACCTGATTCTCATCTGCAGGCTGAAAGTGCTTTCCCAGCTGAATTCGTACGTTCCCTTAAAACCCTTCAGGGACCCTCACTGTAAAAACGCCCCAGCTCCCCCAGCCTGACTCGCAAAGCTCAGTTTAGGGGCTGCCCTTGCAGCGGGGCTCCTGGCTCAGGTCTAGCAGGTGGAAGCAGAAGAGCATGTCCCGACACACCGATGAGAAGTTGCTGAGGACGTGGAGCAGCAGGAAGCACCACCTTTGCAGTGGGAACGCCAAACAGTGCGGCCACTTTGGAAGACCGCGGGGCAGTTTCTTACAAAATCAAACGTCCTCCTACCATACAACCAGCAATGGCCCTCCTGGGTGTTTCTGCAAATGAATTGAAAACTTGTGTCCACCCTAAAACCTGCACACACATGTTTGCAGAGGCTTTATTCATTACTGCCGAGACTTGGAAGTAAACAAGAAGTCCTTCCGTAGGCAAAGGGATAAACCGAGGTACATCCAGACAATGGAACAATATCCGGCCCGAAAAGAATGCACTATGAAACCACAAAAAAACCCAGAGGAGCCCTAGCTGCATCTCACTCATGGCAAGAAGCCAATCTCGAAAGGCTACGTGCTGTATGATTCCAATGATACCACAGCCTGGAGAGGGCAATGCCAAGGCGGCAGTGGAAAGAGCCAGGGCTGCCAGGGGCCGGGGGAGGCAGGAATGCACAGGCAGGGCAGAGGCAGCTTTTCAGGCAGTGACACTTCTGTGTGACACCATAGTGGTGGCTAAAGGACATTTTGCAAGGATGAAACCTGGGGGTAAACTCTGGACTTAATAGTAATGCATCAGTATTGGTTTATCAATTGGAACAGATCACACCACACGATGCAAGATGTTAATAATGGAGGGGCACTCAAGGAGAGGGGGTCTGTGGGAACTCTGTATACTCCCTGAGCAATTTTTCTGTAAGCCCAAAGTTCCTCTAAAAGATAAGGTCTACTTAAAAAGGACCAATTATTGGGCCAGGTGCAGTGGCTCATGCCTGTAATCCTAGCACTCTGGGAGGCCGAGGCAGGTGGATCACCTGCGGTCAGGAGTTCGAGAACAGCCTGGCCAACGTGGCGAAACCCCATCCTTATTAAAAATACAAAATCAGTTGGGCGTGGGGGCCCGCACCTGTAATCCCAGCTACTCGGGAGGCCGAGTCAGGGGAACTGCTTGAACCTACGAGGTGGAGGCTGCAGTGAGCCAAGACTGTGCCATTGCACTCCAGCCTGGGCTACACGTGACCCTGTCTCAAAAAATAAAAAATAAAATACAATAAAATAAAATAAGGGCCAGGCATAGTGGCTCACGCCTATAATCCCAGCATTTTGGGAGGCCAAAGTGGGCGGATCACGAGGTCAGGAGATGGAGACCATCCTGGCTAACATGGTGAAACCCTGTCTCTATTAAAAATACAAAAATTAGCCGGGTATGGTGGCGCACGCCTGTAATCCCAGCTACTCAGGAGGCTGAGGCAGGAGAATTGCTTGAACCCGGGAGGCAGAGATTGCAGTGAGCCAAGATCGCGCCACTGCACTCCAGCCTGGCGACAGAGTGAGAGTGAGACTCTGTCTCAAATAAATAAACAAATAAAAATAAAATGACAATTTATTAGTTGTTTATCTGAACTTCAGATTTAACTGGGCCTGTATTTATCTGGCAGCCTCAACCCCGTGCAGACCATTGATCTCAGGAGAGGCAGGCAGAGCGGAAGCCGCGCTGGCATTTGTGTTCAATGGCAGGTGGGAAGGAGGAAGAGGAGGTCTCCACTGGCTCCCCAGGCATCTCAGAGACCCCCCATACTTAGCATGCCTTCCGGAGGATCCCATTAGCAGACTATCAGAGAAACAGGGATGGAAGGAGTGGTGAGGGGTCTGCTCCATTGTGACCCCACCCCTGCCTCGCCCTGAGGAAGGACCTCAGCTCCTAGCTCAACCGCCGCCCTCCAGCAGCCCCAGTGATCTGAGCAGCACCCACCCGTGACCCACAGCTCGGCCTCCAATCACCCTCCTCTCCACATCGGCCACCCACAACTCTGAACCCAACTTCCAGCAGCCACATATCTCTAAGCACACTGCACAATGTGGCTGCCGAAAGAGGCAGCATTGCATGAACATAAAAGGAAGCCTGAGGACCCCCGGCCCCAGGACCCCCCTTCTCCAGCTCCATCCCTGTCCTGCGGTCTGCTCCTTGGGCCTGGCCAAGGGCACCTGCTGCTGGGCAAAGGCCTGTCTGGTCACCAGCCTCCTGGGACCCTGCCACTGGCAGCCTGGAGCTTCTCCACCTCACGCAGGCCTGGACAACAGTGGGGACGGCTGCCACCACCTTCCCTGCCCACTCTGGCCCACTTCTCACTCCATCCTGCTTCAATGCCTTCATGCTAGATAGACCCCCTGGAGTCATTTCCACTCAAACCCACCCATCAGGAGGAACTCCAGCCCTACCCGGCCCAGGCCCTCGGAGGGGCACAGTGCCCTCTCCTCCTCCTGAATTTCCATCAACCCCAGTGCCCTCCCGCAGCCCTGTTCCCACCTGCAGGCCTGGGCCCCCTGCCCCCAGCAACAACCAGGACCCATGGCCCCGCTTCTTGCTCTGAAGCATGACACCCCTGCCTCTTGCTCTGAAGAACACTTAGGGTGCTGTTGGGTGCGGGAACAAGCCAGGCTTGGGGGTGGGGGGCACGGGCAGTTAAAGAGATAGATGGAGAAGTGGCCTGAATCCAGCCACCAGGCAGAGGAAACCAGGGGAGGAGGGAGAGGCCTGGGGACAGGGGAGGGAGGCTGCTGCCCTCTACTCCCGAAGGGTCCCAGCAGCCCTCCTGGCCAGCACTACCCAAGGAAAGGAGTGAGGACTGGGCCTTGGACGGGGGTCCCTGTAGAGAGGGCCTTGCCAGAGGCTGGAGGGGGCTGGCCAGAAGGGTGGAGAGGGGGTGAGCAAACGGCAAGGCCTGAAGAGGCCAGTGGCCCTCTTGGAGGAGGCGTGGTGGGAGCACCGAGGATGGACAGCGTGGCTGGTGTGGCCAGCGTGGGGGCTGCCAACCGGGCTGGCCAGAAGGGCGAGGTGAGGGGCCCTGGGGTTCCGGGCTCCCGGGTAAAAACAGCCAGATGGAGAGAGGGGCTTCAGACCCCAGGCCCGGGGACCCGCCCTCCCCAGCACTACAGCCCCGGTTCTCCACTTCCAGCTCCCAGCAGCTGCAAGCGCAGCGGTGCGGGGCCAGGCTGTGGCCTGGAGCTGCCAAAGGGCAGGGGCACGGGTGTGGGGGGCGTGCAGGCCGGGGTCCCGGGAGGCAGGGCAGACAGGCCCGAAAGAGTGCGACGGCGGCGGGAGGTCTCTGGGGCTGGGAGGGGTGCGGGCGTGGGCGGGGCGCGAGCAGCAGGGGCGCGGGCCCGGGCTTCAGGCTGTGGGGCCGGGAGTGCGGGGCGGGACTGCTGCGGCCCCGCGTCCTGTGGAGTCTGCGGCGCGGGGAGTGGGGGTCGGGGCGGGGAGGAACGTGGGGTGCGGGACAGGAGGGGGGCAGGGAGGGAGAAGAAGGCGGCGCGGGGCGGGGCGGGCGCAGGGCTGGGGACGGCACGGGCGCGCGGCACGGGCGCTGGCGCGTGCGGGGGGGGCGGCGCGGCCTCCGGAAGCGAGGGGGCGCTGTGCCAGGCGGCGGCCGTGCGGGGCGGGCGCGCTGCTCCTTCCGCCTCGCGGACCCCGGAAGCGCGCGTGGCCGCCATGGCGCGGAATGTGGTGTGAGTAGGGGTCGTCACCCCCCCGTCGCGGGGCGCCCCTTAGTGTCACAAGCAGACGGACCCCACAGGGCGCGCGGACTCCGGGGAGCGGGGTGGGCGTCCCTGGGCCGCCTCCTGGCCCGGGCGAGGCAGGGTTCTCCGGGACCCCCTGTCATGCCTTGAGACACGCGAGGCGGGTGGCGGAGGAGCCCCCCGCCAGGTTTAGGGCAACCCCAGGGGGCGGGCGTGGCCGGGCTGGGGACAGAGGGTCCGAGCCAAACCCATGGAGGCCACGGTGCCCCCGCGTGGGGAGTGGGAGGGTGGCCCGGGGTCAGGCCCGGGGCTGGTCCCGCAGCCAGGGCCGAGGGAGCTGTTTGGAGACGTTTCTGATCGTCACGGGGCGGGGGCCACGTCGGCTGTTGGGTCCAGGCGGGGAGGCCCGGGCGGCCCCCACCGCAGCGCGGGCGCGGCCTGAGGCAGAGGAGCTGGGAATCCAGATTGGGTTTGAGTGGGAAAGGGCAGCTGACCGCAGCCCTCAGGGCTTTGGGGCAGGCAGGGCGGGAGGCCCGGTTCTGCTCAGCCCAGACCCCCCACGCCCACTCTGCATGTTCTCTGGATTCCCAGGGGGCCATCGGGGCGCTGTCCTGCACCACTTCGCCCTCCCCAAATTGAAGCAGGAAGCCCTGCATATTTCTTGGTGAACGAATGACTCAGGCGTAATCAGTAGATGTGGGCTCCCGGGTGGGTTTTGGAGAACAGTAATCAGTGTTTCTGGAGAGGGACGGTCAAGGGGCCAGGGTGTGGCTTTGGAGGCCCCTGCACATAGCTGGGGAGAGAGGGGAGGGTGGCAGGTGGGACCCCCAGTGGAGGAGGCTTCCTTCAGCAGACACCTGGGACCGGTGCTGCGCGTGGCCCTGACCTTGGGGAACACCCAGCACCAAGGAAGAAAAGGTCTGAGTGAGGCCAACACTGCCCTGAGCCTCACGTGAATTCCACGCTGGCCCTTCGCCTGTCCCTGGAGAATGAGGAGGAAGTGAGGGTCAGAGGACCCGGGTGGGGTGTTCCTGAAGGGCCAAGGGTGGTGGGCCCCTGGAAACGGATCAGGTGTGGTTGCCTTGGAGGCAGCGGGGCCCGCTCGCCCAGCAGTGCACACACTCCTGTTGCCAGGGAGCCTTTGCAGGGAGCGCTGACTGGACTTGCTGTGGACTGGATGCAGCTGGGGTGGGGGTGCCGAGAGGGTGGGATCCTGGGTGAGTCACTCGTGGGGCCGTGGGGAGGCAGGCTGGTGGCAGTGAGCCAGGTTTTTGTGTTTTGAGGAAGAAGTTAGTGCAGAGTTCTACTTGAGATAGGTTACCGTGGAGGTGCTTGTGAAATCCCATGCGGAGTGCTTGGGGTGCTCCCTGGGGAGAGTGGGACTGAGGGAACTGAGGGCTGGTGGGCCCACAAGGGTTCGAGAACAAAAGAGAGGCCTTAGAGCCCTGTCCTGGGGCCCTGGGTGTCGACAGTGCAGATTGTTCCAGATCTGCAGGCTCCATGCACAGGCAGCTGGCGCTCCAGCCTGGAGAGGCTCGGCCTGTGGGAACAAGGACAGTGAATCGTCCTGGCCCAACCCCTGCCAGCCTCTCATCTCAAGCCCACACATGGCCCTTCAGACCCTTAGCAAAGTGTGCCCTTCAGGCCCCAAGCCTGGAGACTCGAAAATTAATGGCCTGGGAGCTGTTGAACCCTCTTTTCTACTGTTTACTGGGAGTCCCCAAACTTTGTCTCCACTCCTGCAGTCCCACAGCTGGTCACCAGAGGGAATGTGTGAGCCCCTCGGGTGGCCATGGCTAGCCTGAACCTGTGGGTAAAACAAGTCAGGCCCCTCCACCTCCAGAGCCCACCCTTTCTTCTCGGCCTCTCACTGGGGCCCACCCCTGAAGGCTGCACTCTGAGGCTTGGAAAGGCCAAGGCCATGCCCAAGAGGAGGCTCTGCTGGGGTTGGGTGAGTGAAGACTCAGCCCCACTGGCCCGGCCACCAGGCTGCCATGTGTCAGTGTGGTCATCAGGAGGCCTGGGGTGGACATGATTAGTGATCGGGCTTTGTTACAGGCGCCTTGCCTCTGAGAGGTCCCAGCAGCTCCTGGCCCCTGCCAGGCCCTCAGGCCCAGAGGCTCAGTGCTGCCTACCACTGTTGGCCCTTCAGGAACACCCCACCCAAGGCCTCTGACCCTCACTTCCTCCTCATCTTCCCTAGACAGGCAGAGGCCAGCGTGAAATTCATGTGAAGCCTGGGGCAGCGTTGGCCTCACGGAGCCCCTCTTAACTTGGTGCTGGGTGCTCCCAAGGCCAGGGCCATGTGCAGTGCCTCAGATAAGGCCACCAGAGACCCCTCAAGAGCCCCTGTGCTCCCCGTCCACCAAGACCTGCACCTAGGCTCTCAGACCCCACATCCCCCGAGACCCAGCAGGCCTGAGTTTCTCCTGTGCCCCTCCTCCCCCCAGCTCTGAGGCCCAGATAGAGCCAGGGTGTGCCGGCAGTGGCAGGGGCGGGAACGGGGGTGGGGGACGGTAGGACGGTGCTGCCTGTCCACCCAGCTGAACGTGGGAGAATGCACGAAACCAACTGGCTAGAGATTCTGCACGATCGTCACCTGGCCCCCCAGCCCAGGCAGCGTGCTGGTCTAGTTTGCGGTGGCCACTTGGCACCTCTCCATCTGCCTCTGCTGGCTTTTAGTGGAGTGCTGGGGTGTGGTGCACTCAACTCACATTTAGTGTACTGAATCAGAGTCTTGGCAGCACCGTCTTCCAGGAGCCTAAGCCTGGTTAGCCTGCGTTCTCCATACCGAGGAGCTAGGCCCTGCTGCCACCGGGAGAGTGCGGAGCTGGCCTTTTCTGTCCCATGGTGTGTGGTTCTCTGCAGCTCCACTTCACCCGAGCAGCAGGAGAGTGGGCCGGCCGCGTGGGGTCTGCTCTCCCAGGGGTATCAGTGCCCCAACACACGTCTTTGAGCCTTGCCATCAGCTTATTGGGGGAATGCTGTCTGCGGGGTTCTGATTTTTGTCCATTGGCCTTTTCTAAAGTCTGACCTTGGGGGTCAACAGCGCATGCTCCTTAAGTCGATGCTAGGGACTGGCCGTCCACCTTGGCAGGCCCATGTGAGAAAGGGGCTGTGGGGACCTCTGTGTCCTTGGGTGGTGACCTGCTGATAGCTACCCCGTTTCCCGCCCACCCCTGTTGTGAGTGGACACGCGGGGGTCTGCAGGGTTAGCTACCCTGTTTCCCGCCCACCCCTGTTGTGAGTGGACACGCGGGGGTCTGCAGGGTTAGCTACCCTGTTTCCCGCCCACCACTGTTGGGAGTGGACACGCGGGGGTCTGCAGGGTTAGCTACCCCGTTTCCCGCCCACCACTGTTGGGAGTGGACACTCAGGGATCCGCAGTGTTAGCTACCCCCTTTTCTGCCCACCCTGTTGTGAGTGGACACTCGGAGGTCTGCAGGGTTGGTGTGTCGGGCTGCCTTGGCCTAAGTGTGTGACATGGACCCAATCTCTTCTGTACAGGTACCCCCTGTACCGGCTGGGTGGCCCACAACTTCGGGTGTTCCGAACCAACTTCTTCATTCAGCTGGTGCGGCCCGGTGTGGCCCAGCCCGAGGACACCGTGCAGTTCCGGATCCCCATGGAGTGAGTCCGGGAGGATTCCGGCTGGGGTTGGGGAGCACCCTCGGGGGGATCCCCGTGGAGTGAGCCCGGAAGTTTTCCCGCTGGGTTGGGAGAGTGCCCTCAGGGGGGCCTGGGTCCTGAGTTAAAACAACTCTGCTCACGTGCTAGCCTCTTCCTGCTGGGAAGGCACCTCAGGCGGCCCTGCCCGGCAAGTATTGATGGAGTGCCTGTAGGTGTGGAGCCCGGCAGGCAGGCTGCACGCCGCCCTCCACCCGGGGACGGCTTCACTGGAAGCCTTAAAATTTGGACCTCTGTGCTCGCGTCTTCTGTTGAGTTCTTGCAGCTTCTTTTTAGGAGAGGCGCCCTGAGAGGCTGGGTTGGGAGCAGGCCGTGATGTACAGAACCGCTCAGAAGAGCCTGCTTGACCTTCAGAGAAATGCACAGTCCCTACGAGCAAAACTGGGGTGCTGCTCTGCAGTGTTTAAGTTCACAGGTCCCCAGCTCAGGGTTGATGCGAGCCAGGCGGGGCAGCAGCGTGAGCTCCCCTGGGGGCGAAGGTCAGGCCTGTGCAGCCTGCAGGGGCCCAGAAGCTGAGTTGACAGTGACCGTGAGGTTCTGCAGTAGAGGGAACTTGCAGTTAACGCACCGAATGCCAGGCAGGCCTTTCCAGAAGGTACTTCCTAGAACCGCATCAGTCCCATCAGCCGCAGAGCAGGCCTAACCCTGATGCGGCCACTGGGCCCCGGGGCAGACGAGGTGGGGCACCTGCCAGCCAGGAGCGTGCAGAGACTGTCACCTCCTCTCACAGGCACTTGCCCGGAGCAGGGAGCCATGTGGGGCTGTGGAGCAGGCCAGGGGTTGGTTGGGCAGTGCTCCCACTCTGTGGGGTCTGTGCCACTGCCACCCCATGCTGGTGTGCCCAGAGTAGGGAGTCTTGCAGCCAGCAGCACTGGTGTTGCTGGGGCTGCCTGGCCTCACTAGTGCCGCTGATGTACCCAGCCCTCCTCCCTGCCCCCTGTGGGTCTTGGTCTGTCGGCCTCTCAGCCTCGGGTGCTTGTGCATCTGGGACAGTATTTTTGGCTTTTAGCCTGGTTAAGATGCCGTTTTCTTTCTCCTTCGCCTCCAGAATGACAAGGGTGGACCTCAGGAATTACCTCGAGGGCATCTATAACGTGCCCGTGGCTGCTGTGCGGACACGGGTGCAGCATGGTGAGTGCCCATGGGAGGTTCTCCTGTTGGTGTCGTGCCCATCTGTGCCACATGCCCACCTCGCCGAGCCACAGCCTCAGCTACTGCATGGGGGTCTTGGTCTGACGTGGCTCATGGGAAACTGAGGCACAGGGTGACTTGTCAGGGTCACACGGTGCTTACGTGCCAGAGCAGGGATTGGAATTCAACTGGGCTGGCCCGGGGTCCATTCTGAGCCCTGACTCCTGCCGTCAGCCCCCGAGGTGGGACTGCAGTGGCTGAGGCTGGGGAGCAAAGCGCTGTCTGTTCCATAAGCCCCTGTCGTGTGCCCTGGCTGGTGCCACGTCCGCTCCTTTGTTGAGAACCTGCTGGCCTCTGTTGGGAGAAGGGAGGAGCCTGGGAGCCTGCTGTGCTGGCTCGTTTGATTACAGTGCCCATTTCCCTGAGAAATCGCCTTTTTGAGTTTTTAAAAACATATTTACATTTTTAAGAGAGCAGAGGTTCGTTTTAGTGGCATTGACCTCTGAGGATGTAATTTTTTAAAGTTCTGATTTTTTTAAAGTTCTGATTTTTTTTTCACTCCCTTCCGGCAGGCTCTAACAAGAGAAGAGATCACAGAAACGTGAGGATCAAGAAGCCGGACTACAAGGTCGCCTACGTGCAGCTGGTGCGTGTGAGCTGGCCAGCCCCAGCGGGGCCTCCGAGGGGCTCCTCGCAACTGTGTCCTTGGGGATGTTTGTGCCGGAGACGCTGCGCTGGGGCCCAGGGAGCCCCCGTGAGGCCGGATCTCAGGGCCTCAGCGCAGAGGCAGGCTCCACATAAGGTCATGCTCCGTCACGGCCTTGGGGGTGTTAGTGGTGGCGCTGGGAGCACGTGAGCACTGGGGCACATGGGGCACGTCTCAGCGTCCGGCCGTTTTGTGATTTTGAAGTTTGAATTCTCTGTGGGCAAAGGCAGCCATCACAGGCCTAGTGGGTTTCAACTCCAACGCACACCAGGGTGTCAGAGCATGGGAGGCCCCGGCCTCTGGAGAGCCTGTCCTTGGCTGGGTTTCAGCCTCGGAGGCAGAGTGTGAGGCCCCTGAGGGCAAAGGTCTTTGGTGCCAAGGCAGGTCTGGCTGGCCGGGCTGTTGGCTGAGGCCCATGTCCTGCATTGCAGGGTAGCAGGTCCCACGTACTTGTTAGGGCTCAGCAGGCTGCTTCTGAGCAGGTGCTTTCTTACGTATCCTGGGGGGCTCTGGGGAGGAAGAACCCTCACCCCACGTTGCCTGGGCCTTCAGTTTCTGAAACCCAGACTTGTCAGGAGTGAGACCCACAGTTTCAAAGCCTTTCTTTGGGCTCTTCATTTTGAGTCCCAGGCAAACCCAGAGGCACTTTCTCTCTGGGCCAAGATGTCCACAGCCTGCCCCGGCCGCCTCCTGGGCCTCCCCACTCTGCCCCTGGGGCTGGCCTTACTGGGTGGGGATGGGGTTGTCTTCCGGTGTAAATGGTCCCTGGAGGCCGAGCCGGCGGGCCCTGCCACTAGATGGCAGTCACACGATGGTGGAAACCGCCTCCTGGGCCAGCCGGCCTGTTGTGGGGCTAAGGAGGCAGTTTGTGAAAAAGGCCAAGTTAGCATGGCAGCTTTTCTGAAAAACAGTCACATTTGTTGTTCTAAACAGGGGCCCCCGGAATAATTTGGCCTGATATTTGCTGTGCATGAAATCAGCCAATCCAGGTGGGGAGAGCAGCCGTTGGCCTCATAAAGGCCTCTGTGTGCTCAGTGTCAGTCGGGCCCATCTGTCTTTGTCATGGCATGTGGGTGGACATCCCGTGTGCCGGCACCGCCACGGGCACTTCAGAGGCAGCTACGGTTACAAGTGGCATTCAAGTCATCCGAGCCCTTGCGTTCTTCCTCTGGGCCCCACCTCCCATGAAAACTGAACCCAGCAGCTCCGGGATCCGGTGTCTGCAGCTGCTGCCCGCGTGTTGTTCTCCCTCTGTGAAGTCCAGGCAGCCAGAGACAGGGCAGGGCAACTGGGAGCCTGAAGGGTCCCAGTTGGGCATGGATCCTCCTGTTCCAGAATGAAAATTTGTAACGGGTCCTCACCCCCCTTCCTGAACTCCAGCACATCTTTGCACAGCCTAGAAATGGGCCGTGGCCGTTGGTCCCTGTCTGCCCGCAGAGGGGACTCTCAAGGCCCTTTCCTGTCTCGTGTCTGCTGAGACCTTGCTCAGCGTGTCCCCCTGGGCCCTGCGCCAGGGCTTAGAATCACTGCTAATTGCAAAGCCCAGGGAGGGAGCATTGGAAAGGTAAAATTATCCACGTTATTTGGAGTTGGCCGCTGTGGAAAGGCCCTGTCCCACGTGGCGGGAGTCCCACATTTCTTTCTCCGACAACCTGATAAGCATCTCCTTGGCCCAAAGTCCTGGGAGCTGAAAGCAGCGCCTCAGTGACCCACACAACAAAAAGACCATTGACTGCCCGCTGCCCCGAGGCTTGTGTGGATGCTGAGCAGCGCGGGAATGAAGGGCGCGCAGGAATGAAGGGCGCACGACATGAGAGGCAACTCCAGAACAAACCGCTGCCGCCAGCTGGGCCGAGCTCCGTGCTCGGGGCTCCGGCCTCCAGGTCCAGGCAGGCGGCAGCCCCCAGGGCGCCCTGGGATTCCTGAAGGCAGGGCTGCCTTGTTTACTTGTCATTGGGACATTTTTCTCCATTCCTGTTCTTTACCCCGATCAGCTGTCTCTCTCCTTTTTGGAAGGATCAAGGGCTTTTTTTTTTTAGGTACAAGGTGAACTCTTCTAGAAAGGGGAAGCCCCTGGGAAACCATGCTTGGCATCCCCAAACGGTGTTTGTCTCCTGTAAGAAACGGATTTTCTCTCAGCACCTTTCCCCATTTCTTCCCGAAGCTGTGACAAATGGCCATGTTTGTGCTTTAAACTGTCATTTTGGGTTCCCCTTGCCTCGGAAAACTAGCAGAATCACCTCCATATAGTCAAGGTGAATCTCCCATTCTGGGCAGTCAGCCTCACGTGTAAACGACTGCCCCTTGGTATTTTAAAAGACGCAAAGTTCAGAGCTGTGTAAGGCAATCCTCCTGCAGGCCGGCTACGGCGCACGCAGTGCCACTCTCCCCGCCAGCCCCTGCGCTCTGCGCCAGGGATCAGGGTGCATACACCTCCCTCGCAGGGTGGGATCTGGGCCTGTTTCAGATCATACTTGGCTGCCTGCCCACATCCAGATTTATTTACACACAAAGGGTCTGCAAGAGCCAAGTGTACCTGACTGATTTTACTCACTAAAGGGTTCCAGATTCGGGTGCCATCCTCACTCCTCCTCCCTCTTCTCTTCCCTCTCCTCTGGTCTGCTCTTTCTGCCTCTTAGCTTTGGAGCACTTAGTAATCATTAGCAAGTTAAGATGGCTTCTTGTATTTGCTTAGGTCCCCAAGGAGCAGTATCCCCTCCTTCTCGTGAACCCGAGCCACATGCTGTGGCCTGGGCTGGGGCTTGGCTGACACGGACATATTCTGAACTCTCAGCAGAAGATGTAAGACCAGTTAATTGGCAGAGCCGGTCCTGATTTATCAACTGCCGCACGTGCATGTTTCTTCGTACGTGATGTTCACTTTAATTGCCAGGCTCTGGGCTGGGAGGAGGGGGAGCTTTAATGTGAGTAGAGCCTGAGGCATTTTGGATGGACAGGTTCAGCATGGTACCAGACGTGATTTGTGTCATGTTTTTCCATGCCTTGTTTCTGCCCCCCACCAACCAGGTGGCCCCGTGCTAGTAAATGGGTGCACCCAGGGCGGGGGCAGACACCAGGCCCTAAAGAGACAATGGTGGGGAAAGCGGCCCTGTCCTGGAGCTGTGGCCTCTGCTGCAGCGTGACAGCCGGGGGCCGGTGGCCGTGGGGGTGCTTACATTCCAGGCAGGGACGCTGCCCCAGGAGGCCCAGGGAGGTACCTCTGAGCAGTTGAATCCGGCGCCGGCAGAAAGGGGCTGCCAGAAAGCATGAGGCTCCCCCACAGACCCCTCTGCTGAGGAGTCTTTGCAGCTCTGGCTGGAGCCTTTGTTCTCCCCCTTAGGCCCATGGACAGACCTTCACGTTCCCAGATCTGTTTCCCGAGAAAGACGAGAGCCCTGAAGGCAGCGCTGCCGACGACCTCTACAGCATGCTCGAGGAGGAGAGGCAGCAGAGGCAGAGCAGCGACCCGCGGCGGGGCGGCGTCCCCAGCTGGTTCGGGCTGTGACGGGGTGGCCAGCAGGGACGCGCCCCAGGTGGGCAGCTGTGGCAGAGCAGCGACCCGCGGCGGGGCGGCATCCCCAGCTGGTTCGGGCCGTGACGGGGCGGCCAGCAGGGACGCGCCCCAGGTGGGCAGCTGTGGCAGAGCAGTCCCGACACCTAAATAAAAGTCTTGCTGCAGGAGAAAGAGCCGGAAGCTCTGCTTCCTTCTTCTCTTGGGTCTCTGGGTGCCAGACACGCAGCAGCCACCCCCCAGCTCTGAGCGCCACGTGGCCTGGCTCCGCTTTCCCAGGGTCTGGGCAGTGGGCGCGGCCGGGGTCTGGTCTCTGAGTTGACGGGGAACTGAGGGTGGGCAGACTTGAGACGTGGCCCCATGCTGGGGAGGCGGGTTGGCCAGAGAGGGCCACACACAGGCTCGGAGCTGCATGCCAGGTGGGGAATGAGACACGCAGGTGAAAAGACCCAGAAGATAGTTCTGAGCGCCCACATTCAGAGCCTGAGCCCAGAGGCGTCGGGAGGAATGGAGGGGTCAGCGTGAGCACGGGGCGGCGCCGGGTGAGAGAACGGCCTGGCCTGGACAGAAGTTCTGGGGAGGGGCTGCCAGGGCAGCAGCCCTCAGGGGGCCTGGTGAGGGAACTCCGGCCCGCCTGTGGGTTTCGGTTTGGCACTGTTGGCAGCAAGAACCCGAGAAGGGCCGGGAAGGGATCCGAGGGCAGCAGTGTCTCAGGAGAGCCATGGCGGAGAGGTGCCGTCGGGCGGAGAGGTGCCGTCGGGCACAGGCCCGGGGCTGGGCCTAGGGGACAGGGAGGACCCAGCCTGGAAAGGTGGTTAGGGCAGGGGGCAAGGTGTGGCCAGCAACCACTGCAAAACAGTTCTGTGGGCTTCTCGGCCCTGGGGGTGGACAGGTCGAGAGAGGAGAGGGTGGGCTTGAGCATCCTGTTGGAGGTGCCCAGTGGCCTCGCAGTGTCTGGGTGGATGCCTGGGTCTAGACCCTTGTTCTGTCGGCCCAGGGCAGGTCAGGACGCACGGCCCCTGCTCTGATTCTTGTCTAAAGGGTTCTGCGTGGAAGCCTGTGGCCCTGCCAGAGGCTCTGTGCTGCCTCTCCTAGCCTGGCCTGGCCTGTGGGAGCAAAAGGGGGTTGCCCGGCCGCCGTTTTTGGGGCCTGAACCTGGCAGACTGGCCTGGGTTCCCGTTCCAGCAAAGCTGGACAGGCCAGCCGGGGCAGCCTCCAGGGGGCCCTGAGCTGGATACAGAATTGATTTTTGGTTTTAATGATGTCTTATTCAGAACCTTCCAAGGAGCCCGGAAGGTTTCCAGCCCCTCTTCCCAGAACCCCTGCATCTGGTGAGGCCCAGGGCCTCCAGAGCCCCTTCTGGCCCCGTCTCCATGCGGCAGCTGGTGCGTCCTCAGGACGGGTTGCAGAGGCCTGGGGGCCCCTCTGTTTTTCTTAGTCTGTCCTTGGTTCCAGTGCTTCCCGAGAAAATCCAACATGGAGGCCAGAGCAAGGCCCCCTCCCTGCTGTGTGCGGGCAGCTCCGGCTTTGGGGTTGGGAATCAAAACCAGGGCCCACGTGTACGTCGGGAGCCATCTGCGCTCCACCCTGACCAGGACGGAGCCGCACTCGGGCGTCTGGGGGAAAGCCCACGGCGCGGCTTTCTTGCACGAAGTTGGGTTTGCCGTGTAAGCCTCCCCATGCGAATGCTCAGAAGAACACAGGTGTCACGTGGCCTTGGGACCAACCCTGATCTGCAGCGTGGGCCTGTTGTGGTCTGAGTGAGGGTCCTGGCTTTTCCTTCTGCTTGGGCAGCCTTCCGAGGGTCTTGCAAGAGGAGATGGCGTGGCAGCTGGCTCAGCCTCCCCTCCCCCAGCCCGGAGTGCAGGCAGGAGGGGGTGTGGCGGGGGAAGTGTTCGGCTAGGGGGTGAAGGCCCGGGCAAGCTCACCCTTCAGTGTTGATTTAAAGGGATGGGGAAGGTCAGGAAGTAGAGCCGGAGAAATGGAGTCAACTGTGTTTTCCTTAGAGAAATAATTCATGGGGCCTAGAGCTCTGAGGACCCTAACTCACGGCAGGGGAAGAGGAATCCCATCCTTCATCCACGGCACGTCCAGCCCCGCACACAGGGGCCGTTAGCAGCCCTGCTGGCGGCCAGCGCACCAGGCACACTCCATCACGGCCGCCACCCCCAGACGCAGCCCTGACTCCGGCTCCAGCCGCCCCGGCCTCCAGATCCTCCTCCCGCCCTGTCTCACCCCGGCCTGTGCTGTCCCGTCGCAGCCCCCATGTCTCCCACAGGCCTCCCTGCCAGGGAGGAGAAAGGGGCTGGGGAGCTACTGCACCCCCATCTCCACAGCACACCAGGGGCTCCCTCACTCCCCAGTCGTCACTGGGCATCCTTCTGCATGGCAGCCCACTGACCCCGGTAAGGGGCTGGCTGAGGGCCGGGCCTTAGGGGAGATAATAGCCTCAGGGGCCTGCCAAGTGCGTGGCCTGGGCCCAGTCCCAGGGGGTGCCCAGATGGAGGCAAGACCAAAATGCGGGGATGAGCACGGGGTGAGGCTGGGCGCATTTCTTGAAGAATGGGGGATAGGGACGGGCGTGTGGCGGTCCAGCGTGAGAAACAGGGCTGCCAGTCCTCGGCGGGGGTGGGTGATTCACACAAGACCCCACTTTCTGGGTCGTTGACTTGACCAATGGTTTCTGGTCTGAGCCGGGTGTCAGAACTGAGGCCCCCGGGTATCTGTCCCAGCCGCGTGTGGCATGACCTAGCCATGTCACTGGGTAGTCTTCCCCAAAGCATCCACACCCACCTCACATGCCTGCTGCAGAGGAGCGCGGAGCAGGCCGGGGTGGGCAGGCGGCCCCACTCAGGGTCTGGAAGGCTTGGCCTCTCCAAGAGCCCTGCGTGCCGCACCCATGGAGCTGAGCTTGGGGTAGCCAACCAGGGCTGTGCGGGGAGGGCCCACAGGAAGGGCCCTGGGTGGAGTGGGATGCTCGGGTTCAGCTGGGGGTCTGCTCCCACCACCTCAGGCACACACACAGCCCACAGAAGGGACCGGCTGGACGCGCCAGCTCCCGTGACCCGCTCCTGCCTGGAGGCTCAGGGAGGGAGGGAGCAGCACCTGGGCAGGTCTGTCTTTTCCCCAGTACGAGGGCCCACTGTCGTGGCGCATGTGCTCACACAGGCTCTTTCATGCATGGGGACCAGAGAGGGTCTCACAGGGCCCCTCCGGCCCGGGCGTCAACCTCACCACCCCCACACCTGGGCAAGACCCCTGTCCAACCCAAACAGGCTGTTCCTGCAGAAGGAACTCGCCCGGAAAGATGCATCTCCCAAGGCTGACAGGACCACTCCCGCCTGTGTCTGGACATCCTCAGCGTGGCAGGAGTGGGAGAGGGACCCTGACCCAAGAGATAGCAAGTGGGCCCGCGGCCTTGCCTCGGTCGCCCCCAACATGACAGCCCTTCCCCTCGTGGACATCTCCAGCTGGGAGCAGGGTCGGGGACAGCCAGAGACAAAGGCAACAGGACGAGGGAGAGAGCCGACAGCGCTGCTCCGTGTCCCCATTCATGTTCATTTATTGCCATGCAGGGGTGATGCAAGGCCCAGGCAGTGCCATGCTGCGTGCATGGGAAGGGGTGGAGGGCCCTCGGGACCGCACCGGGCTGTGCTCATAGCTGGACGGCCCCACTTCTCTATGCTGATGAGTTTATAGCCATGATGGGCCCAGCTCTACGGCCCACAGGAGCCCATGCCCTGGCAGCTCCAGGTAAGAGCCAAGCTGCCGGAATGGAGCAGAAACCCCTCTGTCTTCTGTCCTCCTCCTCCCCAGGTGCCGCACCCTCGGTCCCCTCCTCTCTATCTCCAGCACCGCTCACAGCTCCGCACCCCCAGAATTCCCTGCATTGTCGTCTCTGCGTCTTGGGGCCCTGCAGAGATGCCTGCAGTGCCCTGTGCGTGGTGGCCAGGGCCTGGGCTGCGGTGTACGTGAGTGCCCGTCTCATCTCCCTAACCGGCTAAGAGTTCTTTCAAGGCCAAGAATTCTTCTCTTTGACCATATTTCCACCCCTCCGCCTGCCCTAAGACGCTCTCCATAGTGGACGCTGCACTTTGCCATGGCATGCCGGGTGGACAGGACTGCTGGGGCCCCCGTGTTCCAGCCTCTCCTGCGCCTCCAGATGCCTCCTGAGGGCATCTGGGGCATCTGGTTCTCCTCTTTGGGAGCTGGCAGTGTTCCTGGGGCGGCTTGATAGTGTCCCATCTATGGCATCACTTCCGTACCTGGTGGCAGATGAGCAGCCAGGTGCTGGGGCAGGAGTGGGCTCTTCCTGTCCCTGGCTCCCTGGGCTCCTCCTCTGCCCCATCCTGCCCCCACCCACCTCCTTGGGCCCCTCTGCCTCAAGCCAACACATGCCTCTGCAGTCTAGAACCTGAAGTCACATTCGCGGTTGCCTGTCTGCACTGGGGGTTCCCATCTTCTGGCCTCCAGCAGGGGACGAAGGCCAGGGACACAGCGGTTCCTCCTGGTCCACCCCAGGGCTTAAAGTGAGGACAGGCTGGAGAAGGCCAGCCCCTTGAAGGTAGCTGTAGTGGCTGCCATCTTGGGACTGCCCTCCCACCTCCCACCTTTCCTGCAACCATCAGCCGTATTAGCTGAGTGAACGAGTGAGTGAGTGAGTGCCCGATTCAGGAAGTCAGCTTGGCCAGGTGGGAAAGCCAGGCTGCCATCCTCTTCCTCGGGCTTTGGTGGGTGCTCCTGGCCAGGGCCTGGCTGAGTGGGCAGGTGGCGTGAGCCGAGCACCGCCTGGCATCCCTGCCTGGCCATGGGGGGTCCCCCAGAGCAGGAGGCCTGTGGCTGCAGTGATCTGAGAGAGCACTGGCCTTGGGATGCTCTTTTCTATTTTTAAAAAACAGCTTTATTGAGATGAAGTTCACATACCCTAAAATCCACCCACTCAATGGCTTCTAGTATATTCCCAGAGTTGTGTAGCCTACTAGGACATTTTCATCACCCAGAAAGCAATGTGCACCCCTTAGCTGGAGCTCCCAGCTCCCTGCTCCCTTCTGCCCCTGGCTATGACTGGTCTGCTTTGGATTGGCCTGTTCTGGATGTTTCATGAGTGAACCACTCAGGGTCTGTGTGGCTTTTCGTGTCTGGCTTATTTCACTTGGTGTGGCATCTTCAGGGCGCACCCATGTCGCAGCCTGCCCCAGGATCTCCTTCCCTCTGTGGCTGAGTCGTGCTCCACTGGGTGAACGGTCCGCGTGTTCATCCGCCGTCCATCAGTGGACACGTGGCGGCTTCCGCCTTTTGGCTCTCGTGAGCAAGGTTGTGGTGCACACGTGTGTGCACATTTTTACGTGGATGTGAACTTGCCGTTTCTCTTGGAGGGATCGGGCATTTTCTTGCCTGGGGTGTGCATGTGAGGCTGCTGTAGCCTCACTGAGGAAGTGACTGTCCCAGGCTCTAGAGGTGCCTGAGGGCGGCCGAGGGATGGGGCCGGCTCCACAGACGTCCCTACCGTGGAGCTCCAGATGGTGTGCTCATGAAGGCGACATCTTCCTGGGCTGCTTCTCACGAGGGGCGCAGGTGGGCTCCCGAGTGGCCTGGAAGCTGGGGAGAGGCGTGGATGCGGATGGCGTGTTGCTCTTGGGCTGGCCCCCAGGCGGTTCCTGCAGGGCGCTGGGAGCTTGGCCCGGGCTGGGGCTCGGGTTGGGGCTCAGGGGTTGGACCGAGGTGCCCAGCCCCAGGGCTCTGGCCGCCTTGTGCATGCTCCCTTCCCTGTCATTCTCTGCCATCTTCGTGTCTCTGTCCTCCTCCTCCCCAGGTGCCGCACCCTCGGTCCCTGCCTCTCTGTCTCCAGCACCGCTCACAGCTCCGCACCCCCAGAATTCCCTGCATTGTCGCCTTTGCGTCTTGGGGCCCTGGGAGCAAGCACGATGCCTGCAGTGCCCTGTGCGTGGTGGCCAGGGCCTGGGCTGCGGTGTACGTGAGTGCCCGTCTCATCTCCGTAGCCGGCTAAGAGTCCTTTCAAGGCCAAGAATTCTTCTCTTTGACCACATTTCCACCCCTCCGCCTGCCCTAGGATGCTCTCCATAGTGGACGCTGCACTTTGCCATGGCATGCCGGGTGGACAGGACTGCTGGGGCCCCCGTGTTCCAGCCTCTCCTGCGCCTCCAGATACGGCTGCTTCCTGGGTCTGGGTGTCTGAGGGGACGTCCCTCAAGGTTCCCACCCAGCTCAGCCTGTCAGGAGCCGCACCCTGCGAGGCCTGAGACCACACCATGCCGGGTGGGGACACACGGGCCCTGAGTGACCTGTTGGGCATCTGCGTTCACCACCCCACCCTGTCTGAGATCATCCCCAGCACCAGTCCCCCCAAATCGCTTCATTATTTCTTTGTAAATAGGGCTTTTTCTAGTCAAAATAGTCAGCTTTTCTTGTTTCTCCGACATCTGGCTTTGATTGGCCCTGGCCTCCGTGGACGCTGGGGCCCTGACGCTGTGTCCAATGGGGAGGGCCGGCCAGGCCTGCATTCTCCCTGCACAAAGCCAGCTCTGCGAGAGGGTGGGAGACCCCCCACCGTTCTCCCCCTCACATCTGCACTCCTTGCCTTGGCCTGGGCCCAGCTCTGCAAAGCTGAGACCCTAGGGGGCTCACCCCATGGCTAGAGTGACCCCTGCTCTGGGGCGCCCATGGTGGGAGGCTGGGGGCGCTGGCCTTCAGAGACGTCCCTCAGGCCCAGGACAGAGCCGCTACCCCATCCTTCCCTCTGACGTTCTTTGCCATCCTCCCTCACTGAGAGACATGAGACAGAAGATTCCAGAAATCCCATGGAATTCTACATGGAATTCATAGAAGCTCAGATGTGCAGGGTCCGCAGCCTGTCCCAGGAGGGTGCAGCCGTGGGACCTGCAGCAAACATTTCCCGCAGAGACAGGGGTCCACAGGTCCAGGCCCCGTCACCCCAGGGAAGTTGGGGGCTGGAAAGGGATGGGCCCGTTGGGTCCGACAGTAACGCCCCTTCCTGCTTCTCCACTCCTTCCTGCCTGGCATCCGCACGGCAGAGGCCCTCCACGCAGCGTCAGGGACTCGAAGCCCACCTTTGCACAGTCCTCTGAGTTCCCCTGAGGGCACCCCTGAGGCAGAGGCCTGGTTCAGGGCACTCAGTGGGTGGAGAGGCCAGGTAATGAGTGAGCAGCCTCCCCTCCAGATTGGGGAGCCCATGGCCCTGCTCTGCAGAGCCCCCTTAGCCGGGCCAGTCCCGGTCACGCGATGCTGCTCGCCTCCTTCCCACAGGTTCACTGGGAGGGCTTCGTGTCCGTGCGTCCCGTATTCTCAGCGCGGTTGCTCAGCACTCTGCGTGATGACAGTGTCGTGGGTTTTAGCACTGATCGCAGAAGGAAGGGTGCCATTGTCTGTCAGTACGAGACGCCACTGGTATTTGGATAATTATGGAAGTGCTCAAATATCCCAGGATAGAAACCTGAACGCATCCCTGAGGTTGATGAATTGGCGTGTGCCTCCCCCTGCACCCTCCTCACCAATGGGTACCCATGAGCAGCTTCCTGGGGTGTACCTGGGGTGCCCCGGGCCACCCACATG
Organism: Homo sapiens; assembly: GCF_000001405.40. Classification (NCBI taxonomy): domain Eukaryota; kingdom Metazoa; phylum Chordata; class Mammalia; order Primates; family Hominidae; genus Homo; species Homo sapiens. The sequence continues at coordinate 1,964,017 of NC_000011.10, forward strand.
GCCGTCCCTCCTCCGGCAGTGGTGACATTGGGCACATCTGCGCTCCCCGCCTTGGCCTGGGCCCACTGAAGGGAAGTAGCAGGGAAGTAGCCAGAGGACAGCCTGAGCCCGTGACACGGCCCAGTTAGCAGCAGGCTCGGCCGGCAGAACTGACCAGTCACAGATGCCGAGTGAGGCCCATTCCAGGCGAGGACACCGCCGTGCTCCCGGCGCGTGGGCACTGGGCATGGTCCCGGCCTGCGAGAGTTTGCCACAGACCCCAGGAGGAGCGAGCCGGGCCCAGGATGGAGCACAGGAGACCACCAGGAGCGGCTCAGGCCCCGTGTGTGGGGTTGACAGCAGGACCCTGGGCAGTGCTTCGGGGTTGGGAGGAGATGCTAGCGGGGCCAACCCTTCAACTCACTCCCTCTCAGCTTCTCAGCCTGGAGCCAGGGCCGCCCAGGCAGGCCCCAGCTTTCCCAGCTGCAGGCGGCCCCCTCCTCCTGGCCTGGGGGAGGTGTTCCCGGCAGCCCTCGCGCGGCCCAGGGCAGGGGTGAAGCAGCCTGTTAAACAGAACAAGGTGCTCGCGGCTCATACCTTAGCTTTACGAAGTGTTTGGAATTCCGACGGCCCCAGCAGCTGGGTGCGCCCTGCCCCGTTCTCCCTGGGACTTTACCGGCGGCCAGGGCCTTAAATAATTCTTGCAAAAACCATGTCAGCCCCAAACTGTGTGATATCTGATTTGTAGCACTCATAAAACCCCATGCCTGCTGCCAGAGAGGGGGAGGGCCGAGCCCGGCCTCGCAGGTCTCATTTCCCGTCTGCGCGTGCGTGGGCGCGAGTGAGGGGTGCCCTGGGGGAAGGGTGGCCCCAAAGAGCTGGACCCCTGCAGTCCCCGCTGGGGCTCCCGCCTTGCCCTGCGGCCCTCGCCTCCCCGTCGGCAGGGACAGCGTGGGTCCCCCCATCGCCACATTGGAGACACAGCCTGTTGCGCCCCCCACTTTGTTAACTACGCTTGGTAGTCAGGGTGTCCCCAGTGGCGGGAACAGCAGCAGCGGTCTCCTCAGGGCCAGCGGAGGGCACGGCTTCTGCCAGCAGGACAGTATGGATGGCACACCCGCCGAACACTGCGGGCCGAGTGTTGGGGCTTGGAGACCCCACGGGGAGAGGGCCCTGGCCCACCCAGGATGGAGCTCGGGAGGAGGGCCCCCCAAGCAGAGTGGGGGACCGACCGTGTGAAGCGCAGGCTGCTCCCATGCCCTGAGTCAGAGCTGAGGCCATGTCTTGTCTTCTTTCCATGTTCCGAGCAGACCCCCCGGTGCCCGAAGGTGGGAGCCAGCACAGCTCGGCCACTCCCTCCCCCATCATGGGCCAGGAGGTGCCCAGATGACCCCAGGGCAGCTGGGCCTGGCCGTGGGCATCGAGGCATTGAGGAGGAGCTGGGCTCGTCCCACCTGGAATGCCACCTGAGAACATCCTGGTGACCCCGGGCGGGAGTGGGAGCCCTCAGCCTCAGGGCTGCCGGTCAGGGGGCCTGGATAAGCCCGGCTTTGGTTGTGCACACACTGGGGAGGGGGCGGACCCATTGATTGGTGGCTCCTCGGTAGGGGATGGTCATTAAAGCCCCAGATCAAAGGGCTCTGGAAACACACGCTCATTAGGAAGGCCAGCGAGCCGGCAGGCCGGGGGCGTAGATGGGGCTCTGCTGTTCATTCACCACCACCGGGGTCAGAAAACCCAGCCCCCCAACCGCCCACCCCGAGCCACAGGCTGGAGCCACAGAACGCCCATGGGCCTGGGCCATGGTGGGAGAGATTTTCGGGTAGCCCCCAAGGCCCCCACCCTTCTGGCCTTCAGTGGCCATCCTGCGGTTAGTGAGAGGACCGATGGCTGGCCACTGGGACCTGGGACTCGAGGGCCCTGCCCGCGGGTGTAGGAGGGACACATGGGCTGCCCAGGGGCTGGGGCATGGCACTTCCCCCAGCTGGTTCCTAATGGCTGGCAGACAATGGCCACCGCCTGGACCGGGAGCACAGGAAGCTGGGGCCCCGGAGCAGGCCTGGTGGCGGCTTCTGGGAGGGAGGCCTGGCTGTGGGTGTGCGGCCTGGGTGAGGGGCCAGGAGTCCGGGTTTCCACTTTGAGCTGCTGCCTTGCAAGCCTGAGGCCCCTGGCTGTCACTTTGTCTTGATTTGTCTAAAATGTGGAGACGAGGCCAGATGCAGTGGCTCATGCCTGTAATCCCAGCACTTTGGGAGGCTGAGGTGGGTGGATCACTTGAGTCCAAGAGTTCGAGACCAGCCTGGCCAACATGGAGAAACCCTGTCTCTACTAAAAATACAAAAATTAGCCAGGTGTGGTGGTGGGCGCCTGTAATCCCAGCTACTCGGGAGGCTGAGGTAGGAGAATCACTTGAACCTGGAAGGTGGAGGTTGCACCACTGCACTCCACCCTGGGTGACAGAGCAAGACTCTGTTTCAATAAATACATAAATAATAATATAATAAAATAAAACGTGGAGATGATAATGCTTGCCCAGGAGACACGGCCCTCCAGAAGAAGCCCGCCTAACATCGAGCTTCGCCCTGAGGGTCCCCGCCCCCGATACCCAGCCCCTCCTCCCCCGGTGCCTGCTGGCACATGGCAAGCCTGCCACCTCCCTGCCAGGTGGGATTCTGTCCCGCGCTGTCTGTCCCTCACGCGGCCACGGTGTGGCAGAGCATGCCAGGCAAGGGCACCGGAGGCTCAGGCCTCATGGCACGGACCGTTTTTCAGAGATGGCATTGCCACTGCTGGCCTGGGATGGGACCTCCCTCTGTGCTGCCCCTAGACAGCCAGCCATGCACCGATTGGAGCCAGCTCAGCTCCTCCGCAGTCCCCACCCTGGTCAGGGCCTAGCTCTGCCCCCCAGGGGTGTCTCACCCCTTAAGGAGCGTTCCAGGTCCTAGCCTTCCTTGGGACTGTGTCCCCGACCCCCAGGGCTGCCTCCTGCCGACAGGCTGGTCCCCAGTGAGGAGGTGCTGGGGGGCTGCAGGGCCGCCGGGTCGTGTGTCCTGGTCACCCTCTGTCGGGGTGCCTGACCCTGCTCCCCAGAGGGCTGGCTGGGGCTCCTCTGTGGTTTTGGGGCCCTGCCCAGGCACCCTGCCTGGCTTCAGGAGGTCAGCTGCCCCGGGGCTCTGTGCTGCTGCTGCTGTTTTTCTTTCGGTTTAACAAAACAAACCCCACCAGCCGGCAATGGACTGCTCCTGATACGCATCCCTCCTCACCCTCCAGAGGCCCCGCTGCTGGGCACAGAGGTCTTCAGAGCCTGGGATCATGGACCCTCTCCTCCCAACAGCTCTTCAGGGCAGCCCGTGGGGTGCTCGTGGCTTGAGTGAATGGTTGGTTCCCGTCCTGCTGGAGGAGGGGGCGCCCGCCAGGCCCGGGCCTCAGCTCTGAAGTCTGGGAAAAGCCCTCTGGCATCCTGCTAGGGTGCAGGTGTGGCTGAGAACACTGCGGAGCAAACATGCTCAGAACATCAGCCCCCAAGGGTTCCCGGGAACCCAGAGTCCCGGAGCTGGACAGCCGGCTGAAGGATCCCCTAGGTCCTGGGCGACCCCACGCGTGCCCGCGGGATGAGGCAGCTTACACTCTAGAAGGTGCCTCCCAAAATAAAACCCAGGCTCGGGGCCCTGAGGGGACCCTGTGGGGGGGCCCTGTGGGGCTTAGGACCAGCTGCTCTTCCCATCTCAGCCCTGTCCTCCCTACGAGAACATCCCCTGCTCGCCTGGGCCCCTGGGCCTCACCCCAGCTAAATCCACCGGGCCCCTCAGCTGGTACATAACAGGGAAACTATGTGTTCCGAGCCTCCCTCGGGGCTCAGGGAGGACGTGCCCACTTGTGCAGGGTGAGGGGCCAGCAGCTGCCCGGGGAGCGTGATGAAGGCCTGCAGGAATGCCCTTTATCTGAGGGTATCTGGTTGCCCGCCGGGATGCCGGGAAGCCGGAGTTCCAGCCCTCCCCTGACTCCTGCGAAAACAGAAATAGCTCAGGGAGATGGGACACAGTTGTCCACATCAGTCAAGAGGACCCAGCCAGCACGGCCGTTTCTGAACTCTTCTGACCTCAGGCTTTTCCAAGAGTCGCCGCCCGGAGGCCCCTCAGCCCCCAGCCAGGGAAGCTGCTAGGCCCTCCGGAAGCCCCAGGAAGGGGCTAAGAAGGGGCCGCACTGGTCATGCAGAGACCATTTCTGCCACTCCCAAGTTGTTGAGGTCCGAGCCTCTCCTGGCAGCATGGGGCGGGGGCACGTGGGCAGCAGCTTCTGCAGGGGCCACCTTCTGCCCAGGCTTCCTCATATTTGCCTGGGGTCCCCCGCCGCAGGCTCAGCTGCAAGCAGCAGATAGGACGCTGGGTTGGCTGGGGGACCCTGGGGCGTGGAGGGGCTGTGTGGGGCTGTGGGTGCAGGAAGAGAAGCGCTCCTCGTCAGGGGGCAGGGACACAGCAGAAACCCAGGGCGCTTCTCACACCCAGCAGCCTGGACCTGAGACGGCTGGGGGGACCCCGAGGACAGATAGGGTGGCTGGGCGGGGTGCTGTGGGGATGCAAGGGCAGGCGCCGGAGCAGCGGCCTGGGCCTCACACGCTGGACCTCGTGCCTGTCCGTCAGGCTCATGGAACATTCTCGACAAGGCCTGGGAGCCGGGGGCCAGGGCGTGGGCATCCTGAGGGGGTGCCGTCTGTGGTGGACACGCAGGACTCTTGGTCTGCCTGAGGTATGACCCCTCCCAGCCATGCCTGGTGTGTCATCACCACGGCAACACCGGGAGAGGCAGGCAAACACAGGACAACAGACCAGTCTGGCTCTGCATGTCCCCTGGAGGGGGCAGGACGGTTGGGGAGAAACCCTCTCGGCAGCCTCAAGCCAGCCCTGCCCCACCCGCTGGGCTCGGACCACGCAAAGCACATGGGGGGGCCGGTAGGGGGCTTGGGCAGACAGGGCCAAGTGCCCAGGCCCGGGTTCAGGGTCACCCAGGATTTTGGGGTTTGGGGAGAAAGCAGTTTGGCCTCTCCCACACCCACATTCTGGGAGCTTCCAGGCGACTAGCGCCTTGGGCAGGCGTCCGGCCCCTTTAGGAGGCCTCTGTCTCCTTCCGCTACAAAGGAGGGAGCCCCCTGCCTCTCAGGACACGGGGGCCTCAGGCTCATTCAGGAGTGCTGGGCTGGGCCACCAGGTCCCGGTCTCCGGGGATGCCGGCCTCGGCCTGCCTGGTGGGGGCAGCAGAGCAGTGCGGTCGGTCGGACGCCTCCCTCTCCCCGCTTGGGGGGCCTCCTGCCCCCAGCCCAGCCGGTTTGCTCCACATGGCGCCTTCCCACCACCCCCTCCCCCGGAATGCAGTCCCAGAACACAGGTCTGGAGCGCACACCCAGCCCCCGGGCAGCCCCACCCTCCTTCCGGGCAGCCTGCCCTCCCGGCCCTGGGCAGGGGGGGCTCGGGGCGTTGTCTGATGTCTGAGGTGGAGGCCGTCTTCAGGGTGGGGGCTGTTGGAAACAGCTTGGAGAAGTTATGTCTGTCCCCCACAGAGAAATCGAGTCAAGAGCCGGGTGTGTGGCAGCTCCGTTCCCCTCTCCCTGAGGCCAGGACCCGGCGGGCCTGGCAGCTCAGAGTCCAAGACCCCCACACCCAGGCTTGACCTCAGGAGTCGTGTGTGCAGGACGCCCCCGCCACCCAACCCAGGGCGGCGCTGCCGGTCAGAAAGGCCGTGGGCGGTGGTGGCCACGTTGTCCTTCCCCAGCTTAGCTGTCCACAACCTGAGCCCTCAGCGAGGCCTAAGTTAGGGTCTGAGTGAGAGGGCCAGGGGCCTCAGCCGTCATGGAAACCCGAGCCTTGGCAGCAGCGGCACCCACTCCAAGTTCCGGGGAGCGGGGTGCACGCGGGAGAGCGGCAGGATGTGCTTCCCGAAGGCCCGAAGCCTGCAGGCTGCACTAGGACGGCCCCTCCTGCCGGACCCCTCGCCCCAGCCCTGCAGCTCCAGCCCTGCAGGGCCTCTCTCAGTCACCCCCTCCCAGCCGCGGGTGGGAGGGAGGGAGGGAGCGTGAGCCTGAGCCTCCCCCAGTGAGGCCGCCAGGCCCCTGCCTTCCCGGCCTGGCGTCTGCTTTCTGTGTTAGAGGGATCGAGTTCGCCCCTCCTCGAGGGGCTGGGTCTTATCTCTGGGAAAGAGATTACAGAGTTTCTGACATTAAATTTTCATGCTGAAGTTTTCAGCATGTAGTTTGAAAAGTATTTTTTTCAAATAACACCTGGAGAGGAGGGACGCGGGAGGAAGTCAAGCCTGCTCGCCATAAAACTTTGAACTTGGGGGTGGAGGGACACCCTGTCCGGCACCCCCTCCCCGCTCCGCCACAAGCGTCTCCCGCCCTCCCCCAGTGTGAGTTATTGATTCCGGCCGTGAGAGCCTCCTCCAGCCCCCACCCCCACCCCGGGTCTGCTCCAGCCCAGCCCCCTGCAGCTGCCCTCGGCCTGGCAGTGGGTGCCATGCCGCTGTGCCCCTCCGCCCACCCGCCCGTGGTCCGTTCAGCCCAGGCCCTGCTCTCCCCATTTTGTTCTTTGTTCTGTGCGGGGCTCTGGAAAGCCCTGCACGTGTTTGCTGCAGCCCCGCAGGCCAGCCGTGGGATCCCCGGGAGAGGCCAGCCTCCTGGGCCCAGCCGCTCTGTGCCCAAGGTGGTCCTGGGGTCCGGGGCCCGTGTTGCCATCTGTGGGCCGCAGACTCAGAAGGGCCTGCTCTTTGTGTCCTTTGGTACTTGAAGGGGCCCTCTTGGAAAATCCAGCCTCGAGCTTGTCTGTTGGGTCATTTTGGGGATTTGCAAACACTGGGGCACGAGAAGTCACCTTGCTGACCCTGTCCCACCTCGTTATGTCGCAGCCAGGGTGCTGCGGCACCTGATGGAGCCTGGGAGTCCTGGCGGGCAGAAGGAGCTGAGGGTGGCAGGGGTGGGGCAGGCAGCCGGGCTCCCCCATTGCTTTCCTCCGAGCATCCCCAGCCTCCTGAGCATCCCGATCCGGGCCAAGTCCTGGACTTTGCTCCTCTGCACCCTCACGTCCACCACTCGTCCCTGTCCTCCCGGGGCCCCGGCCTGGCCACAGCCCTGCTTCCTGTCCAGCCCTCCCATCTGTCTTTCCCCAATGCTGTGGCCGCTCCAGCCCATACTTCTCGCCATGCGTGGGTTCAGGAGCCAGCCCCTGCAAGCCTGCCTTAGCCCAAGCCGCCAGCCCGAAGCCAGCCCTTCCACCCAGCGCCCCTCCACCTTCCAGCCACACAGAGGGCCCCCCAGTGCGCCCCTGGAACTCCTCTCTCTTCCACACCATCCACCTCCTGACACTGCCTGGGCTCTGGTCCGGCCCAAAAGAACACAGTGCCACTTTGCGGCTGCCCCGGGCCCTGGCTCGGCTGCCCTGAGCCCTCCAGCGTCCTGCTCCACAGCTGGGGCCTCTCCGGCCCTGCCCTCCACCACCTCACAACACACTTTCCTTGGGGGATATTGCACTCCATCTGCCCACCCGCCGCCCGTGATCTCCCTGGGGCCTGCTCCACGAGGGATGCTCACGAACTGGGTGAGGGGACAGAGGAACCAGGACAGAATGCCCCCGGGGCCAGCCCTCTGCCTTGCACCAGCCACCCAACCTGCCTCGGGCCCAGGTCCACTCCCAATTCCTTCCCCTCACCTGGGATCCCCAACAGACCCCACACCCAGCCTGGCCGGGCCATCCCAACTCTATGGCTCCCAGACATTGCCCGTTCCCTCCTTGGCCCATGACCCTTAGCGGGTGACACGTCAGGACAGAGAGGGCAGCTGAGGGCACAATCCCGGATCTTCCTGCTGCCCACCAGCCCTCCTCTTTCAGGGAAGACCCTCAGGATCTGCCTCTGGGTTCCTCCCCACCTCCTCAGGGACCCTTCTCTGCAGTCTTGGACCAAGGCTGGCAGGCACGTGGGGCCACCCCAGGTGAGCCCTCTCCTCCTTCGCAGTGAGAACTGGGGGCAGAGGAAGGGGGAACAAAGCGGGGACCACACTCAGGTCAGGAGGTCGGGTGCCTCTGTCCACTTTCTTTCTCCCCCTGCTCAGGGTCTTGGAGGAGGTAGGGGAGGTAACAGCCACCTGGGCAGGGCACCGGACGAGGGAGGATGCTAACCTCCAGTGACAGGGCAGTAAGTATCCGGGGCGTGCCCGTCCCCGGATGCCCTGGAAATGGGAGATGGGCCGGCCGTGCCCCGGGCTGGGCAGTGAGTGAAGGCCCCATGCTCCTTCCTGTCCCTCGGGCCTGGCTTGGCCTGTGGGGCTTGGCGGGGCAGCACTTTCTGCAGACTCCAAACACAGCAAGCTCAGCTGGCTAGCTAGTGCCGGACCCACTGCTGGGAGAGGCAGCCAGGGCTCCAGGGCTGCCCCGCACCCCACCTCGTGCCGGGCACCGCCATGTTCCCCTCCTGCACACTGCGCCACAGTGCTGGCCGGCCGTCCCTCCCCTCCTTTGAGACTCCTTCCCCCTTCTCTCGGGTCTCTCACCTCTCCCTGCCCTTCTTCCTCCCCTCGCAGCCCTCCCAGACACCCAGCAAGGAGCAAAATGGCCAGGGCAGCACCCTCTGTTTCCGGAGCAGCTGCAGCAAGGGGTGGTCAACCTGGGGGACCAGGGACCCCAGACCCGCTTGGAGTCCTGTGGGTGGCCGCATTCCCAGGAAGGCTGGATCCGGAGGACCGGCCAACAGGATCGCTCAGGATGGACGTCTTCTACTCAAGTAAGACCTTGGCAGCCTTGGTCGGCTCCATAGTCACCCTACGCTGCCATGTGGGAAGATTCCCATGCGCCAGCTGCAGACCCAAAGTCCAGGCAAGTTGGGGCTTTGAGGGGCACAGAGGGAACCCCCGGTCATACAGTGAAGAGAGCAGCAATGGACGGCCACACAGTACTGCAACATGGTGGGCTCCAGGGCAGACGCCAGGAGCCCAGGACCCGGGGATGGGGCCACTCGCCCGGCTTGGCCACACAGCAGCCCCACCCGGCTCTAAAAGCAAGACCTTCAGGGGCTCCAGGCGAGCTCTGGCCATCCCTGGATGCGGTGTTTCCTCCAGCCCTTCCCATGGCAAGATGCCCTGCTCCCCACCTGGCCCGCCTGCCCTCCCACCTCCCATACCTCCCCCGGCCACCATCTCCGTGGCCCACAGCTCCTCCCAGCCTGGTCTCACCTTTCGACCAGCTTGCTGCAGTTTGAGATGGGACCAGGAAGGAAAGAGAAGGTTCTGGGAGGAGGAGGAGGAGGCTGCCAAGTGGCTGGTGCCAGGGCCGGGCTGGCAGGCGGGAGACTAGGAGAATGGAGACGGATGGGGGACGAGGTAGACATGTGGAGAAATAGAATGGGTTTTGGGAGATGGCAGAGACCAGGAGACGGAGAAGAGCCTGGAGGAAAGGGCCCCACCCCGAGGGAGGAAGGGAGGGCTTGGGGGAAACAGCGCCCGCCCGTTGCACCCCGGAGGCCCAGGAAGGGTGATCCTGATGGAGAGAAGGGGCCGCCCTCGAGAAGAGGCATGCGATCCTGATGGAGAGAAGGGGCTGCCCTCGGGAAGAGGCATGCGGGGAGAGGAAAGGAGAGCTGCACTGCAGAGGGGGCTGTGGGGAGAGGGGCTCTGCCATCCCCTCAGCCAGATGGGTGTCGTCTTCCTGAACATAGAAGGGAACCGGGATGCCATGTTCTAACGCCCGTGTGTTTCCACACATGGCCAGGAGTTCGGGCAGGGCTGGGCTGTGAGCAGGCAGGACTGCCCTCCCGAAGCAGGTGCAGAACGAGCATTTGGGGAAGGAGAAGACACGTGTCCGCACCTGCAGCTGGTGGGGTGGGAGGGTGAGCTGCCTGCAGGGTGGTGGGGGGCAGCCCGGGGGGGCTCCTGAGGATGCACAGCTCCCTCCCAAGGCCAGGGCTCTGGGCACTGGGGTCCAGGAGAGAGTTTTGCTCTGCCCATGGCCAACAGGTAGGTGCCCAGATGCTGTTCTGTGGTGGAGTGAGGGGACCTTATTCCCTGGGGCCCAGAGGATGCCCAGCTCTGCCAAGGGCCTTGAATGACTCCATCAGAGGAGGTCCGGAGCCCCAGGGCCATTCCCTGATTCCTGTCACTTTCCCAGGATGCCCTCCCTCACCGGGTCGGCTCCCAGCTCCCCTTGGAGTGAGGAGGGCTGGACCCCACTGAGTCCATCGCAGACCCCAGCTGGCCGGGCGCATGGCTTCCCGTCTCCTCTCTGGGCTTGGTCCTCTTGTGTGAGGGGTCACGGCCCAGGCACCCATCTCCTCTGGGTTGAGGCTGGAGGGTGTCTCCGGGAAGCCCCTACGAGTGCAAAACCTTGCTGTTGATCTCAAGACCCCGGGCGGAGACGGGAGGAGGAGGGTGGAGGAACGAAGACCAGATTCCTGGAGGACGATTCTGTTGAGCCTCCAATTCCCTGGACTGATTATTTGCTTAAGTCAGAACTCCCGGCCGGATGGGGCTGGGGCCAGGAGATCAGGGAGAGGGTTCTTTCCTGGACAGGTCTGCTTATCCCAAGGGCCAATTAGCAGTAGCAGAGCCTCAGCAGGAGCTTGCTTGTCCTGGGAGCAGGGGTGAGCTTATCTGCTCCGAGGGGTGCCCTGCCGGGCCTCGGGGCCTTGGAGAGGGGCCGGCTCCGTTCTCCGTCTCCTGGAAAGCCAAGGTGGGAGGTAGCATCTGGAATTAGATGCGGTTGAGGATGCTTCCTGACTGGGAGGGGGTTTTGCTCCTCCCTGGGACCACAGCAGGACATTTGAAGCACCAGGATCCCAGCGGGGGCCTGTGGGGAGGCATGGCCATTTCTAAATGAGGCTCTGGGTACCTGGTGGCCCATGGAGCGGGGCTCTGGGAATTGCCTCCTGCGAGCGGCCATTGGAGGGGGAGGTATTACCCCCACCGGTGTCCTCAGCCAGTCCCTCCTGGAGTCCTCAGAGCCCTCAACAGGCTCTCACCTGGCCCTCCGCTGCCAGGGCTGGACCAGAGGCTCTTCAGGAGCTTGTGCTCTTCCGCCCCCAGAGCTCCAGCCTGGACGCCTTGGAACTGGCCGTCCTGAGCTGGACAGCCAAGATGCGATGGTGGCTGTGCTGGGCTCCAGCCCATGGTGGCCTCCAAGGTGGTGCTGGGGCCTTAGGGGAAAGGGTTGCTTTTCATGGCTGGCTGAGGGGATGGCAGAGCTGTCCTCCGTTCCGCCTCCTTTACCCATGGATGCGGCCGCATGCGGGTCTCCATCATTGTCCTATCCTTGACCATCTGGCTAAGACTCAGGGACCCACAGCAGCCGCTCCCCCACTGGCTGTCTGGGAAAAGGCCCACATTGCCGGGCACACACCAGGGTGGCCAGGGATTGGTCACTGCCTGAATGTCCCCGGACCGATGCCCGTGTGCCCTTGGGCAGCCTTCCCCTCGGACAGGCTGTCCAGGCTGGGAAACCCTGAGCCAGAGGGATTAAGAAGAAAGGACAGAGTCGACTGTCCCCTTGGCTAATTTGTGCTTCATTTAGTGTAATTTTGCTCAGTGGTCAAAACATAGAGGTGATGACACCGAGGGTCCAGACATGTCCCATCTCCAGGGCCAACCTCCTGCAGATCCCCAGCCCCGCCCAGCCCTGCCTGCTGCGCCCTGGGCCTGCCTCTGCCCTCACAGCCATCCTGTACATTCCTGTGTCTCAGTGGCGGGGGATAGGGGGTGGGGGAAGGGTCTCCGATACACCAGGGGGTGCAGGGACCCTCAGCATGGGTGCCCAGGCAGCTCTCTATGGAAATGCAGGATTGGGTCAGGACCCCAGAGCTGTGCAGGGCCCTCTGTCCCCAGCCCAAGTCCTGAGTCCCTCTTGCCAGCCTCTGCTGCTCCGCGTGTGGTAGGAGCTACCAGTCTGGGGTCCGGGCTGGGCGCATTCATGATGCCTGCCTGGGGTCTGAGCAAATCCTCCCCACGGGGTCTGAGCAAGTCCTCCCCACGGGGTCTGAGCAAATCCTCCCCACGGGGTCTGAGCATGTCCTCCCCACGGGGTCTGAGCAAATCCTCCCCACGGGGTCTGAGCAAGTCCTCCCCATGGGGCCTGAGCAAATCCTCCCCACGGGGTCTGAGCATGTCCTCCCCACGGGGTCTGAGCAAATCCTCCCCACGGGGTCTGAGCAAATCCTCCCCATGGGGTCTGAGCAAATCCTTCCTATGCCGTCTGAGCAAGTCCTCCCCATGGGTTCTGAGCATGTCCTCCCCACAGGGTCTGAGCAAGTCCTCCCCACGGGGTCTGAGCAAGTCCTCCCCACGGGGTCTGAGCATGTCCTCCCCACGGGGTCTGAGCAAGTCCTCCCCACGGGGTCTGATCATGTCCTCCCCACGGGGTCTGAGCATGTCCTCTCCACGGGGTCTGAGCAAGTCCTCCCCATGGGGTCTGAGCATGTCCTCCCCACGGGGTCTGAGCAAGTCCTCCCCACGGGGTCTATGTCCTCCCCACGGGGTCTGAGCATGTCCTCCCCATGGGTTCTGAGCAAGTCCTCCCCATGGGGTCTGAGCAAGTCCTCCCCACGGGGTCTGAGCAAATCCTCCCCATGGGGTCTGAGCAAATCCTTCCTATGCCGTCTGAGCACATCCTCCCCAAGCTGTGACCGAGTGTCCCTCCTGCAGGTGGAGGATGTTGCTAGGATGCACCTTGAAGGCACCCCAGCCTCGCCGGAGCGCCCCCTCCTCGTAGCCTGGGGTGTGGCTGGGTGGTCTGGGGTCCTGGGTGCCTTGTGATGCTGGCCCCAGGGTCCACTCAGCACCGTCCTGGTGTCGTCATCAGCTGGAGGCTTCCCGGGGCCTGTGCTGGGGGTGGAGAGCAGGGAGAGGCAGCAGGGTTCTCCTCAGGGTGGGGTTGCTGGGAAGCACCATCCCACCTGTCAGACTGGCCTTGACTGTAGACACCCCAGGTGACCTGGAAGGACAGACGGACCCCAGGTGATGAGAAAGGACCAGAGTCTGACCTCTCACCCCTCCTAAGCTCTGAACTCCCGTTGGCTTGCCTGACCTCCAAGTCCTCCTGGGGCTGAACCCTCTACAGATGCCCCTCCTGGGCCCTGGGGTGGGCCCGGTTTAGCTCTCCATTGTGGCTGAAACCCCCAGGGCTTCAGTGCTGGCTTGAAGAGGGGGTGGGGCTCCCCAGGCGTGGGGATTGGCAGTTTTTTCCTCCCCTCTTCCCAAACTTTCAGACTGGACCACTTAAGAATAATGAGGTCCAGGTGGTTCCGCTTGAGCCTGGATCCTCACTGGCTGTGGGACTGAGCTTCCCCTGCCGGTCCCACCTCCCACCGGGAGCAGCTAATGACAGCCAGAGGCTGGAAGGTGAAGCTCCCCTCGGCTGTCAGGCGGGCCGCAGGGCAGGGGCTGGGCAGGCCAAGGGCGCCACTCTCCTGCCCAGGCCAGGGCACCCGATCACTGCACCACACCCCTTGTGGCCGTCTGTCCAGCCAGGGCCCTGCTGCAGGTGCTTCCCGTGGGACTGTAGGGAGAACAATCAAGACTTCTGCCTCCTTGGTCGAGCAGGGCTGCCTCCCCATCTCATCTACTGGCAAGGAGGCTGGGCACCTTCAGGGAGCTTCAGTTTGGGAAGAGGGAGGAGGTCTGAGGTGGATGGTGGCGATGGCTGCGCAGCAGTGAGAATGGACTGAGTGCCACTGATGTGTGTGCTCCATGGCTCCGTGGCTCCGTGGCTCCGTGGCTCAGTGGCTCAATGGCTATAATGGCTAGTTTTGTTACATATTTTCACCATAATAAAACAAAACATGTCCAAGGTGCTACAAGGAGGGAGGAGCCCCTGGAGCACCCGCCTGCCATCTCCCATCTGCCAGGCAGCATCCCTCCACTGGCTCTCTGGGAGGGGTTCCAGGCCTCCAGCCTCCCTGTGGCCCCCATCTGCCTCCAGGAGATTTGTTCCCTCTCTCCTGCCCCGAAACCCTCGAGGCAGCCCTGCTCTTGGTCACTGCAGAGGAAGTGGCCCAGGCTTGGCCCAGGCCAGCTGTGGCCTCTGGAGGCAAGATGTGGGGACTCACAGTGTTCGAAGGCCACACCCCCCCGAGCACATGGGCTCCAGTGCCTCTGAGGCAAAGAGCAGGCAGCACCGTGCGCACAGCAGTGGGAGACACAGCACAGCCACCAGGGCAGCCCCCAGGCAGACGGCGGGCCTAGAGAGGGCGGGATGACACAAGAAAGGTTCTCCTTTGGAGACGGCGAGGTCAGGCAGGTGGGAGAGGGTTCACGGTGCTTGAGGTGCAGAGAGAGGATGGTGGAATGGAAAACGTAGGGTGACTTGTCGGGGACAGGCCCAGGGCCACAACTCGGGCAGGCCTATTGCCCGAGTTTTGGGTCCCATCCTGGCAGGCAGGGGAGAGAATTCTGAATTTTTTAATGAAACGGATAGTTGAGGGCTGGAAAAAAGAAAAAGAAAAGAAAAGAAGTCCCGGCTCGGTGGCTCATACCTGTAATCTCAGCACTTTGGGAGGCCGAGGTGGGTGGATCACCAGAGGTCAGGAGTTCAAGACCAGCCTGACCAACATGGTGAAACCGTGTCTCTACAAAAAATACAAAACTAGCTGGGCGTAGTGGCGCATGTCTGTAATCCCAGCTACTCAGAGGCTGAGGCAGGAGAATCACTTGGACCCAGGAGGCGGAGGTTGCGGTGAGCCGAAATCGAGCCATTGCACTCCAGCCTGGGCAACCAGAGTGAAACTCTGTCTCAAAAAAAAAAAAAGAAAGAAAAAGGTATTGAAACTGGGTGCCAGATAGCTGCATGTCAGGGCCCTGAGGAGGAAGGGGTCAGAGTGGAGGGGGAGAAAGAGCAGGCTGGCCAGGTTGTGGGAGGCTTCCGGCGGGCGGCAGGTGGAGGAACAAAGGCAGGGCCTGGCGATGACGGCCTGAGGGCTAATTGCACAGCTTACTGCTCACCCATGCGGGAAGGCTGTGGCCCCGGGGACCCGCATGTCCTCCAGATCTTCACAACCGGCAATAAAGTGCTGGTTGCTGGTTGCGTAATCACTGACTGATTGAGACCTGCACAGGCGAGGAGATGATGGCTGTCCCTGGAGAGGAGAGGCCTGGGGCCTGCCATCCGGTCTTGCCTCATCACTCCCCACCAGGTGGAGAAGTCCCCGTTATCAGCAGCGAGCCTGCCTGCTGTTCCTAGTCCTCTGGAGCCTGGAGATCATCACTCCTCCTGGACCCAGAGACAGGCGTGGGAGAGGGCGTCACAGCCACCACTGTACGCACCTGGCCAGGGCTGCCCTCGGGCTCTGCCCATCTGTCCTCTCCTGCGTCAGAGCCACCACCTGGCAAACAGCCCCACTGAAGCCCCTTCCGGGAGGGCACCGAGCCCTGGGCAGCACCCCTCCCTCCCGGCAGGCCGGTCTGTGGGACGTGCAGGACGTGCTGCAGCCCAGGGGCTCTGTGGCACTGGCTCGGCCCTGTGCTGGTGCTCTGATGGGTAGGAATCTGGGCCGATACCTTGGTGCCCACACTGCAAGCCAGGTGGCCACAGCACGGCCCAGTGGGCATCCTCAGCACAGCCGGTGGCAGTGGGACTCAAGTGACTGCTGCTGGGGGTCCCATCTGATTCTTTCCAGGGCCAGAGATCAGGGGAGGATGTGGAGCGGGGCTGTGGTGGGGGCCCTGGGTGGCCTCCCCTCGCCACTTTCCCATGACGCCCCTGTAATCGGGGCTCTTACCCCTGGGTCCCCGGTACCTCACAGCTGCCTGGACGCAGCCCCACCCGTGCACAGGCCTGTGGGGAGGCCGCAGCAGTCCTTTCCCATGGCTGGGAGGGGGCCACGGGTGGGGGACAAGGAATTTGAGGAGGAAACAGCAGTGGCCTGAGAATTTAGAAAATGCATCCAACTGCTTGGACTCTTGGGAAGAAGCTGGCAGGAGGATTAGGAGAAGTGGAGGATGATTGCATGGTCCTGGGTGGGCCGTGACTGATGGGGCAGCCGGGGTCTCCAGCATGGGGAGGGGAGCCTTGTCTGTGCCGGGCGAGCAGCTGTCCCCATCCCTCAGCCTGTGTCCCGCTCGCCTCGGCTGCTAACCAGAGACCTCTGATCCCCGGCTGGAGGTGGGAGCGATTCTGGCCCTAGAGCCCCCCCACCTTGCCTGGTGACAGAGACATGGGCCCCTGTGCTGAGCCTGCCATCCTCATCTGCAAAACGGGGTTTGGGAACATGTGTGGAGTGGGTGGGGGACCTTGGAAGCCACCAGTTGCTCCTAGAATCCACAGGCCACGTCTTGCGTCTCAGACCAGCTCCACCTCCTCTGCCCGCCACCCACCTCTGCGGGTCCCGAGTCTCTCCATCCAGTGAAGGAGAGGGCTGAGAGCAGGGGCGTACGTGCCACGAGGGTGTCCACCTGGGAGGGACAGTGCGGCCCCGGGAGCCCTCTGGAGCACAGCTGCCCTGCCTCGGGGCTGGAGCTGGCTGTTAGGTCTGCACAGGCTCCTGGGCCAAGCTTCCTGACTGATCCTGGGGGTAGTCACACAGTTCATCACGGGCATGGGCCTGGGGGAGATGAGCAGCTGTTCCCCACACCGCCCCTCAGTCATGCCCTGCCCAACGGTGGACAGCTTTGCCCCACTTGGCCGGACTGGCCCCTTCTGGCCTTAACTCCTTAACTCTCCCGTGGTTTTCTACCCCTGTCCTGGGGTCCCTGGGCCTAGAGAGATGGCCACCCCTCCCCGTGGACCTAGGAGAGCCCCCAGGGCTCCACTGGCGTTAGGTAAATGGAATCGTGTCCTGGCAGTCCTGTCCCTACCCCAGTGCCCAGTGGAGGCATAACTGGGGATAATGCGATTACAGCTGCTCCCACCAGGGTGATCTGCAGCAGAAGCAGAAAATCACTCCGGCCATGCTCCAGTGGGGACAGGAAGGCTCACCAAGCCCCTGTCCGCCTGGGAAGCTGGGCAATGTGGGTGCAGCTGCTCCATTGGGTAGGGCTGCTGGGCCCCCGGGGGCAAATCGTGAGTTGGATTTCAACCAGGAAAGCAGGTCTTGATGGGGCAGGCAGAGGGGGTGTGGAGTGGCCCCACGGATATCGTTGCCTCGACCCTTGGCTCCTGGCGTTTGCTCAGCTAACTTTGCAGACGAGACGCTGTGTGCAGAGAGACACAGGCGATAAGGATGGGGTCGTTGGCTTCAGGGCACCCCCCAACCCGTGGCCTTCACTGGCCTCATCCCTGTGCCCCCACCGGCCCAGGCTCTGCTCCCTCCATGCCATTGTTTCACTCCTTCTGGAACCTTCTGTGCCTGTGCAATGTGGCCATGCCCTTGTTTTTCCACCATTTAAGAGCTTTCTACACCCACCGAGGAGAGGGGCAGGCATGGCTGTGTGGTGGCCCCCTGGGGCTCCCGCAGCCGCCTCGACCCCTCAGCCTCCTCTGTGGGGTGTAGAAGAGTTCTCTGCACAGGTCCTCAGCTCGGGCAGCCCTGGAAGTGCTGGGCCTTCAGGCACAGGGGAGGGTGGCTCAGGGGCCAGCAGCAGACGTTGGTGCCTGCCCCTGCAGCGGGGTGCCCCATGCTGAGACAGTGCGCAAGAGGGACACTCCGGGCCTCGGTCCGCCCTCCGTGTGGCAAATGAGGTGCTCGGCGGGGCTTCTTAACTCTTCAACCTGGCCTTCCCACGGGTCCCTCTGGACAAGGGATGGCGGGGCGCAGGGGAAGCTGATTCCCAGCCCCACCCCAGCCCGTAGCAGAGTGGTCGTAAGCGTGGGAAATGCCAGCTCCATGCCTCTGCTCCACTATGTTTAACTCAACACAAGGAGCTTCCTGGGCCTTCAATGTCCCAGGACCCACGGCCTTTAGTGATTTGTGGTCTGGGAGACAGGAAGCCGGAGCTCTGGGGCCGAGCTGCAGCCCCTCTCCCTCTGCAGCGCATCCTTGCTCTGAGGGTGGCAGAGGCAGGTCTAGGCCTTGGGGACCTGGGGCCGGGGCCCCCAAGGGGAAGGGAAGGGACCCGTGGGGAGCCCAGGGTGAAGAGTTAAGAAGCCCCGCCAAGCACCTCATTTGCCACATGGAGGGTGGACCGAGGCCCGGAGTGTCCCCCGTGTGTGCTGTCTCAGCATGGGGCACCCCGCTGCAGGGGCAGGCACCAACGTCTGCCGTTGGCCCCTGAGCCGCCCTCCCCTGTGCCTGAAGGGGCGGAGCACCTGCGCAGAGAATTCTTCTGATATCCCGCCCATGGGGAGTTGGTGATGGGACCCCCAGGAGAGGGACTGCGGGGGTGTCCCTGCGCCTTCGGGTGGTCAATGCTGGTGAAGTTCGGCACCCAACTGTGAGCAAAGGAGAGGCCCTTTCCAGGAAGCCCCAGGGGCACTCCAGGGTCGGGAAGGGGCCACAGGGGTCTGGCGAAAGCATGAGGCAAGATTTGGAAACGAGGCTCCAGGGCAGGGTCAGGGCCAGGGTCAGGGGCAGCCCTAGGATGGCTCTGCTGCCACCCAATCAGAGTCTCCTGCCCAGCTCCTGGGCTGTGGGCGGGGGTCGCACAAAGGACCATGGGCAGCCAGGTAGGAACAAGGGTCACCAGGCACTTGGCAGGGGACCGGCCTCTGGGAAATCATCCAGGCCAGGGGCCATGGAGCCGGCTTTCCCCAAGCCCCAGGGACCCAGCCTCTGCCGGGAGGGTCTGGGGGATCAGGGGGCTGAGGACCCTCCACACAGGCTGTGTGGGGCAGGGGCTCGGGCTGGCCCTGCTGAGCTTGGGTGGCTGGAGTCCTCGAGGAGGGCTCCCTGGAGGCAGGGGCGCGGAGAGAGCTGGGGCGGGCCAAGGCAGCCAGCAGCCCACGGCAGGCGGGGGGCCTGACCCGAGCAGCGGCGTTAGGGCTGGCCTGGGGCGCAGCGTGCGCACGGGAGCGCGTGTCTGCTGGACTCCAGCGAGGTGCTGTAGCCAGCTAGCCAAGACAAGCTGTCCCTGCGGGTGTCTGACCGGCGGGGCCCAGGCTGGGGGGGTGGTGGCGGCACCCCACTGGGGACACAGTGAGGCCCGGAACAGAGCCCAGAGCCTGGCTGCCGCGCTCCAACCACAATGGCCGGTGCCTCCCCAGGCTGTACCTCTGGGCCCTGCTCCCACCAGGGCCCTGCCCCCACCAGGGGCTGTGCAGGGTCTGGGAAGGGCACAGCTGTTTGCCTCCCCACATTCCAGACACAGGGTCAAGCAGTGTGGGAGGCTGTTTTTCTTTACAAATGTCATCTGAAAACAAACACTTACTGGCTCTGCCCGGCTGCCCCGACCCCTTGGAGAGTGGGGGCAGGGACCAGGCCTGGCTACCCCCGTCCAGGTGGCTGGGGACTCTTCCAGGCCAGAGTGGCCTTTGACCCTCCTTCGCTGCCCCTGCCACACCAACCAGGCCAGTGTCTTCCCTAGCCAGAAGGCTCTGGCCCCACCCCATTTGCCACCTAGAACTGGGGAAGGACGCACCTGGCCCGGCCAGCGGCCCATGAAGCCGTCTTTCTCCCACGGGCCGTCCCTGGCTCGACCCTGTGCCCAGGGCAGGGTCAGGCCCAGTGGGTCTCTCTGTGGAGGGAGGGGCTGCCTGGGGTATCTGGGGGTGGTGAGGGGGTGTCCCAGCCCCAGCCCTTCCCCAGGCCTCATGTGGGCACCACCCCTCGTTTACGGGCTCTGGGAGCGGGTGGGGCCCCTCCTCCTCCTGAGCTGTAAGGTTTTTCTTCCAGTGGGGTTTGCACAAGGGTCCACGCCCACAGCCTCAGCCCGGAACCTGAAGGCTCTGAGGCTTCCTAGGGGGTTCTGCGGCCTTGCACTGTGGGTCCTCCCAGCTCGGCAGCCCTCTGCTGAGGCAATGTCCTCTTGGAGCAAAAAACAGCCTCCGCACCATTCCTCCCAGGGTGCATCTGAGCCCAGGCCCCAGGACACTATCCCCGGGGGTCCAAGGCGGGTGGGGACCGCCCTCCCGACGAAGCTTCTTTGCGCCCTGCTCACTCTCCTCAGCCCCCAGGTGCACTGGGGGATCCTGCAGGAAGCCTGCGGGCGGGGACTGGGGGGTGTGTTTGGGGCAGCGGTGTCTAGACCCTGGCCTGCCTGAGGGCCGGGAGCTTGGACTTCAGGCCTCAGGAGTCAGGAGAGGGCCACCACGCTCCCTTCCCCTCGCCACAGTGGTCCCAGGCGGGAGGGAGCGGACACGGGCTTTGCGGCACAACCTGGTCCTTGTTCTCTGGCTGGGCTAGGGTCACCTGGAGCTGGTGCCCGTGATATCCGCCTGACGCGGAAGTGGGCACCGTTTTCTGGATGCTCCCTTACTTTCTCAGCGCTGTGTGGAGGGGGAATGCCCCGTGCTTCTCACCCTGTCTTCGCCTGTCCCCACCCCAAGCTCCACTGGGCGGGGAGGAGAGGGGCACCTCCATAGGACTCAGCTATCCCCCCAACTCCCACAGGAACCTCAGGCCCAGAGTCCCCAGGAGGGAGCAGCCGGCAACACGGTTTCCGCTGTGGAGACGGGGCGTCCTGGCTTGAGTTCACTCCTCTCCAGGTGGAGCTGCCGCCGTGAGACCAAGGCCAGGCCCCCCTCGGGCCCCAGGGCTCCGAGGCACTTCCTTGGGTTGGTGTGCTGGATGGAAGTAGGGCTGTATTTCCTAAGACCTGCGGGGCAGACCTGGCCTCTGGAGGTGAGAATTTGCTGGGCCTGTTATGGGTGAAAGAGGAAAACCAGCCTGTGGGGGGCATCTCACAGTCCCCTCTGTCCCTCAGGTAGGATGCGTGGGGCGTGGTGGAGCCACGGGGTAGGGGAACGGGGACCCCCTCAGGTGTGTGGGGGCTGGGAGGTGGGTGCAAGGCCCCCCGTCTCACCGAGAAGGGACTTGGAGAGTGAGATGGTGTCTGAGTTAGGATGGCAGGCTCAGCTGACCTCGTCCCAGAGGCACTCAGCAAGGGCCAGGGACGGCATCCCCGCCGGGCACATGGCAGTTCATCCTCAGAGACACTGTGTATGGGAGGGAGGAGAAGCCCACACCTCTCTGAGGCAAACTTCAGGACGGCCAGGGGCCCCTGAGCACCCCGCCCACCTTTCTCCCGGCGCCCATGTGGGGCGATGCTCTCTGCCCTCCTTTGAGCTCTGCAGTATCCTGGGACGTTGGGCCCTCTGTCCTGCTTGCTCTGTCTGTGCTGGGGAGTGGGCAGGAGTGGACAGAGATCCGCCCTTCTCCAAGAGTCCCAGCCGTGGGAGGCTTCACCTTCCAGAAGGTTCCTCCTGTTTCTCTGTGCCTACTACGAGGCTCATCCTCACACCTGAGGACTGTCTCCTTGCTGGTAGGCTCACCGCGTGGAGGAAAGGGGGCCTCTGGTCACCTTCCCCACAAGCACAGACACGCAGTGTCACAGGGCAGTTGAGACTGTGTTACTGAGCCCAGCGGACAACCTGGGAACACATCCTGGTGTATCACCTTACTGGCTGCAGGAGCTCAGGGACAGCCGTAATCACTCTGTGCCTCAGTTTCCTCGTCTGTAGAACGGGACCAGTTTGCATGAGGCTCCCGGGCAGAGCCTGGAACCCGTGAACCCAAGAGCAGTCGTCATCAGGCCAACGTGCACTCGAGCAGAGATGTCTCCCCAAGTCCAGCTTGCTTCATATCCCCTGCAGTTCTGGTGGTGGGAACCCAGAAGTCAGAACACATCTACCTCCTGGCAGCTGGAGGCCACAGCGCCCCGAGTTTGGGACATGCCCCTCTCTGCATGTCCGTGCCAATTCCTCAAGGCTATCGGCCAGCCCCTCCCACTCAAGGCACCCCATGGAGCCTCCTGGGAGATCTTCAGACCCAGGGCAGGTGGGGGCTGGATCTGCCCTTCCTTCGGTGCCCCAGGTCTGTTATGGGCACGGGCTGTGAGCTGGTGCCAAGGACAGAGGCATCAGGCCAGGCCAAACTGCTGCACACAGCTGGCCACGGGGCCGTTGATCGCAGACAGTCAGGCTTCAGGCTGTCTGACACGGGCCGTCTGCTCCTCCTTGGACAGTTGCAGCACTCAAATGTTAAAACAATTTTTTAAAATAAATTTTTCTACTTTTTTTTTTTTTTGAGACAGGGTGTCACTCTCTTGCCCAGGCTGGAGTGCAGTGGTATGATCATGGCTTGCTGCAGCCTCAACCTCCTGGGCTCACGTGATCCTCTCACCTCAGTCTCCCACATAGCTGGGAATACAGGTGCGCGCCGCCGCACCTGGCTGATATTTGGTAGAGATGGGGTCTCACTATGTTGCCCAGGCTGGTCTCCAACTCCTGGACTCAAGCAATCTGCCCACCTTGGCCTTCTAAAATACTGAGATTACAGGTGTGAGCCACCACACCTGGCCCCAAATAAAACAATTTAAAAAGGAAAAAAGTGTGTGTGTGGCAGGAAGAGGAGGGTGAGGCCCGGAAGGAACTGAAGGAAACAAACTCAAGGAGAACAGCTGGTCCCCACGCCAGCGTCGACGCTCCAAGTCCTTCACCTCGGAGCCGAGCAGGGGCTGGGGGCACGGGGAGCTTGTGGCCTTTCTGGTGAAGTGACTCTTTTCTGGAACTTTCCAAACACCCTCCCCGCCCCCCGCCATGCCCCCCACCGCCTTTCCTTCCTTCTTTCTCACCCGCTTCCTTATTCCTTACTGTTCATCACAGACAAAGTTCCTGGGTAGGAGTGCGGGCAACTGCCGTTTGGGATCCATGGGGGCCTCCCGCCATTGGGCAGCCCCTCTCCCTGGCTTGTGGGGAGGCTCAGGTGAGCCCAGGTCTCCCTCTCCCACCGCATGGGAGTGCAGGATCCACAGGCTGATGGCTGTTTGCCAAAGGATGGGGACATTGGGGCACAGCACGGGGACACTTACTCAGCAGACAGCACCCTGACTGGCAAGATTGAAGAGCTCCCCTTCCTTGCTAAGACTCCCATGAAACACACAGGGGGCTGCTCAGGGGGTGCAGGCGGCAGGAGCGGGGACAGCTCAGAGGTGGGTGTGGCACAGGGTTCATGGCATAAGAGGGGTGGCCTCGGGAGCCAGGGCGGGGGCAGCCTGGAGCCAGCAGCCCTGAGGCCATGCACATCCACAGCATGCTGGCGGTGACAGCCCCGACCCGTGGCAGGGGAGCAGGCTCTGGGCTTGTCTGACCCGTGAGCACCCAGTGGCCTGGTGGCCTCAGCCCTCGTTGCCAGCCTCTTTCTAAGGTCAAGCCTGTGCTCTCCAGCCAGAGAAGGCATGCTGGGCTGGGCTGGGCTGGGGTGGGCAGGGCTGAGCTGGGCAGGGCAGGGCAGGGCTGGGCTGGGCAGGGCTGGGCAGGGCAGGGCAGGGCTGAGCTGGGTAGGGCAGGGATGAGCTGGGCTGGGCAGGGCTGGGAAGGTCAGGGCTGGGAAGGGCAGGGCAGGGCAGGGCAGGGCTGGGCTGGGCTGGGCTGGGCAGGGCAGGACAGGGCTGGGCTGGGTAGGGCAGGGATGAGCTGGGCTGGGCAGGGCTGGGAAGGGCAGGGCTGGGCTGGACTGGGCTGGACTGGGCAGGGCTGGGCAGGGCCGGGTGGAGTGGGCGATGGTGTCCATCCCGCTTAGTGGCTTCCTCTCACAGGAAGTCTGACCACCCTTCAATGCTGGGGGTCTAGGCTGGGCAGGTGGACGTGGGGGTCCATTTCTAGGCTCTAGACCCAAGGCCTTCCTGCTGCTCAGAGGTTCCTAGGCTCAGCAGAGAGGGCGGGGACAGAAGGTCCGAAATTCCATGTCCTTGGGATCCCATCTGCCCGTCCTTCCCGCCCAGCCCAGCCCAGTCTGTCTGCTCCCCAGCCTCCCACGCCCCCCATTGGCGTGCATGAGTGACATGCGTGTCCCGCACACCCTCGGTCCTGTTGTCCATCTCCCCCATCGCCCGCACACCCTCGGTCCTGTTGTCCATCTCCCCCATCGCCCGCACACCCTCGGTCCTGTTGTCCATCTCCCCCGTCGCCCGCCACCCACGCCGTCCCCACTGCCTTAGGCTGGCTGCCCCTTTGGACAGGGGCTTTGTCTACCCAAGTCACAGGACACGTGAAATTCAGCCTTAATTAAGTTGTTGGGTGATGGAGTCCCAGATGTGGGAGGCTCAGCCAGACCCTCTTGGGCTGCCCACCCGGAGAGCGACTGGGGCTGAGAGCCTCGCCTGGGGCCACTGTGCAGCTGCCGCCTCCCGCCTCCCACCTCCCGCAAAGGCCTGGGAGTGGGGCCCAAGGCAGCTGCAGCCCCACAGCCTGGCCTTGACCCTGGGCTGCCCCACAGCCCCCCTGCTGGCTCCGTGCCCACTGGGAAAACAAGCTCCTTATCTCGAATGCTTCCTGTGAACTGCAAACAGCCACGTGTCCCTTGGGAGCCACTCTTGATGAACGTGCCCTCTGTCCCACGACCCAGGGTGAGGCCGTTCACCCTCGGGCTGGGGGCCACCGGGACTGGAGGCTCTAGGCCTGGAATGAGGGGAGGGGACCTGCGGCAGGGCAGAGCCAGGCTGGAGACCACTGCATTGGGAGGGTGAGGAGGGAGAGGAGGGGGCAGGAGGGTTTGGGTCCAAGGCCTGGTTGCACAGGACAGCTGGGGATGGGGGAGAGGGGCACAGGCCAGAAAGGCTGGGGCTGCGGGGGCTAGCTAAGAGGCGAGGGTTCTGGGTGGCAGCAGCAGGCAGGGACCTTCCCGGCGGCCCCAGTGGCTCCCTCCCTCCCAGAACCCTTTCTCCTTCCTTGGGCCTAGAGCTTCCTCCACGTACTTTTCCCCGCCCCCGCCTTTCCCCTCTCTCTCACCCCGCTCAAACATGCTGTGACCTTTCCAGGGCCCCTGGACATCACTCACTGGGTGACAGAGGTTGACAGGCATGGAGCTAAGGAATGGGAGGCAGGGCGGGGGCGGCCAAGCCTCTCCAGCCGCTCCCTTCCCGCTTGCCCCACAGACGGGCCTCCCTGGATGGTCCTGGGTCAGCACACACGCTCCCAGGCGCTTCCTTCCCCAGGAGACAGTCCCCAGCCCCTGGCGGCCCAGATCCTCCTGCTCAGGCCGACGCATCCCACCTGGGCCCCAGAAACCTCTTTGGAAAGGGACAGTCACCTCAGAGTGGCAAGCACTTAAAAGAGACCCCCAACAGGCCGGTGTGTCGTGGTGGCAGGCAGGGTGTGTCTGGAGAGAAGGGGGACGTGTCCCCAGCTGGGCCTGGGGGCGGCTCCGTGGGAAAGTCCCACCTGGTCCCAGCCCCGGGTCTCCAGCCTTCAGACTCCTTGGGGGTCTCTGTGGCCTGGCAGAGGTCGGTGGCCCCTCAGTGGAGGTGAGGCCTCTCCTGGGTCACCACCGCACACCGGCCTGCTGGGAAGCTGGGGTTCTGGGCCACAGCCGGCCCTGGACGTGGAGGGGGGCATCAGGCCAGACCCCCCAGGGGCTCACAGGGCTCTGGGAGGCCCTGGCAACCCCAGGGTGCCCCCAAGCCCTCAGAAGGGTTGTCCCTACTTGGAGGGGACCACACAGCCAGGTGGGCAGGAACAGGCACCACGGCGGCCCTTCCCTGTCCACCCTCTCACCAGTGGCCCGCAGTGCAGTCCAGGAAGCACCGGACAGAGCACGGGGCAGGGAGGGGAGGCCCGTACTGGCTTCACAGAGGTCTGGGAGGGGCTAGCCCCTGTGCAGACAGACCCCTGAAGCCTAGAGCCGCCGGCCCAGCTGAGGTCCTTCCCAGGGGCCATTCTGGGACCCCTGACCCCATGCACCTGTGTCACAGGGCTATGAGCGCCCCCAGCCCCAGGACCTCCACGTTTCTCTCTAGAGGGAAGAGGAGGAGGACGGCAGGCCTGCTGGCCCCACACTTACTGGTTGGGGACGCTCAGAGGGGGCAGCCGCCATGCCGGGAAGTTAGGGTGGGCAGAGGAGCAGCGGTGCCAGGACCCCCAGGCCATGCTGCCACCCCGGACCCTGAACAGTGGGCTAGTGTGTGGGCCTGGGGAGTGAGGGCCCAGGCCGGGCTGGGTCTCGCTCCATAAACCCTGGCTGGCCGGAGCTGCAGACATCACTGTTGACACAGGGGTGATGTCACTGCCGGCCAATGGGGAGACCCTCGGGGGCCCTACGTGTGCCTCTCTGTGCTCCCAGGGCCCCCGCCACGCACGCCGCCTGCTCTGAATGCTGCCTGCATAAACCGGTTTTTCTAAATGTCTTTGGGGCCCTGCTTGCCCCCTGGGCCCCATCTCCTGCTCATCCCACCCCACCCTTGGGCCCAGCCTATGAGCCAAGCGGGAGTGGGGAGTGGCGGAGAGCCCTGGGCCTGCCCGCTCCCACAGGCATGTGGGCCCCAGAGCCCTGACCCCTGCACCTTCACCTCGCCAGCCTCTCTCCCATCTGCCACGACCCCAGCTGCCACCATGGCTCCCCACAGTCACCCCTGGGCCGTCTCTTCCTCCTGTCGGGAGAATGTTCCTCCTGGGAGAGCCTGAGGCCCCCTCTCTGCTCCTTGCTCCCCCGTCTGTCTCCCCTGCCCTGCCTTGCAGCCCTGCCCTGGGTCCATATGCTCAGAGCTGGCTACATATCCTGTGGCTGCCCATGACACATAGCTCCCCCAGGCAGGGCCGGACCCCGGGCACCTCTTTGCCTCCAGGGCCGGCCCCACTCTGTTGGAGGTCAGCCGGTTCCGAGGCCTCCAAGCCGCCTTTCTACTTCTCGATTCCAGGGCCTGGTCTCCACTCCCTCTGGGCTTTGGGGTGCATGCTGCAGTGCAGCCTCCCCGCGCCCCGGCCTCCATGCACCCTGCTCGTGCTGCCTCAGAGGCTTGGCATCTCCCCCATCTTCCAGCCAGGCAGCCAGTTTTCTGCAACGTGGGGCCCACGGTCAGCGTCCCCCACAGCCCTGCCAGCCCTTCTCCCCGGGGGTCCGCCCTGCACCCCCTTCCCAGGAGCTTGCTCTGCACCCACTGCTGGGCCTCCTGGCCTAGGGGCTTGGCACGTGCCTGTGAGCAGAGGCGCTGGGCAGGAGGAGGAGGAGGAGCCTGCAGTGCCTGGCGCCCGTGTGTGTTTACTGGTCCGGCCCCAGCCCCGCGCCGCTCCCCGCGGACCCGGCCTCCCGCCTGTGTCCAGCCAGGTGTTGGGTGATGGAGCGGGGCTCCCTAAGGACAAGGAGCACAGTGTCTGCTTTCTTTGCAAGCACAGTGCTGACAAGGAACAGAATACCCACAGCGACTGCTTCCAGGAAACGGCTGCAGGGCGGGCGGGAGCCTCTGCGAGAGCAGCCCCTTCCCAGCAAGCCGGCCTGCAGGTGGGCTTCCAGGAAGGGGCCCCCGCTGGCTTCCCTCAGCCCTGGAAGGGGGCCAACGGTGTCACCAGGAGCAGGCCAGGGAGCGGGGTAGAGGGGGGAGAAAGAGAAAGGAGAGGCGCGGAGGAGGGAAGGAGGGACGGGGCGCAGGCCTATGCTATGCCTAGTGTGGTTACCACAGCCTTAAGGGAGAGCAAGGCTGACCACAGCTCCTTCTCGAACCTTCCAATCCCCCTTTTGAGAAGTCACAAGATCTCCACTCAGGTCTTTGGCTCTCTGGGGCTTGTCAGGCATCACACACACACACACACACACACACACACACACACACACCCGTGCACACCCATCTGAAAACACAAGCAAGCTGGGCCACTGGGGGAGACCATTCCCTGAGACCCAGCCGGGGTCCAGGTTGAGGGGCTGACCTCCTGGCCCCCATGTTGGGAGGGCCGAGGAGGGCCCCCGCCCGGACCCACTGCGCCCTTGGCTCTGAGTGCTCAGATCCCACCCCCATCTCTAGAGAGGAGGAAATCATTTATCTTCCTGGGAGCTCGGGGTCGGGGAGAGGGGGCTGCCCTCCTTGAGTCCCCGACTGTTTTCTTTGAGACTTCCCAGGGTGCATTGTAGTCAGACCCAAAACATCGCTTTGTCCCTGTTGAAGGGACTTCACTTCCTTCGTAGAGTTGGGATTTTCTGTCTCCATTCGGTGGTATACCAAGTGCCTGCCTCCCACACCCAGCTGCCCCTAATCCCTGCCTGAAAACGTGCTCCTGGGTCACGGAATTCATGCTGAGACACAGCCACACACAGCCAGGCTCAGGGGTCCACCCTCCAGGGAACACCACCCCGCTACAGGGCCACGATCACACACACACCCCGCGGAGCATCTCCGGGCCGGACAGGACCCACGCCCTCCACAGCCCGGAAAGGCGGGTTAACTGGTCAGCATGCAGAGACCCACCAAGTGGAGACCCCGCTCCCAGGCACAGACGCACAGCTGTGGATGCACGTCCTCGGTGACAAGGTAGCTGAGGTCGCGTGCCCCGGGTGTGTACGGCCCACAGAGCCACAGGGGACTCGCCAGGAGATGCGTGCACCGAGGGTCCAGCGTGGCCACAGCAGCAGCACGCGCCTCAAGTCCTCTTCTCTAACTGGATGACTTGGTCTTCACTCAACCTAAACGTGCCGCAGAAACTTGGGTGGGTGGAGGGTCTGGGTGTGAAGACCTCGGTGCCTAACAGGGTCTGGGACGTGGCCAGAAGCCAGGGCACCCTCAGGGTCTCCCTGAACGGTGGAAGTTCCTCCCTCCCCAGATTTCCTGGCACCTTTGCAGGCAGCCACAACCCTCACCCCGGCCCCGCCACCCCCATGTTGGGGTTTGGGAGTGAAATTCCAGCCCGTTTGCTTCTCCGCACTGAAGTCAGTGCAGGGGCGTTTTCAAAGTGCCTTTGGGTGTTGGGGTGCCTGGAGCCTGTCTAACAACCCTCTCTAAGCCCCTTTTCTAAAAAGCAGGAAATCGGGTTGGGCCAAAGATAAACACACATTCCAACCTGGCAGGTCGCTCAGAGCTAGGGGCTCGGGCGGGCTCCCAGCCCCCGCCCCGGGGTGCGGCAGGAGGCTCCGAGGCTGAGCACCTGCTGCGGGGCCCCCGGGCCTGTGGCTCCCCGCCTGCCCGCCTCACCCTGAGGTTCAGCCCCCTGAACGCTGCCCCCACCACCTCCCTGTTTCAGGGCCTGTGGCCCAGACCCCCTCCAGCACTCAGGGGCTGCCCTAGGGACACCACCCCAGGAACTGCCCTAGGAAGCCCGTTCCGCTGCAGGGAGCAGAGAAACCTGGGCTGCCCAGAGGTAGGCGCTGCCCCTGAGTACACGTCCTGCTCTCAGGGGGCAGCCAGCGTGGGCACAGCCATGGGCAGTGCTGGGAGATGGTGGGGGCCACCAAGAGGCCTGTGTCCCTTCCCCAGCGGGTGTGAGGAGGAACAGCCCTGTCCCCATACAGCTCCCAGGTGGAAACTCCAGAGCAAGCGTGTCATTCATACACCCCGGGCCCAGAGATGTGGACGTGTCCAGCACGCCTGTTCTCTCCAAGTGACCAGGAGGAGACAATCCCTAGGAGCTGACACAGGTGACGAAGGCCCGAGGTGGCCCGCCTTTTCCCCCGGCCCCATTCCCATGTGTCCTTCCCCAGGCAGGGATTTGAAGTGGGCAGAGTCTTCCATGTTCTCCAGGAGAGGTTTTCTGGGTGCCCCTCTCCCCCTCCCTACGGTTCCCCTGCCCCGCCACCCTGGGCACCCCTGGGGCTGCCTGCCGCACCCTGCAGCCGCCACCTGGGGAAGCCGGCTTTTATCTCCTGAGCCCTGCTTTGTAAACCTCCTGCAGAGTTGGATGTTTATAATAAAGGCCGTTTATAGACCTAACTCTTGACATGTAATGGATGGGTTACTTCATCCTGCCGGCCAAAACCCACTTGGGTAAGTCAAATTGGCCTGTAGGGTCAGGAAGATGAATGCGGCCTCACCCTGGGCTGGCCCCAGCGACCTCTGACCTCCTCCATGAGATGGCAGCCAGTCCCAGGGGCACCATCCCAGAGACTTCAAGAGACTCCCTCACCGGATGTCTACATGCATCCTGGGGGGTGACCACCCGCCCAGGTTTTAGCACACAAGTGTGTCCCTGGAAACCCCTCGGTCTCTGACAGTCCCCAGGGCCCACAGCTGGATGGGGAGGGGGCAAGAGAGGGTGCAGAGGGGAGGCCAGACCCAAGGGACGTGGGGAACCACCCTGCTCTTCCGCCCTGGACACCAAGACCCCAAGGGCGGCTGGGCCGGTAGGGGAGGGGCGTCCCTAACCGCCTTCCTGTCTGTTCTTTGTCAGTCGGGGAGGAATTTTCCTGACAGCTCTGTGCACTGGGAATGGGGGTGGAAGGCAGGGGGGAGGGGGGAAGGAATGGGGAGGCCGGGACCCCACCCTTATTTCCAGGGGCTGCCCCTTGTGTTCCCAGCGCCTGCACAGCGAGGGGCCGGGAGCTGGGAGGCCTGGCTGAGGGAGCTGCCGGCCACTGGCCTCTGCGGGGAAGCTGACCCGGAACCCATGAGTGGGCTGCCTTGGCACCTGGGGAGCGAACCCCTGCATACCGGGGTTCTTGGAGCTCCAGCAGCAAGACCCCGGGGAGGGAGCCCGGGAGCCCCTCACCCTGGGCCCTCCCGCTCCTCCTCACCTCCTCCCTGTGGCCACCCTCAACTTCTTCCTCCCTCCTCCTGGTCCCCTGGCCTCCTTAGGACCTCTGCCCCAAGGCCACCTGCCCACTGAGAAGCCCACCGGCTCCCCCACAACCCCCTGGCTCCTTGTGCGGGGCCGTCCCTCCGGCGTGGCCCCGGCTCCCACCCACAGCAAAAGGGGAGCAGGAACGGGACTGGCGCGGGGTTCGTGCCCCTGTCGGGGTGGGGTCGCCCAGAGCACCTTGTGGGCCTCCCAGAGCGGCCATGGCCAGCTCTACCCCAGTCACCTAGCCCGGGCTTCAGGGGTCTGGGGCCAGCACCAAGGCGTCATTCTGATGGGACTTTGGGGCGACAGGAGGCACTCGCTCGGGGATGGTTTGGTGGTCCCCGACCCCTGCCTCAGAGCGCAGGCCCCCTCCGCAAGCCCAGCCCCCGCCCAGTCTGTGAAGCCCCTGGTCCCACAGCCCCTCCACTGCCATCACTGCATGCTGACCGCCTGCCCTGCACCCCTGAGGTCCACACACCCTGTGCTCACCCCACCCCTGGTGTGTGCTGCGCTGCACCCATCCCAGAATCCCCCACCCTGGAACCCCCATCCCCCTTTTCATGTACTCCTCCCCATGCCCCCCAGCCCCCCTCTGCCCAAGGCTGGCCTCCCCCACATCATGCCCACAGCCCGGATTCCAGAGTCCTCGAGACAAATTGCTGTAACAGTGTTTATTGATGATGAGTCCAGGGCTCCTGCTGAAGCCCTGGTGGGGAGGGGCACAGAGCGAGATGGGGCGTAATGGAATGCTTGAAGGCTGCTCCGTGATGTCGGTCGGAGCTTCCAGACTAGGCGAGGGCAGGGTGAGGCCTCGGGCACACAGCCGGCGCCCAGTCACCCGGCCCAGATGGAGGGCGGCCGGGCCCTGCACAGGCACTTGCCAAGGTGGCTCACACTCACGCACACTCGTACTGAGACTCAAGGCCGTCTCCACAACTCCAACCAGTGCAAATGACTTAGTGCAAATTAAATTCAGAAGGGACGGGGGAAACAGAGTCGTGGAGGCTTTGAATCTCTCAGAAAAAAGGAAAGACAGGAAAGCTCAGAAACAAAGAGACAGAAGGATGAAAAAGAAGAAGAGGGAGGTGGTGGGGACGGCGTCATCCCGCTGGAGGAGCTCAGCTCTGGGATGATGTGGTGGCTGGTGGTCAACCGTCCGCCGCAGGGGGTGGCCATGAAGATGGAGTCGCCGGTGCGGGGTGGGTGCTGCGGGCGCTGCTGTTCCGATGGTGTCTTTGATGTTGGGCTGATGAGGTCTGGTTCCTCTAGCTTCACCTAGAGATAGCGACACGTGGGTGGGATGGGGGCAGGGTGCTCGGGGGCCTGGAGGCTTCCGGAAGGAGCGCTGGTGCTCACCTTCCAGAGCCGATTCCTGAGTCAGGTAGTGCAGTGGTTGTAAAGTGCAGCATATTCATTTCCAAGCTAGAGGGTTTTGTGTCCGGATTCAAAGGCCCAGGCTTGAGCTGGGTAGCACCATTTCTGTGGATGGGGAAGGAGTGAGGTCCCACTCAGCTCCTCTCGCGTGCCCCCCACCCCAAGTGTGGCAGGAAGCCCCTCACCTTTCATGTTGTGGGTTCTGGGAGCCCAGAGGGCAGCCATAGTGTGCCGACTCCGTGGAGGAAGTAAAGAAACAGACCCGCTTCTTGCCGCAGCCCCACCAGCCTAAGGTGTTCTGTAGAAGACAGAGGTCGGGGCAGTGAGATGGTGGCCCGGCGGGGCGGTCTGGGCAGGGCCGCGTCCTGACGCAGGGAGGGCAGACACGCTCACCAGGAAGGCCGGACGCGCCTCCTCTGTCCTCGCCGTCACACCGGACCATGTCATGTCCTGCTTGTCACGTCCACCGGACCTGGCGTCTTGGCCTTCGGCAGCTGGTGGGCACGTCCACCCCAGCTGGAGACCTGGCTGTGGGGAGAACGAGAGAGTCGTGTGGGGAGAACGTGTTGGTTGTGTGGGGAGGGGCGGGTGGGGGCTGAGGGTGGCAGAGGGGGAAAAACTCACCCTCGTCTCCAGCCCGAACGCTGAGGCACCGATCCCGGCTCCGTCGCCGCCCGCGAGGCCCGCCTTGGCCACGGGCTCTGGAGGCCAGTGCCTCCCGCTCGCCGCCCGCTGCGCTCCTCACCCCTGCCTGCACCATCCTCCCTCCTGAGAGCTCATTCACTCCGCCCCGCCCGCCTCGCCTAGTCTGGTCTCGCCCCATGCCCTTGACTCCCCTGGATGCTGTACTGTCTGCCAAGCCAGCCCCAGGGGCTGAGCGGTGAGGGCATACAGCGTCACCAAGTCCACTGTGGGCCCTCTCCGCACCAGACCCTGGGCCGCAGTGCCTCGTGGGACCGGCGCCCGCAGGCCGAGCCCCTGCAGCCTCCTTGCTGCGCAATGTCCCGGGGCCCCCCTCCCGTGGCCGCTTCGCCCTCCTGGTGACGTCCTGCTGCAACTCCCCGAGCACTGCCTGTCTTCCCGCTCTCCAGCCCTCGAGGCTCCGGCATAGGCCTGAGAAAGCCGTGCCGGAGCTGCCCCTGTGCCTGCTACTAAATGAATTGCGGTGGGTGAGGTGGCAGCTGGGGACCCCTCTGTCCTGTGTCCCCTGCCATGTCCCTGTCTGACCCAGGCCTGGGGTACCACCCCACGTGCTGGACCCTACGCTGGCCACCC
This sequence comes from Homo sapiens, assembly GCF_000001405.40. NCBI lineage: Eukaryota > Metazoa > Chordata > Mammalia > Primates > Hominidae > Homo > Homo sapiens. The sequence goes on from NC_000011.10 coordinate 1,997,169, forward strand.
CTGTGCTCCCTCCCTGCCCTCTTGCTCTTTCTGCCTGGAACGGGCCCATAACCCCCCAGCCTTGCGCAGTCTCGGCTCCCCCCGAGAAGATGTCACCTTTGCTAACTCTCCTGCCCCCATCCTGCCCCTCTGCTGGGAGGGTGTCTGCTTCTCCCCGCCAGCCCTCGATCCCCTAAACCTCCTTCTTTCAGAAGGCTGGGGAAGCGAGGCCTGGGGAGGGAAGGGACTCACCTGCCCGGCAGATGGGGTCCTCACCTGCCCGCTGCTGCCAGCTACACCTCCGTTGCCCAGGCCCTGGGATCAAACCCTGCCCACCAGCTCCCCTCGTCCAACCAGCTGCCACGTCCTGTAACCAAAAGTGACCGGGATGAATGCCTGGCTCCCCCTTCTTTCCAGCCCTAGCTCAGGCCCATCGTCCCCAGCTGATGTCGCCCTGTCTGCACGATGCCTGGGCGCCTACTCCACACTCCTCACTGGCCTCAGGCCCCACCAGCCCTGCCTCGAGCTAGCCCCTCCACCCGTCATCACTCCTGCCAGACTCCAGATGTCCAAGGTGCTCCTTGGCTCCCACAAGCTCTCCTCCAGCACCCCATCTTCCCCTGGTTGCCCCTCGGTTCCCCACTTCCCCAGTTTCCCCCGTTACCCCCCACCCATCCCACCCCCTCCCTCACCCTGCTCCTCGGTCCTAGCCCGGGCTTTTTCTAACTGGGGTGGCCCCGCCCAGAATTCCCGCCCCTGCCCTGCCGGCCAATCAGAGCAGGGCCCTCCCGAGGGCCCCCGCAGGGCCCACCTCCGCCCTGGACAGTTCCAGCACACGTCTCTCTCACCCAGCACCCATCCTGGAATTCTCCAAAGACGGCCTCCCCGCACCCCTCCTTTGGCATCCGGAGACAGGGCTGAGCATTGCCCCATCACCTCCCTCAGGGTCCAGGACTTCTCCCTCCCAGACCACTGTCTCCCCTCAGGGGACACCATGCCTGCTGCTCCCTGCCTGCCAGCGCCCTGCACATACTTTGCACATGGCTGGGGGCCAGCTGCGGGTCCCTGGGGACTCGGATGGCACAGAGGGCCCCTTCCTGCCACCATCACGGCTCAGACCTCACGTTCCTGGAGAGTAGGGGTGGGGTGCTGAGGGGCAGAGGGAAGTGCCGCAAACCCCCTGGTGGGCGCGGTGCCAGCCCCCCAGGCCGATTCCCATCCAGTTGACCGAGCTTGTGCTGGTCACCGCGGTTTCCGCAGGACAGAGTCCCCACAGCCGCTGGGCACCCCGGTCCCATTCGCGGCCACTTTCCTGTCTGAAGACCGCATGTTGCCGGGCTGTGCTTACGGCTCGCGGGCGCACTCTACTGACAAGCGGTGGGCGGCCTCACAGACTCTCCCAGGCCCGCGTGGGGCACCACGGTTGGGAGTGGAGTGGAGACTGGCGAGTTTCGACTCCCCCAGCCACCCCGCTGTGGGTCCGTCGGTCACCACCTTGGCCTTTGGTGAGGGTTGTTGGGGCCCTGCAGTCCCTGGGGTTCACCTCAAGTCTCGAGTGTCAAAGCCGTGAAGGGGAGCACCAGGGCCAAGGGACCCAGAGTTCACGGGTCCAATCACCCAGCAGGCCCTCTGGGATGTGGAAGGGCTGGCCGCGCCTTCGGCAAACCCTCTGTTCCCATGGCCCCACCGGAAAGGGCTGAGTGCTTGCCTGCTGAGCACTGACCGCCGGGCTTTGTCGTGCGTGAACCCCACGACATGGGGGAATTTCCATGGCATGAAAATTCTCAGGCTTTTCCATGAGTGGACCCCCAAGTTAGGAGACCAAGGCAGACCCCCACATTTTGCTAAAAGTGGAGTCCAGCCTTGGGTCACCTTCAGACTGTGATGTGAGTCACCACTGCCGCCTCTCGGCCATTTCCGTCTCCACAGCCACAACCGATTCTGTGCCATCGCTGGGAGATGGGCTCACTGGGGACAGCACCCAAGACCCAAGGGGAGACTCAGGAAATACTCCGGAAATACAAATGCTCCAGGCAAGGCGGCTCCCCAGGCCCCTCGCTCCTGCTCCAGGCATTGTGGGAGGGGCTAGCACAGGATCCGGTCGTGCTGCCAGCAATGCGCAGGCACGGGGAACACCTGTGGGCAAATTCACCTCTCCACGTGCCAACTACCGCCGGCCGGACGTGATGATCCCTGAGCGTGGAGCACACCCGAGCCATCGAACATCCTAACCCCATCAGGATCCCCACCCCGTACCGAGTCCACAAGCCGCAGGGTGTCTGCTGCACCCACGATAATGGATTATCTCCAGCAACACAAGGATCCTGGACCAGAGAATAAAGCAGCAGTGGCGCTCCCAGCTCTTTAGCATCTTAAGCTCCTGAATTAGCACCTCAAACCTGCATTGAATGAGAATGTTAATGTCTGGCCACTTAGGGCTGAGGAGATCAGAGTGTTCACTGGGGAGGCAATTGTCAGTTCAGTAAAAGGCTGGGGATTTGGGGGCTGTCCTTAGACGGAGTCGGAGCTGTGCTCTGGGATAGATGTGGAAAATGTAAGATTTTGGTGGAACACACTGTGATCATCACATAAGTAGGCGTGACTTGAGTCCCAGGCCATGACACTGAAGCCCTCGGAGTGTGACCCGGGGCCACGGGGCTGTGGATAATGCCCGACCTGAAGATCTGGTGCGGCTCCCATGAGTGTCCTATTCCCAGATGACCCCCGTGAACCCTGCGACGCGTGGCTTGGGTGACCCGGGACGTTTCCACGGGCGAACCCCAGTTGGGGCGGGCTCGGGCTGTGATGTGTGAGCCTGCACTGCCGCCGCGCGGCCACTTCCGATTCCACAACTACAACCAATTCCGTGCCATCCAGGCGGTGAGACCGAAGGAGAAGCCTCCAGAAATACCCATGTGCTATGCAAGAGCCCCCGGGCTCTGTGCCTGCCAGAGACCCTGCGAGAAGGGTTTCACACTAGGGCCGAGATCCCCATCATCCATGGAACTGGGACACCTCATTGTTCCCCTAGTATCTCCTCCCATCTCCCCAACCTTCAACAGTGCACCCTGGGGTGAATCAGACACGTAGCCCGATATGGCTCCCATGAGTGTCCTATACCTCACGACCCCTGTGAACCCTGTGGCGCCCGGCTTGGATGACCTGGGATGTTTCCACGGGCGAACCCCAGCTGGGGCGGGCTCAGGCTGTGATGTGTGAGCCTGCACTGCCGCCGCGCAGCCACCTCCGATTCCACAACTACAACCAATTCTGTGCCATCCGGGCGGTGAGACTGAAGGGGAAGCCTCCAGAAATACACATGTGCTATGCAAGAGCCCCCGGGCTCTGTGCCTGCCAGAGACCCTGCAAGAAGGATCTCACCCTGAGGCCAAGATCCCCATCATCCAAAGAATGGGGACACTTCATTGTCCCCCAAGTATCTCCTCTCATCTCCCCAACCCTCAATAGTGCACCCTGGGGTGAATCAGACACATAGCCCGATGTGGCTCCCATGAATGTCCTATCCCTGATGACCCCCGTGAACCCTGCGGCGCCTGGCTTGCGGGACCCGGGACGTTTCCGCGGGCGAACCCCAGCTGGGGCGGGCTCGGGCTGTGATGTGTGAGCCTGCACTGCCGCCACGCGGCCACTTCCGATTCCACAGCTACAACCAATTCTGCACCATCCGGGTGGTGAGACTGAAGGGGAAGCCTCCAGAAATATTCATGTGCTATGCAAGAGCCCCTGGGCTCTTGAGCCTGCCAGAGACCCTGTGGGAGGGGTCTCACGCTGAGGCCGAGATCCCCATCATCCAAAGAATGGGGACACTTCACTGTCCCCCAAGTATCTCCTCTCATCTCCCCAACCTTCAACAGTGCACCCTGGGGTGAATCAGGCACGTAGCCCGATGTGGCTCGTACAAGGGTCCTACCCCCGATGACCCTCGCGAACCAATGCGGTGCCTGGCCTGTTGACCCGGGATGTTTCTGCAGGCAAACCACAGGTAGCCGGGCTCGGGCTATGACGCCTGAGCCTGCCCTGCTACCACGTGGCCACCTGTGTTTCCATACCTTCAACTGATTCCGTGGCATCTGGGCAGCGAGACTCCAGGAACACTGTGCGCTCTGCTTGGCAGGCTCCCAGGATCCCTGTTCCTGCCAAAGGCCTTGTGGGAAACGATTCCCTCTGGAGCATGCGCTTGAGTCCTTGGGTCCCAGTCATGATCACCTCAGAACACAGGGATCCCTCATTTTGGAAGTCTCTGCTCTCCTGTCCCAGCTTCAGTGCCTGACCCAGGTGATACGGGGCCATGGTCCTCTGATGAGGTCCTTGAGTCTGATTCCAGCAGCACAGAGCCTCCAGGGCAGAGCCGAGGTGAGGCTCTGGAAAATGCACTGTCAGGCTCACACAAGCACATGTTGGCCAGATGTACAGATTCCACAGCACAAGGCAGGCAATTGGGCACAGACCGCACAGTGCACAAACACCATTGATCCCCATCCTTTATCGATTCCACAAACCGCGGGATGTCTGCTGCACCCACATTAGCAGATTATCTCAGCCAACACAAGGATCCTAGACCCCAGAATAAAGCAGCAGTGGCACTCCCAGCTCTTTAGCATCTCAAGCTCCTAAATTAGCATCTCAAACCTGCACTGAATGGGAATGTTAATGTCTGGCCACTTAAGATTGACAAGCTCAGAGTGTTCACTGGGGAGGCAATTGTCAGTTCAGAAAAAGGCTCGGGATTTGGGGGCTGTCCTTAGTCGGATCTGTGCTCTGGGATGGATGTGGAAAGTATAAGCTTTTGGCGGAATTTGCTGTGCTCATCACGCGGGTAGGCGTGACTTGAGTCCCAGGCCATGACACTGAAGCCCTCAGAGTGTGACCTGGGGCCACGCGGCCGTGGATATGGCCCGATACGAAGACGTGGTGTGGCTCCCATGAGCGTCCTATTCCCAGAAGACCTCCGAGAACCCTGCGGCACCTGGCTTGGGTGACCCAGGACGTTTCCGCGGGCGAACCCCATCCAGGGAGGGCTTGGGCTGTGATGTGTGAGCCTGCACTGCCGCCGCGCGGCCACTTTTGAGTCCACACTTACAACCGATTCTGTGCCATCCGGGTGGTGAGACAGAAGGGGAAGCGTCCACAAATACCCATGTGCTACGCAAGAGCCCCCAGTTTCTGTGCCTGCCAGAGACCCTGTGGGAGGGGCCTCACGCTGAGGCCGAGATCCCCATCATCCAAAGAATGGGGACACCTCATTGTCACCAAAGTATCTCATCTCCCCAACCCTCAATAGTGCACCCTGGGGTGAATCAGACACGTAGCCCAATGTGGCTCCCATGAGTGTTCTATCCCTCACTACCCCCGTGAACCTTGCGGCACCTAGCTTGCGTGACCCGGGACGTTTCCGCGGGTGAACCTCAGCTGGGGCGGGCTTGAGCTGTGATGTGGGAGCCTGCACTGCCGCCGCGCGGCCACTTCCGATTCCACAACTACAACCGATTCTGCACCATCGGGGCGGTGAGACCGAAGGGGAAGCCTCCAGAAATACACATGTGCTATGCAAGAGCCCCCAGGCTCTGTGCCTGCCAGAGACCCTGTAGGAGGGGTCTCACGCTTAGGCCGAGATCCCTATCATCCAAGGAACTGGGACACCTCATTGTCCCCCAAGCATCTCCTCCAATCTCCCCAACCTTCAACAATGCACCCTGGGGTGAATCAAACACATAGCCCGATGTTAGTCGCATGAGTGTCTATCTCTGACAACCCTCGGGAACCAATGCGGCACCTGGCCTGGGAGACCTGGGACGTTTCTGTGGGTGAACCCCAGCCAGGCGTGCTCGGGCTGTGATGTGTGAGCCTGCACTGCCGCCGCGCGGCCACTTCTGATTCCACACGTACAGCCGATTCTGCGCCATCAGGGCAGTGAGACGGGCCTCCCTTGGTGAGGTCAGCAAGATGGGCCGCCCTCGGTGAGGCTGGCATCCAAGACTGAATGGGAAGCCTCCAGAAATACCTGTGCGCTGTGCTTGGCAGGCTCCCACGATCCCTGTTCCTGCTGGAGGCCCTGTTGGGAGGGTCTCCCTCTGGACCTTGGGCTCAAGTTCTTTGGGGTCCAAGTCATGACCACTGCAGAACAGAGATTTCTCTTTGCCTCCAAGTATCCACTGTCCTACGTGCTATGGGAGCTGTCATCGGTGGTGTCCCTGGGATTAGGCTCCCAGCCATGCATGGGCTCCTAGACAGCCCCAGGGTTCTCCCATTGGGAAATGCCGCTCTACTACACATCAGCCACAGCGCATTAATGCTTGGTTCTCCTGGTGAAACCGCCTCTGCAAAAATTATTACAGAAAATCGGCCGGCGGTGGTGGCTCATGCCTGTAATCCCAGCAGTTTGGGAGGCCGAGGTGGGTGGATCACCTGAGGTCAGGAGTTCAAGACCAACCTGGCCAACCTGACGAAATCCCATCTCTACTAAAAATACAAAAATTAGCTGGGCATGGTGGTGGGCGCCTGTAATCCCAGCTACTTGGGAGGCTGAGGCAGGAGAATCACTGGAACTCCGGAGGTGGAGGTTGCAGTGAGCCAAGATCGAGCCATTGGACTCCAGCCTGGATGATAAGAGCGAAACTCTGTCTCAAAAAAAAAAAAATATATAACAGAAAATTATGACAATGAAAGAGATCTGACGTAACCAACTCTGTCTTGCCTTCTTATTCATTTCTGGGTGCAGGCTGGACTAACTTTGGGAAGAACTTAGTTTATAGTTTATCTTTGAAACAAAGACAATAACAGCCCTTTCCCAGGACAGACCCTCTTCCTGCCTGGGGACTAGACTTTCAGGACTAACAAATTAGCCACAGATTAGAAATTATGGTTTAGGAGTCATGGAGTCACACATCTGGAGGCTGAAAGATTTTTAACCTCCTCAAATTGCTCCTAGGATTACATCACTGTTGCAGAACCTAAGATCAGTGGTTGAGATATTTCGCAGACCCTGTACTGGGTGGATCAGCTGGCACCCCCCAGATTGATAAACTGGCTCATCTAGTCTTGTGGCCCCCACCCAGGAACTGACTCAGCAGAAAAAGATGGCTTTGACTCTCCATGATTTCATCTCTGACCCAACCAATCAGCACTCCCTATTGACTCGCCCCCTACCCACCAAATGATCCTTAAAAACTTTGATCCCCAAATTTCCTGGGAGACTGATTTGAGTAATAATAAAACTCTGGTCTCCTGCACGGCCGACTCTGTGTGAATTAAACTTTATTGCAAGTCACCTGTTGTGATAAAGCAGCTCTGTCCAGACCGGCGGCAGGGAGAACCTGTTGGGCGGTTAGACGGGTTCAGACACTACTCTCCTGGGGGTGATGGACATCTCTTCTGTTCACTGATTCCCGGAGGAAGATTTGGGAGATTTTGCCTGGGAGCAGGCAAACACCTCGGGCTATTTGCTTTCTAATGGGGCATTTGCATGTGTATAGGACAGACCGGGAGCTGCCCAGTTTCTGCTTCCAGGCGCACCTGCTAAGAGTAGTCTTGCCAGTGAAGCGACTGCTGGGGTACAGCAGCACAGCACAGGGGACCTAGTTTTTTTTTGTTTGTTTTTTTGTTTTTTGAGTCTCGCTCTGTCCCCTAGGCTGGAGTGCAGTGGCATGATCTCGGCTCACTGCAGGCTCCGCCTCCCGGGTTCACACCATTCTCCTGCCTCAGCCTCCCAAGTAGGTGGGACTACAGGCGCCCACCACCTCACCCGGCTAATTTTTTGTATTTTTAGTAGAGATGGGGTTTCACCGTGTTAGCCAGGTTGGTCTCGATCTCCTCATCTTGTGATCCGCCCGCCTCAGCCTCCCAAAGTGCTGGGATTACAGGCGTGAGCCACCGCACCCAGCAGGGGACCTAGTTTTGAGGACTACTGGGGTCGGGTCTGGTCTGTGCTGGCCACGGTAATGGTGAGTGCCTGGGTGCTATGATCCACACACAGGGTGGCACCAACATGAAAGTGGCCAGAGCCCCAGCCAAGGTGCCCAGAGCACTTGGGTGGGGATGTGGGCACAGCGCTGTCACCTGGAGGCAGATGTGGGCACAGTGATGTCACATGGACAGGTATATAACCACAGTGATGTCACCAAGACAGGACGTGGGCACAGTGCTGTCACCGGGATAAAGATGTGGGCACGGTGCTGTCATCTAGATAGACACATGAGCACTGTGTGTCACCTGGATAGGGATATGGCACAGTGTCACCCGGATAGGGACATGGCACAGCGTGTCACCTGGATAGGGACACAGGTATAGCGTGTCACCTGGGTGGGACATGGGCATAGCACATCACCTGGGTGGGACACGGGTACGGCACGTCACCTGGATAGGGACACGGGTACGGCACGTCACCCGGGTGGGACACGGGTACGGCACGTCACCCGGGTGGGACACGGGTACGGCACGTCACCCGGGTGGGACACGGGTACGGCACGTCACCCGGGTGGGACACGGGTACGGCACGTCACCCGGGTGGGACACGGGTACGGCACGTCACCCGGGTGGGACACGGGTACGGCACGTCACCCGGGTGGGACACGGGTACGGCACGTCACCTGGATAGGGACACGGGTACGGCACATCATGCGGGTGGGACATGAGTACAGCGTGTCATTAGATAGAGGGGCTTTCTCTTCTCTCTCCCCTGTGGCTGGGACCTACCCAGATATAAGTAATGGGATAGCCCACTTGGGCTTTGCCAGTTCCCTGAGGCTGCCATAAGGAAGCCCCAGAAACTGGGCTGATTGGAACAACCACGTGGAATGCGTCTCTCCCTGTTTCGATGCTAGAAGGTCAGAGTCGGGGTGGTCAGGGCTGGCTCCTTCTTCGAGCTCTAAGGGAGGCTCCAGTGCTGGCCGACTTTCCCAGTGTTCCCAGGCTCCCAGACCTGTCACCCCAGCCGTGCCCATCTTCCAGGATGCTCTCATCCTGCGCCTTCACGCAGCGTTGCTCTCTCGTGCCTCTCCTCTACCTGTGAGGACACCATGATGTTTGATTCAGGGCCTGCCCTACTGCAGTCTGACCTGATCGATTGCGTCTATAATGACCCTATTTCCAAATGAGTTCGTGCTCTGAGATGCTGGTGGTCAGGGCTTCAACTTGTCTTTTCTGGAGAGGCACTAAACAGACTCCATGAGGAACTGAGGAGTCCAGAGCAGTGAGATGGAAGGAGGCTGGGCCCTGACCCTGGGAGCTGGCGATCTTCACACTCATGACCCTCTCATGTCTCTCTCCGTGACAGAGAAAAGCCAGCTCTGGGCCCATTCAGGATCGTCCTGGGGTTTCCTGGCTGTGGCAGCTGTACCTCCCTCTCACCTGTGCCCACCACTCCAGAGCCGGTGTGTGGGCTCACGCTGGTGGCTGAGTCCTGACCGTGGGGTAACCAAGGGGGAGGCATGAAGATGAGGTCCCGAGAGGAGACACAGGACCGTTCTCCTGATGTGAGCAGGGGTGAGCACAGTCTCATAGGACTGTGTCCTTATAGGAAGAGGAGAGGAGGACACAGACACACACGGAGGGATGACCCCGTGAGGACATGTGGAGAAGGCAGGATCTATAAGCCAAGGAGAGAGGCCTTGGAGGACCCAGCTCTGCAGCAGCCCTGATCTTGGACTCCAGCCTCCAGGACTGGGAGAGGATATATTTCCCTCATTTAAGCCTCCCGGTCCATGGCGGTTTGTTGCGGCAGCCCTGGCAGACTCACCCGGCTGCAACGTGACCAGTGGGTGGAAGCGGCCACCACATTGGCATCTGCTGGGGTGCTGCCTGGGTGCTGCTGCTGCGCATGCCTGGTGTCACCGTCCCTGGCTCAGCCTGCTGGCCCTGGGCCCTAAGCCTGCAGCTCCTCTGGGTCCTGGGCCATGGGTGTCTGTGGCCCCCTGGTGAGGGGTGCTTGCTCCTCCGGATGTCCCCTGTGTTTTGGGATTGGAGGGGTTTGATTCCTGGGGCTGCTGTGACAGTGATCACAGACTGGGTGGCTTTAGCCATAGGAATGGACTCTCTCACAGCTCTGGAGCCCAGAGGTTCACCACCCAGGGGAGGGCAGGGCCGCCCTCTTTCGCAAGGCCCTAGCGTGGCCCCTCCTTGCCCCTTCTGGCTTCTGGGGGCTCCAGGTGTCCTGTGGTGTGTGGCTGCGTTGCTCCAGTCTCTGCCTCTGTCTTCACACGGCCTCCTCCACTGTGTGTCTGTCTCTGTGTGCAAATTTCCCTCTTGTTACAAGGACGACACTCATTGAATGGATGCTTCCCCCCGCCTCAATTCAGTGTGACTTTGTCTTTATTTGGTTGCACCCACAAAAGCCCTTGTCCACAGAAGACCCCACTCACAGGTCCTGGGTGGACATGAATTTCCGGGGACACTCACAGGTCCTGGGTGGACATGAATTTCCGGGGACACTCACAGGTCCTGGGTGGACATGAATTTCCAGGGAACATTATTCAGTGCAGCATAAAGTGGTAAGAGACAGATGTAGGGCACTGGACTGTCCACGTGGGTTCACGTGTGGCCTCGTGAAGTCCAGGTGGCCCTTGCCCCTTCCCACTTCTTGCCCATCTTCTTTCCTGACCACCTGTCCTGCTGGCTTCAGGCCCAGCCCCAGAGCCGGGCAGTAGCGTCTCACAGACAGCCTGGAGCTCCATCTTGGCAGAAGGTCCGATCCCTTCCAACAAAGCCCCTGCCCTTTGACCGTGAGGAGGTGGTGCTTCTCTGATTGAATCCTGACAGAGCCACTTCATCTCAGGGATCACAAAATGGAGCAAAATAAGATGTTCAGCCCAAGAAGGAATGGAGCGAGATGTCACGAGGCTGACGGTTTGACCCATGACTCTGTCTGCTGCCATTTCCTTGACGTCGGTGCACTGACCCAGCCGCAGCTGCCTCTGCGGCACCCGTGCATGCCACTTACAGGGACGCGGTAACAGTCTTTTCCCCACTCCGTGCTCCCTTTGCAAGGAAGCTTCACCTCTGTTCATGCCAGGAGGATGGATCTATTTCCCCTCCCCTGAAATCTGGGTGCATTTTGACCAATAAAATGCAGTGGGATGTTGCTCTGGGACTTCAAAGCTGACCGTTAAGAAGCCTTAGTTTTTTTTCCCCATGAAAAGCCACGTACGGCTCTCACTGTCATGAGAATGCCATGCTGTGAGGAAGCCCAAGCTAGCCGTGTGGAGAGAGTTCCTAGAAAGGGCACCAGAGTGCCAGATTCGGAGGGCAAGGCTACTTGGACCGACCGGCTGAGCCCAGCTTCTGGTGGATGGCAGCCGCATGGCGGAGCCTGGCCGGTCACCCACGGGCAGAAGATGTACCCAGCTAAGCTCTGCCCCGAATCCTGGCTTGCAGAGCTGTGAGAGCTCACGTCACGGCTCTTTTAAGTCACTGGCTTGGGAGTAGTTGCTCATCCAGCAAGGACTGGTGAGAAGCCCGAGCCCCTCCACTTCTCTGAGCCTCACTTTTCTGCACCAGGGAGTTCCCCTGGGAATCAGCCACAAAATATCAGGGAAGCCGGCGTTCACGCAACTCCTCACCGGCTGGCTGAGGGAAAGGAGACGGGGTTGGGACTCACCTCCAGGGCAGGTAGAAGAGAGACAGTCCTGGGGAAATCCAGGTGTGGAGTTTTAGTGAGGCTGGTCCTGGCTGTCACCCACGTTGAGGACGTTGTGCATGGTGTGGGCTGGGCCTGCTGTGGGGTTTCCCCTCTGGCCTGAGCTCACGGTGTGGTGCAGCCTGGCGAGCTCTTAGCTGCTCAGAGTTCAGAGTTGGAAAGGGGCAGGATTGAGGCAGCCTGCCATGGTGGGCCCCAGAATACACACATGGGAGGCTCTGGGGGGTCCCTGCGGAGCAGCTCTGGCTCATCCTGTGCCCGCTGACACCCAGCCTGTGCCTGCCTGTGCCCCTGGACCTCTGGGTGTGTCTGAGGGCCTTGGCCTGTCTTTGGAGGCCTGGAGTTTTAATGGGGCCGGTCCTGGCTGTCAGTCACATTGAGGATGTCATGCATGGTGTTGGTGACTTGCCATCTTGGCAACACACAGCTGGCTCCTGGCCTCTCTGCTGTCGACCCCGCAGCCCTCTCCCCAGCCTCTGCTGACCCTACAGCCCTCCTCCCCACCCGGTCTCTGCCGGCCTCCCCCACCAGCACATCTCGGCCTGGTGCCCCTGCTGCCGGCCATCCAGGGCCTGTGGATCCAGCTCTTCCTTTTGGGGTGAAGACTGTCACCTTCTGCCACGAGCCCTGTGTTCTCACTCAAGGACCCCACTGGTTTGTGAGGTGTCTGTTGGGCTGGACACAGTTGCTGCTTCCAAGCTGGGAACGCAGTGTCCCTGGGCCTCTGTCCCTTCCAGCCTTGTTTTCTGCTGGTCTTCTCTTTGGGATCTCTCTCTCTCTCTCTCTCGTTGTCTGTGCTAACAGTTCTTAGAGACTCTCTTCAGGGGACTTCTCCTCCTCCTGACTCTGAAGTCCTCCTGTATCCCCACTTTCCTGCCCCTGCTTCCTTAGGCTCACGCTGACATCAGCAAGGTGGCCCCAGGACACCCTCTCCAGGGCTGCCTTCTCGTCTCTCCCAAAACACTCACAGCCTCCCAGAGCCAGACCCTCCCCCCTCAAAGACAAGCCATGCTGTCTTCAGGTCCTCTTTCTCCCACTCGTGGACAGGCCCCAGCCAGGCTGGTCCGGGCCATCTTCTTCCCCAGGACCCCCATCCTCCACCCACAGGAGTGGCCACTATCTGGAATCTCAGCACGCCAATGCCAGTGGGATCTGAGCCAGGAAGGCTGGAGAAGTCTCTCGGTAGGAAAGGTGGCTGGCCCTCCTCTTCCTCGCCAGGCTCCTAGGGGTCGTGAGTAGAGGGATGTGGACAGAGGGGACAAATGGCCCAGACTTTGTCTGGGGCTCACAGTGCGGTCCCAGAGAACAGGCACCACGTGGGAGGGGTGTACATGTCGGAGTGGCTTCGTGAAGGCCAGGGCAGGGGCTTGGGCAGGACATGCCCTGCGGAGGAGAGCCCCTTGCTCCCTGCTTGGTGAGAAAGGGCTATCTGACCAGGTGGGGTTTTAAGCCCTTGACCGTGGGTCTGGTTCATAGCAGGAGCTCGAGGGATATTTGTTGGATAAATGAAAGGATCAGTAGATGAGCAAGTGGACTGACTAAGGCTTAGAGAAAGGAGGACGTGGCCTGGGCTTTTCAAGGCACAGAGGACGCCTTCCTGGTCCAGATTCAAGAGGGAGCGAGGGCCTCCTTCCTCCCTCCACGCCAATCGTTCCTGGCCCCTTCCAGAATCATCTGGAAGCTAATCCTTTAGAAAACAAATATTTCAGACATCTCAACAACACAGGCCCTCCAAGTGGGGCCTGAGCAGATGGGCTGGGGCCTGGAAACTATCCCACACCCCCAGACGCTGGAGCCCACCACACCGCCCCAGCAACGTCCGCGGGGGACGCAGACCTCGGCCAGGAAAGTGTCAGAGCCGCCGGCCACCTGCCTGGGCCCCCGCTCCTGGGCCCTGTCCATTCCCCTTGGCAGCTTGAGCCATGGACAGGACATTCCTGAAGGCTGAGGCTGCACATTGGGGGGTTTGGGGCTGGAAAGGCCGGGGCAAGGTCCACAGTCACCCGCGGCTGGGCCGTGCGGCTGCCTCTCCTGCCTCCCTCCCTCCCCATGTGCACCTTCCCGCGTGGGGCTGGCCAGGAAATGGGGCATTTGTCTCTGTGGCCCTTCCTGCTGTCTGTGCCGGGCTGCCCATCTGGTCTTTACCACTAGGTCCCTTTCTGCCCAGCATCCACTGCACATGGTTCAGGCTGGCCACCAAGGCTGCACTCAGAGTCTCAGGGACTGGGTCAACATGGCCCCCTGTGGTGGGGTTGCCTCCTGCTCGCCAGGCTCTGGGGAGCAGCTGCGCTTGGCACCCAACTGCTCCCGGTGGAGCCCTTTTTCCCACCCAGCCCAGAAGCTCCCTGAGCACGGAGACTGTCTTCTTTGGACCTCTTCTATCCCCAGCAGCAGACCTGGGCCCTGTCCCGGAACTCGGAGCCCAGCACATAGGGGCACCCAGCGATGGGCCGAGAGCGTTCATGAGCCCCGAGTGGGGCCAGCCCCGCCTGAAAAGGCCATCATCACGGAGACAGGAGCAGGGCTGGCAGAGAGACGAGGACAAGGGCTTGGAGGTGGGAGGTGGGTGCTGCCGCCGGGACCAGTGAGGGCCAGTGAGGACCACTCTCTCTGCACGTGTCCTCCGGCCCTGTGCATGGAGCCCGGCCCACTCACTGGGAGCGGAAGTGATTGCATTGTTCTCAGATTTGGTCCGTAACAGTCTCCAGAAGGATCCTCTACGTTCTCCTCCCTCTACCCCCAGCAGCTTCAGGAGTGCCGAGCCACAAGGCTGCAGGAGCCTGGGTCCCCAGTCGCCTGGAGGAGACCCTGCCCACACCATACTCAGACCACCCTCCCAGAATGGTGACTGTGCAGAGATGCACGCATGTCGGCTGCACCCCGCCATCTTGGGGTGAGTACAGTGAGGGAGGACCACACGGGGGGCAGGAGGGAAGGGGGACACCTCTCCACACAGGAGCGCCTGCCCTGTCCTGACACACGTGCTGCCCTGGGGACAAATCATTTCCTCGCTCCCAACCCTAGTGTCTCTGTCCATAAATAGGGGTGGGGGCAGAGCCACACTTTAGTGCTTTCCAATGCTGCGTGCTGCAGGCAAACACAGCGTGCACTCAGATTAAACTCAGGGAGACTTCCCTCCATGGAGATGGGGTGTGGCAGGTGCAGGCTGGTAGAGGGAGGGTGGCTGTGGGAGGAAGGTCCCGGCCTGTGTGGCCCTGCTGGTCTGGCAGAGGGAGGGCGGCTATGGGGAGGACCCTGAGGGTGGAAGGTCCCAGACTTTGTGGCCCTGCTGGTCTGGGGAGGAGCTCGTTCACAGGCAGAGGCTGCGTCCCCACCTTGGACCGTGGACCTTGACCCGGACTGGCCGGCAGGACCCTCCCCTTGAGGGGATGTGAGAGGGGGTGACGGAAGGGGTTGAGGTGGCCCTGGGGAGGGGCTCACGGTGTGTGGAGCCAACAGTCTCCGTCTTGACGAACATGCAGGCCCTGTCCTTTCCCTCACCCCTCAGGGTACATATTTCCAGAAAGAAATCACTTCCAATTCCAAGGGCTCCATGGAGGCGGATTTTTCCATCTGGGCTTTTCTGATGAGTTTTCTTGGAGGAAACTTCTGCGTTAACTCACTTCCCTCCTCTGTGCCTCATGCGGGGACAATTAGGGGAGGCAGGGAGACCTGAAGCCCGGAGCCGGCCGCCGGGAACCCGTTTGTCCGTGCGCGCTCGGAAACCTGGAGGCAGCTCCCCAGTTCCTGTCTCTTCCCCGGGCGGGTCCCCACCTGGCCTGTGGCGTGACTGTGAGTCAGGGGTCTGGATCCTCCGAGGCCCGCAGGATCCGGGTGGATGGGCCACGTCTCTGCACGTGCAGCCTCTCCTGGGTCCCCTCTCACATCCGGCTCTGGCTGGGCCATTTCCCACGCTGTGGCTTCCAACCGCTCAGCCCGACTGCATCTGCACCGTTGCTGGCCGAGGGGAGGCTGCCTCTGCCTTCCCAGCCAGGACCCTGGGCCCCCTGTGTGTTTCTGGACCTCACTCTTGGCGGCCACCCGCGCCCTCACCCACATTCTCCCTCCGTGGCCTCGTGGCCTGGTACACTTGGGCTCTGGGCTGCTGTTTCCAGGACCCATGGGACAGGTGGCCTGGCTGCCCAGAGCCACGCTCCCCGGGCCCTTCTCCCCTCCTGCCCTTCTTCCCAGCAACCTGCAGATGGTTGGTGTTCCCTTCACCTGTGCCTGCCTGGCCTTCTCCTGGCCCCACGGTGAGGCTTCTGGGAGCACGAACTGCTAAGGGCTGCACTGTGTCTCTGCCCAGGCACGGAAGTCCTGACCCCACAACCTCAGAATGGGCCTGTCTAGAGGTGGATCTTTAAGGAGGTACCAAGTTAAGATGGAATCATTAGGATGACCCTGAGCCCATCCAACTGGTGTTTCTATAAGCGGAGATCAGAGCACAGACGCTGACAGGGCAACAGCCACGTGAGGACACAGGGAGATGGCGGGGTCTGCAAGCCCAGGAAAGAGGCCTCAGGAGGAACCCGCCCCGCGGCACCTTGACCTCGGACTCTCTCTCTCACGCTGTGGTACTTTCTGACAGCAGTCCAAGAAGACTGAACTCGTCACCTCCCGCTCCGTTTCCCACCACCTCTGGCCTGCCTGGCCTGTTTCCTCCAGCCTCCCACCCCTCCTTGTCAGCCAGTTGAAAATGCCCCTTTTCCCAGGACTGGTCTCTCCATGGGCACCCCTGACCTCCATAGGGAGTCCCACTGTGCCTCGCTTTGGGGGTAATCAAGATTGCCCCTCAGCCTCTCAGGCCCCTCCCTGCTCTTGGGTGCTGGATGCCCTGGGGACCCTTCACCAAGTCGCCCTGCTGTGGCTCTAGCTGGGCATGAACAGG
Source organism: Homo sapiens (assembly GCF_000001405.40). Lineage (NCBI taxonomy): Eukaryota > Metazoa > Chordata > Mammalia > Primates > Hominidae > Homo > Homo sapiens. The sequence continues at coordinate 2,013,686 of NC_000011.10, forward strand.
TGCTGTCTCCAGAGCCCGAGGTCCTCAGAGGGGCCAGGCCCTCTGTCGTGGGAACAAGGACCCTAAGGCCCGGGAGGGGAGCGGCACACGGAGAACAGGCTGGGGACCTGGGCGTGAGCAGCTGGGCATGAGCCCTGCCCGCTTTGTCCCCTGGGGAGCCTGGCCTGGGAAGCATTAGCTTGGCCAGAGTCTCCCTGATGGGATTGGAAGCCCAGCCCTGCCTGGGAAGGCGCCTGTGGGCTGATGGGGATGGGGTGGCCGGGGCCCTGGGCTTCCAGGATGCGTGAAGCTCCTGCCCACACAGGGAGTCAGGTTCCTGTCCTGTGCACCTGGATGCTCCGGGAAGGACTGCCTTGGGGTCTGGCCACGAACTCCACTGGCTCCAGCTGTGCAGCCCCGCAGAAGGTGCTGCAGCACCCGCCCTGCCCAACACAGGCGCGGCTCTGGGGTCCGGCGTGGGCAGGGGATCTGGCATGGACCCATCCTCTTGAGGGCCTCTGGCGTGGTGGGTGGCAGGCTGGGGAGAGGGCTGCTGCCCTCCTTCTGGGCCTCCCAGCCCTGCAAGGGTGGCCTGGAAGGCGGGCAGTGCACTCTGGCCTGAGGGCCCGTGGGAGCCAGTCCTCTTTAGAAGGGCCCCCTCCATCCCCACCCATCAGCATTCATGGCCCTAGTACCAGGGAAGGAGGCCCAGGCCATGGGACCCCTGGACCAACCAACCCAGCCAGTTCTGGAGCTACCCGGGGCACCCGAAGAGTACGTCCCTCTGTTCCCAGGAGCCCCACTTTAGGGCCGTTTCCTGGGCTGACTCCCTGGCCTGCAAGCCCCCAGGTTGCTTACTAAGCCCAAACCCCCACCCATGCCACTGACCGCCCCTGCTCTCTGTTATCCAAAGCCCTCAGCTCCCTGTGCCCTCTGGGACACGGGGCCTCCTCCCTACAAGGAAAGCTGGGTCCCAAGCGCGACCCTGGCCTCTCCATCCTGCCCCCTGGCCACCCACCCCCTCGCCCTGTTTCTCTGTCCTGCAGGACTTCCTCTGGCTTTATTGTTTTAAGTTGGTGGTTGGGCCAACAGCCAGCTTCAATTACACTCCTCGCCTCCTCCTCCTCCTCCTCCTCCTCCTCCTCCTCCTCCTCCACCTCTTCCAGCCCTTCTCTGCCCTAGGCCCAGGGGTGGGCCTTGGGCTACAGCTGACTGTGGTACCCAGGCAAAACAGCCCTAGGAAAATGATAACAGAAAATAATAAAAATTATTTTTCTCTCTCTCTGTCTCCTTCTCCTCCCCCACCTTCCCCTCCCATCATAAAACAAGGAATTTATTTTTCGCGTGGCGCTCTGGGTCGCAGGCAACCACTCCGGTTTTCCCGCTGCGCTGAGCAGGCTGGCGGAGTTCTTGGGTTGATTTTGGGGATGGGAGGTGGGGAGTTGGGGGGGGCAGGGGAGCGTGTTTGTTTTCCATTGCTTTTGCAAAAAAAGGGGAGGGGAGAGAGGGCCTGTGCGGAGGCTGAAGCCACACTGGGGCCCTCTCACTCTCGCTGTCTGCAGAGAGCCAGGAAGAAGGATCAGAGGCGAGAGAGGGGCCGGGGATGGGGCCAGGGACAGAGCCGCTCCCCCTTCGGTTCCCTTTTCCCTTTTGGGTCTGAGGTTAAACAGAGGGCAGCCGGGGCCCGCGACCTCTGCCCTCTGACATCTTTGAACTCAAAAGTCTTTGATGTTTTAACATGCCTCCCCAAACCACAGCCAGGGCACCCTCTCCCAGAGCGTCAGCGACTGCCGAGGGGTGGGTCTGGGCAATGCCCCTCCCGCAGGGCTGGGATCTCCAGGCTCAGGCGGGAGTGAGGCCCCCTAGAACTGCCCTTCGTCCAGCGAGGGGCCATCTCCCTCAGCAGAAGCCCCGTCTTCCCCCTCTTCCCTCCCTGCTGTCTGCTGTCCCTGAGGCCCACACCTTGGTCCCGGAGCCCTGTCTGTAAGCCCCGCCCGTGCAGCCTTCTGGGGGCTGCCTCCCCTCTGGACCTTCAGGTGCGGAGAGGCCTGAGCCGGGAGGGCACACCTGCCTTTCTCTCCTGCCACTCCGCAGGAGCCACTTCTGCCCATCCCAGAACCAGCCCTCAGGGCAGGCTTGGTGCCACCGCTGTGCTGGGTGTGCACGATGCCCGTGGGCCGCCGGCTCCCCTCCGTGCTAATGCCACCCTCCAAAGCCATGGCTTCCTCTCGAGCCTTGGGTGTCCAGCAGCCTGACCAGACAGAGGCCTCCTCAGCCCCGCACCGAAGGAGGATGGAGGGGCCGGGCCGGCTCCTGTCGGTTGCCCGTGCTGGCCGACCCTCCGCTCCCACTGCAGGATGCGGGGGCAGCTCCTGCTCAGCTGTCCACAGGCTCTGGCGGGGGTGGAGGTCTCTCAAGGGGCCTGGGCGACGATGGAGACCCATCTCCCTCTGCTTCTGTGTCTCTGCCTTGGCCCTGGACCTTGCAGGGACCCCCATGTGCTCACTCAACCTCATCCCAGAAGCAGAGCCGGGCCAGTGCCCACTGGGGACACCCACAGTTACACAGAGTGTGTGGACCTCCAGGGCAGGTCCCCATGAGATGGGCACTCTGTTTCCATGCCGGGTGGGAGGAGGGGTCCTGGAGAAGTCAGGGGCCGAACCTGCGCCCAGACCCTCATCCCCTACTCCACCCACCCTGTACCCCCTCTTTCTCTCCACACTCTCCTTTTCTCTTCTGTTCTCCCCGTGCTCTCAACCCTGCCCCCTGCCCTGCAGCCTCTTCCTGTCCACCCTGGTCAGGGTATCTCTGGGGGTCCTCCGGGCTTCCCCAGCCTCCCCTGCATGCGTGCTGGTGTGGGGTAGGTTCCAGGTCCCAGCACGGCCCCGCCATGGCCAGAGGGCCCCAGGTAGGAGACGCCCGGGACGCCCTGAGCCAGGAGACAGGGCCAGGCTGTGGATCGGGTGGCGGGGCCCTGGTGGGTGGGCAGGGGGCTGGGGAGAGACCCAGGGACGCCAGCATGGCCCCTGCACCTGGCCCCTCCCCACCCAATACTCCAGCCTTGGCCGGGTTTCTGAGGGGCATTGTTATTAATATTATTATTGCAGCCGCTGCAAAAACACAGCTCTAAGCCCCTCGAGTGATTTATTTAGCGCACAGTCTAATTGATCAGGGCCAACTTTCCACGTGGTGGGGGAGGCAGCGCCTCGGCCTCCAGGAATCTTTGGTCTAGGGGGTCAGCTGCCTGCTGGGTGCCTCTGGGCAGACACTAAAGACTCGGCCGCACCCACCCCCACCTGAGGCTCCCTTGTGAGGCAGCACCCACCCAAAGGGAGGCCCTGGTCTGTGGGGAGAGGCGGCCCCTAGCGAGACCGACCAGAGGCCGGGACAGCCACTGCGCCTCTGAAGCTGGGCCTGCCGCCCCCGTGGCCCAAGGGCTGGTGCTGTGAGTCTGGCTGGTGCTGTGAGTCTGGCTGGGGAGGGAAGATGCAGGGCCCTGGGCCCGGGGTGCCTGGACTCCTACTCCCAGGCCCACGCTCTGTGTGTGAGGAGTCAGGACTCGGGATCTGTAAAGGCCCTGGAGGGACAGCCCTGGAGGGACGGCCCTGGAGGGACAGCCCTGGAGACCTGGTGACCTCTGTGCTGCCTGGGGTTTGGGGAGCATGGCCCACACCAGCAGCCCCCGCCACGTGACCCTCGATTCAGCCCTTCTGCATGCTGTGCATTCAGTGATCTGGGCATCTTTGGACAGTGCCATGGTGGATGATTAGGCCTGGGCACCCTGTTCCACCCAGTGCCTGTTTGCTGCTCCTGGGAGGGCAGTCCTCTCTCCTTGCCTCTTGGGTTACAAGGCAGTCTCCACTGAGAGCCGCCTCCCTTCCCTGCCCATACCCCCGTGGGGTCTGGGGGTGTCTCCTGCCCTCTTCTCCTGGACCAGGTGAAGGGCTGAGGGGGAAGGGGAGCCAGGCGGGGGCATGGGAGTGGTAGGGGGTGCCCTGGCTGCCGTGGGCTGGTGCATCCCTCCCCGGGCTCTCGCAGGGACCCCCCGCCCTCCAGCAGTGTTAGAGACATTCCTTTGCTCCCTCAGTGTGCTGGGGCACCTGCTTTGAGATAGTGCTAATTCGCAGGGGGCACTGAGCACAGACCCCCAGAAGCACGCTGGCTTGGCCTCCCCAGGCAACCGAAGTCCATACCAGGGGCCACAGCTGCCCCTGGGGTGTCTAGACCTCAGCCAGCCGCCTGGGTGAAGCCCCTGCCTCCTGTGCTTCAGGAGAGGTTGCCCAGGAACCCCCAACCTCCAGTCCCCTCACAGCTACCGGAATCCAAAGAAGCAAGAGAGTCCAGATAGGAGAGAAGTTTGGACTCCATTCTGGGGAGCCTGGGCGGGGGAGCTCTGTGAAGGAGCCGCAGGGTGAGCCAAGGCCAGGGTCCTCACCAGGGTGTCTGGGCCAGGGCTGCCCTCCCATTCCAAGCTCCGAGGGTGGAGGGTGAGCCCCTGGCAGTTTTGCTGCCCCTGGCCCCAGACCTGCCTGCTCCAGCACCCCTCGCCTGGCAGACCAGGGCTCAGGGAGGGGAGGCTGCACCCGCCTCAGGCAGAGTAGGGGCACAGGATGCTGATTTCTGAATCGGCAGCTGAGGCTGTTCCAAGCATCAGGGGCTCCCAGCAGGGCTGAAGAGAGGGGCTTGGAGGTGGATTCGGCCCCTACTTGGATCTGGAGTGCAGGCTAGTGGGGGTGCAGAAGGCCTAAGGGGTGAGGGGCTGCTCAGAGACGGCTGGTGTCACACACCTGAGAGAGGTGAGATGGGCAAGGAGGGGGAGGTGGGGGAGGAGAGGCGCAGCGGCGTGGGGGCAGGCACCCGAGAGATGGCAGGCCTGGGCAGCGTGGAACATTCATGTGCTGGGAAGGGGGCTTGGAAGAGGGGACCCATCAGGGACACAGCCCAGACTCACTGTCCCAGCCCCTCAACACCTCCCCCTTACCTTGGCTCCAGAAAACCCAAGGACATCGGGCTCTTTGGGGGTCCTGGTCATCCTGCACCGAGACCCCCAGAGGGACCCTGCCACCCCTCACCTCTGCTTTAGAAAACCCAAGCACAGCGGGTTCTTTGGGACCCCTGGTCATCCTGCACCCAGGCCTCCAGAGGGGCCCCGCCACAGTCCATCCCCTTCGCCCAGGTCCCCTCGGATCAGGGCCTGCCAGGGTGGTGTGGCAAAGGGGCCTGCATCGCGCCAACCTCTCGCAGCTCTCCAGCGGGTGCAGCCAGGCTCTGGCCCCCACACGCTTGGGCTTTGCTCCCTTCCCGTTTTATGAGGAATAAAAGGGGCTGTAAACCCTGCGCGTGGACAAAGTGCACCATATAAACGGCTCCTGGTAATAATGACATTTGCAGCGGTGCCCCTCAGCCAGGCATGTTCAGGGGGAGGGAGAGCCTGTCCCGGACACGCAGCATCTGGCCCCACCCCTGACAGAGGGGCAGGCACCACACACCACACACCACATACCACAGACACCACAGACACCACAGGCACGACCCTCCGAAGGACCAGCAGAGGCTGCACCTGGGGAGGCTGGGGGAGACGCGAGAACAGGGGCACTCCAAGAAAAGGCCAGGCTCCCTCTGACCCCATGTCCTCACCCCCATAGACACACACCTTCCAGCACGTGGCACTTTGTTAGGGACGTCAGTGGCTTGTGTTGCCACCTTATGAGGATAAGCAAGGCTGGGCGGTGGCTCTTTTGCCGTTTCCCTCCACGTAGCATGCCCTTGAGCCCTGGGACTCAGTTTCCCCATCTGACTCTTGGGTGTCTCACAGAGCCTTTCAAAGATTACAACGGGGCTGGGGGAAGACTGCGGCCAAGCCTGTGCCCCTTCCCTTCCTCTCACAGCTCCACAGGTGCAGATGGCCGTGGCCCTGTGCCACCCCTCTACAAACCACCAAGCCAGAGCAGGGTGGGGGTGCCAGGCCCCGGGGCTGAGGGCCACAGGAAGGCTTGGGGATTAGACGTGTTTCCCTTCCCTCTACATGCTCTGTCTCGCAGAAGCTGGCCCGGGAGGACTCCTGTCACCTTTTAAGGTGAATTTCCTATTAAGAAGATGCTTTTGTTCAGATATTGCCCAGTGGAATGTGCTTTCCTTAGTCCCACCCAGGGAAGCCAGCGGGCACCGCCTTGAGCAGTGACAGTGACCGGTAGTAGGGATCTGCCTGCGGCTGGAGGCCTCGTAGGAGACTTTCACGGAGTGCCTGGTCTCCTGAACCATCCGCGGAGGGGCAGAAGGCCCCTGGCACGTCAGATCTCTTGTCCTTGTTTAAACAAAATGGAATATTTTCCCCTTAATAAAACTCTTGGGAAGAATTGCCCATTTCTGTCTTTCAGGGACATCACCTTTCATAGAATGGCCCTGATCCCGAGTCATCCTGTAAAAATGGAATTTACAGCCAGGTGCGGTGGCGCACGCCTGTAATCCCAGAATTCTGGGAGGCCAAGGTGGGTGGATCACCTGAGGTCGGGAGTTTGAGACCAGCCTGACCAACACAGAGAAACTCCGTCTATACTAAAAGCACAAAAATTAGCTGGGCGTGGTGGCGCCTGCCTGTAATGTGAGCTAGCTGCTCGGGAGGCTGAGGCAAGAGAACCACTGGAACCCGGGAGGCGGAGGTTGCAGTGAGCGGAGATCGCGCCACTGCACTCCAGCCTGGGCAACAAGAGCAAAACTCCGTCTCAAAAAAAAAAAAAAAAAAAGGAATTAAAGGAATTTACTGCCAGTGCAGGGGTGTGCTGGGATGCTTTAACAATGGGCTCTCAGGGAGAAAACACATGCTTTGCTTTGGAGCATATTCCAGTGACCATGGTGTAAATATTCCCACCCAGGCTGATTGTCAAGCAACCCGAAATGCTGAACTCAGCAGGGGAGAGGATTGGCCATTTCAGGGTGTGGGGTGAGCGCCGGCTCCAGTGCCCCACAAGAGTGATTTTGACCATGGAAAGTTCTCAGTGGGACCTCAGGGGTTCGCCGCCTCTCCACGGGGTCCAGACCCTAGTCCAAGCAGCAATTTGCATCTCTCACTGCCCTCTTCACTCCCATCCCCACCCCCAGGGCCCACCTGACTCACTCCCTGCCTCCCCTCCCACCTGCCGCCTGTCCTGAGTGAGCCTCCTCCCTGGGCCCTCGGAGAGGGGAGCCGCCGGGCCGCACGAGTCTAAACAAGGACAGGGATCACGGTGGGGTTTGCATTCACACGCCCTCTTTGCTCCACTGAACTTCCTTGGAGCAGACCTCAGGTGCAGAGCTCTGGTGGAGCTGGCGGGGCCACAGGTGGGGCTGGGCTCCCCATGAGTCTCCTGGGAGGGTGCGGGACTCTGCCCGCAGCCCGTCTTGCTGCAGTTACCATTGGCTCCTGCGTCTGGGGCACCCACGTCACACCCTTCATCTGCTCAGTCAGCCCGAGGCAGCTCCCAGCCTCAGGAAAGCCCAGAAGCAATTGGAAGAGTCTGGGGGTGGGAGGCGCGAGGACATCGGACAGACCTGGCGCGGCCGGGCGGTGCAGGCCTGCTTCAGCCTTCTTTGGCCTGGGCTTGAAGGCAGGCCTGCGCCTGAGGGGTCTGCGGTGGTCTGGGGTGCTCCGCGGAGGTCTGGGGTGGTCTGCAATGGCCCGAGGTGGCCAGAGGGGTCTGGGGTGGTCTGCAGTGGTGTGGTGTGGGGTGGGGTGGTCTGGGGTGGTCTGCAGTGGTCTGGGGTGGCCTGAGGGGTTTGGGGTGGTCTGGGGTGGTCTGCAGTGGTCTGGGGTCAGCTGGGCCTTTGCCTGCTGTTTGGTGCCCAGTGCAGGCCCGCAGGTTAATGGTCAGTCTGGTCAGCCTGTGTCCTAGGGGATGGAGGTGTCAGATTTGGATGAAGAGCTGGGGTAGGGGGGCTCAGCACTGCCATGGTGGCGGCTCTGAGTTGGGGGTGACTGGAATGGGCCTGGGCCACCCCCACGCTGGCAGTGCTCCAACTCAGCTCTGAGCCCCTCTTTCCTTCCTGCCGCCACCCCCACACCCGGCTCTCATCACCTCACACCTGGGCTCTTGCAGCAGCCTGGCCTCCCCCTGGGCTCTGCACTCTGCACACAGTAGGCACCCTCTGCACACACCAGACCCTTGACTTGGGAGTGGGCAGGGAGGCCCCCAAACAGCACCCTCATCGTGACTCCGCTGATGCAGCTGGCCAGTGCCCACTCCTAGGGGAGAGCACGCAGGCCCAGCAGCCTCCCCTCCTCTCCCCGTGGCGAGAGAGAACCTGGGAGAACGGGGCCTGGGGAGCAGCGGCTGGACAGCCCTGGAGAGCTCTGCCGACCAGCCCTTGGGTGCAAGCTGTGCCCCTGCTGAGTCCCGCCTTGCTGGGACTCAGCTGTGAGGGCCTGTGGCTCTGAGGCTGGTGGGGACCATCCGGCTGCGCTAGGTCAGCAGCTCCACTGTGGGGTAGGCACTGGGAGGAGGGCAGGGAGGGGAGCTGAGCGCTCTGCTGGTGATGGGACCGCATCAGGCCCCTGGCTGCCCCAAGTTCCCCCAGCAAAGGCGAGACAAGCGTGTCGGGCCCAGGGCTGAGCAGGATGGCGTCCGGACACGGATGGAGGCACTCCGCCAGGCGTGTCCTCGAGAGCTGCTTGTAGGTGAATGCCCCTGTGCCACAGTTGTGAGTCAGGCCCTGGGCACGGGTAGCTCCCAGTTGAAAGGCCTGGCATGAGAAGTCAGACCCACTGGTCGGTGCAGGCCAGGCAACCAGAGGAAGTTTCTCAAACCCACAGGGCCCAGCAAAGCTTCCTCCAGCGATGGGAGCGTTCTGGGTCTTCCCAGTCCAGCCAGGAGACCCAGCCGCACGCGGCTCCAGAGGCCCTGGAACGTGGCTGATGCCGTGTTCATGATCGCAGTGTAAACAGCTGTGGCGGCTGGAGATGGCCACGCTGGACGGTGCGGAGCTGAGACGGGCCTTCGGAGCAGAGCGGGAGGTGCGACCTGTGCAGCTGTCACTCTGCTCTGTGGTTTAGGGTCACCAGGTAAAGTGCAGGATGGCAGCTGAATCTGAATCGCAGGTAAACGATGACTGTTCTCAGTGTGAGTGTGTGCCGTGTAATATTTGGGACACTGTTGGAGACAAATACTGAGGAAGCCTCTGTTCTTTATGTGAAATTCACGGCTTCACAGGTGCCCTGCATTTCCGTCGGTGGATCTGGCTGCCCTGTGCATGCACCGGCAGCAGGACAGCCTGTGTCCGGATGAAGCCTGCGGTCGGCAGTCGAGTGGTCAGTGGGAGGCTGCTGTTGGGCCTCTGGTGGTCTCGAGGACAAATGGAGTCTTGGCTGAGGACACAGAGGCTGTGGACTTGCCGGCTGTAGCTGCCCTCGGGCCCCCACACAACCTGGCTGCCCAGGAAACAAACTGGAGGCTGGAAACCGGCCCCTCTGAGCGTGGGCCACAGGCGAGGCTGCCTGCCGAGTCCTGCCCTCCCGCAGGCCCTGTCTACCCCGGCTGCCTTCCTTCCGGCCACCACTGAGGATGGGAGCATCCTGGGGGTCTGTGTCCAGGCAGCCAGCTGGATGCAGGAGGGCACCCCGGCCGCATGGAAGCTGCCTAGAAGTCCAGGCCCATCGTGCTGCGCTGGCCCTGGGCCTTCTGAATGTCATGGCTCCTTACTGGGCTGTGCTGGCGGGAAGATGGGACCTTGGGGCATTGGCTCTGCAAGTGTCTAAATGGGGGACAATTTCCAGTGTTCCCCCATCTCCCCTGCAGATTCCGTGGGCCCTGGGGAGGGGACACCCCTGCTGCCCACCCCTCCCTCCAGGGTGGAGTGAAGTGGCTCTCCCTGCACTGTCTGGGGCTCCCCTCGCCTCCAGTTTGTCTGAGGAGCTCTCAGGAGTGCTCAGAGGCTCGAGAAGAGGGAGGTTCAGGGAAGCAGCAAACTCTAAACCTTTGTTTCTTGGGAACCTGGGCTTGTAAGGGCTGGGTGTCTGGAAGGGCAGCGAGGCCCTGTGTGCTTGGGCATTGTGCGTGTGTCTGTGTGTGATGTGCATGGGTGTGTGCGGGTGTGGGGAGATGGGTGTGTGTGTGTGGGTGCAGGGAGGTGGGTGTGTGTGTGCAGGTGTGGGAAGGTTGTGTGTGTGTTGGTGTGGGGAGGTGTGTATGTGTGTGTCTGGGGAGATGGGTGTGTGTACAGGTGTGGGGAGGTGGGTTGGTGTGTGCGGGTGTCTGTATGTGGTGTGTGTGTGTTTGTGGGTGTGTGCGTGTGTGTGGTGGAGGAGGCTGGACTGCCCCTGTAGGATCAGAGTCCACCTTTGGAGGGGCCAGCCCGGCCAGGGCCACGGCCGAGATGTAGCCGGGGGACTCTGCAGGGGCCACCAGCACCTCACTTGGCCACCCTGGCTTCTCAGCTTTCCTGACGGCCTCCAAGAGAGGCAGGTGTGGTGTGGGATGCCAAGGCCCCTGTCCCATTGTGGCCCCATTGCCATTGCCATCCTCACCTAGGCTCCTTTGGGGCCTCATCTGGCCAGCTGGATGGTGGGCAGCCCCTGGCTGCAGGCCTCCACCTCCACTCTTGTCTGGGACACCTCCTGACATTGGGGCCCTGAGGAGCCCCCACCTCCCTCCTGCCCACAGCCCCTGCCCGGCTGTCTGGCCAGGGGGTGAGAGGTGCGTCTGTTCTCGCCTGGCCAGGCAGAAGGCAGGAAGGTTCCTAAGCTCTGCTGCCTGGAGGTCCCCGTGTGATCTGCAAATGTCGATCGTGTTTGGTTACATTTAATAGAGGAGAGGAAAATTTCTTCTGAAACCACCTCGTTGGCTTCAAACCAAGTGTGGGAAAGCAAGAGCATCAATCTTTCCCCTTTTAGAACAAGTTTTCTTTTTCCAAAGGGAAAAATTCCAGGCTCCATCTTTCTTTATGTGCCTTCCAGGCAGCGACCCCCCGACCCCCAGCTCCAGGGCTGGGTTGCCAATGCGACAAAGCAGACGGGCCCCCCCACCGGCACCTACCTGGGGCCTGCTGCTCCTTCCTCCAAGGTGCTCTGGGGTGTGAGTCGGAGCTGCACCCCAGAAACGGCTCCCGAGGAACAGTGTCTGTGAGGCTGGGTGCTGGGGCCGCCTGCACCCCCCTTCCCCTCCCAGGGCCCTGCGGGAGACTGCAGGTGGGCACGGACTCACAGCAGCCTCTGGAAAGGGCTGCAGAGGGGCTTGCTGGCTGACTGGCCAGGGACCAGGTTGGGCAGAGACCCCCAGGCGGGAGGGTTGGGGCTCACCAAGATGCTCAACTCAGATGAGAGGCCACCTGCCCACACTCTGGCAGGCCAGCTATCAAGACCGGGGGCTTCTGTCCTCTTTCACCCCTCCTCTCCCTCTCCCTGCCCACAAGGGTCTTCTTATACCCAGGCACCGGCCCCCGTTCCTGTGCCCTCTCTCCTCACCCTCGTCCAACTCCAGGAGCTGCCTGTGGTCCTGAGGCCTGGAGCTGAAGTCCTGCATGGCACCAGTAATTGTAATGGCCACATGTTCCCCTGCAGAAGAAAGGGGAAAAAAGACCTTTTCCAGCTGACATCCAGGCCGGGGGAAGCAGAGCATTTGAGAGGCGCAGGTGCAGGATCCCAGCCACGCCCAGCCCCGTCACCAGGCAGGGCTCCCTGGGGCACAGGTGTGCTCGGTGGCTGGAGGCCCCTGACTGCTCCCTTTGCGCAGGGAGCTCAGTCCTCCCAGCCTCTGTGTGGACCATCGCCGAGTGTCTAGGCCTGAGCAGGTACAGGCGATGCTGTGGATGCTGGCCAACCCCCTCTGTGCTGTGTGCCTCCTGATCTTCCCAAATTCCACCCCTGTCTGGTCCCGAGCCAGGGATGGACCATGGCCTGAGGGTGGGCACAACCCTGACCCCTCTCCCTGTGTCTCATCCACTTGCTCTTGCCACCTGGATGGGCACAAAAAACCCGATGGCCGTGGAGATCCAGGAGAACCCCTAGAAGAGCCTCGGGCACCCCCTCACCCACGATGACCATAGAGGGCCAGGGGAACCCAGAGGAACCTCAGGCACCCCTCAACCCATGACGGCCGTGGAGGGCCAGGGGAACTCAGAGGAGCCTCAGGCACCTCCTCAACCCATGACCCATGACGGCTGTGGAGGGCCAGGAGAAGCCCCAGAGCAGCCGCAGGCACCTCCTCCCCACAGTGGCTGTGGAGGGCCAGGAGAACCCTGAGGAGCCCCGGGTGCCCGCCGCCCACAGCGATGCCCTGACCCCTGGCTTCTTGAGGACCACCTTCCCATCCCCTGGTAGATGCTAAAAGGGAGGACACTGGCTGACGGAGCCCCTGACCTCTCCCTCCTGACCAGGTGGCCATTCTGGGAAGCGTGGGCTGAGGGGCCAGCAGCACAGCCTGTGCCCTGGCCCTGAGTGCGGCTGGCAGGTGGCCTTGGGAAGGTCTCCCTGCCAGGTGTGAATGGTGGGCACTGCTGCTGCCACTGCCACCTCACTGGGTCCAACAGCCAGGGACCAAGTGCATGTCTGCTCAGCACAGGTGGGCAGTGAGGGGCAGCCCATGTTCATGGCACAGTCCCTGCCAAGTGCCCACTGTGTACCCACCCCGGGGGACAGTCCAGGAGGGGCTGGTGGGAAGAGAACAGGGTGTGGCTGAGCTCCAGCCTTGGGTGTGGGCTCTCGGTCTCAGAGGGATGGCCAGTGGCAGAGAACAGAGACCTGGCTGAGGGCAGGTTTCTGCACTGTCACTGGTGAATGAGCACTGGGTCCCCAGGCTTGAGGGGGCTTCAAAGGGGAGAATGCCCTGAGCAGGGGCTGGGGACAAGAGAAGGAAGGCCTGCATCCTGGAGCGAGAGCCAGTGCTACAGCCAGGAGGGGCCAGTCCCACTCCCTTATTTGACACACGGAGAAACTGAGGCTGAGAGTGGGATCTGGGTTTGCCTGACGGCCGGGCCTTGCTTTCTTTGTGTTTATTTCTTCCTGATGCCCCTGCCTGGGGGTCTATGGGTAGATGAGCAGGTGCTGGGGCCCAAGCCTCTGCTCCCGGCCCCACTCACTGTCAGCCTGGACAGTCGAGGCCCTTTGAACTGCCATCCCCGTGGGCAGCAGCATAAAGGGTGGGAGCGCAGCCGGGGCAGGGGACTGGCAGCTCCTGGGCGAGAAGCTTCCAGGAAGTGGAACTCAGAAGAAACCAAGTCTCACTGAGCGGGCTCCGTGGCCACCCGTCTGCCTGGACCCCGGAAAGCAAACTTGGGAAGCAGGAAGCAGTGGAAAGAGAAACTTTAGCAAGGGAGGTGCGCCAGGCCAAGGCCTCTGGGAGAGCAGCATCACGTGTGAGACGTGGCCGGGTCACTGCCCCCGCCGTGCTGCCCGCTGCCCTGTTCTTTCCGTGAGCTGCAGCTTTCCTCATCCCCCCGCCCACCCGCCTTGCTCTGCACCTCAAACTCCCTGCCCAGCCCACCCAGCTGTGGCTACTGGCTGAGAAACCGAGGCCCACAGACCCTGGGCAGAGGGAGACAGGGGACAGAGACAGGCAGGGCCGGGGTGGGGGCTGCACAGAGACCCACACAGGGTGATCCTGGGCCATCCTGGCTTCGAGGGGGGCCATGGTCCCTGACTGCCCAGGTGTCTTCGAGGGCCTCTTTAGGGCACGCCTACTTCCAGCCCTGGAGCTCAGCTTCCTTTTGCTAAAGAGTCAGGGAGTGTGGCCACAGAGACAGCTAGGCAGTCAGGCGCCGTGGAGGGCCCAGGCTGCTGAGGTGACACAAGTGGAACTCGGGGGCAGCTGCCGCTTGATGCCGTCACACGGCCAGTCCGCCGCCCGTCCACTGCCAGGCTCACGGGCTTCACCCTCTGCCCCGACCTCTGGCTTTCAGGCCTGTGAGGGACGGGTTCTCAGACACCAAGCATGTGGTCTGACGGGGCTGCACCCTTGCCCACTGGGCCCACAGCTCTGCAGCAGGCACCTGGGGCTCCTCCCTCTGAGAATGCACAGGCTCAGCCCGGGGCCGGGCTTGCAGGGGCCACCAGCACACGTCCCATGGCTCAGGGCCGGATGGGGACTGGCCGGGGAGATGGAGCTCTGGGCAGCATGGACTAGGCAACATCTCGCCACTGCCCACGCCAGCACCAAGGCCTGTCCTCTCCAGGCGGTGCCCTCGCCGGTCCTGCTGGCTCAGCTGCCCCTCCCATCCCACTGGTCTCCACTGGCTGTGAATGGCAGTCCCAGCTGCTATACCAGCCTGGCCCGGGCCGCCCCCTGCAGGGGCAGACATCACTGCCAGCCTCATCCCCAGCTCTCAGGCACCGGCCGTGTGGGGCACAAGAGCGCCCAGGGAGGCTGCTGGCCTTTTTTGGGCCTGTCCACTGCAGGGCCACCTGTGCCCACCAAGGGGGGCCAATCAGCACAGCCGTCTGCACAGGCGCTCAGGCCGAAGGACGGTGGCTATTTCAGGGCCTGGCGTCAGTTTCCCTGTCCTCTTCCCAAAGAGGAAGGGAATGTAGACGCCTGGCCCGGACAGGCGCCAGCCAGGCACTTGGAGACCCCAGAAAGGGCAGCAAGGAAGGGAGCAGAGAGGCCAGCCCAGGCCCGTCCAGCTCCCCTTTCTGCCCATGAGCTCACGGGTTCTGGCCCTCGGGCAGTTTCGAGGCCCCCATGTCACCGTCTCCCCACACCCTGGTTCCAGGAGAGGGTAGGGGAAACGGCCCTTCCTCCGGGGCATGCAGGGTGGGCCAGGTGGCCCTGGTATTCCCTTTTGCTTTTGCAGCTTCTCCCTGCCCCAGGGTTGGAGGGAACCTCAGCCCCCTCTGACGACACCGCGGGGGCCCCAGACCCTTCGAGAGGCCACTCTGGTGCCTCCATTGTGAAGCCCTGGCTTTGGGGCTGGGCTCAGCAGCTCTTGGAGGACAAATCAGGTCCCTCCTCCCTTGCCAGCTAGTAAGGCCGCCAGGCTGGCACAGGATGAGAGTGAGCTACAGACTGTTTTAGAGGGAGGCTGGGCCCTCCTTAGGCTGGCTCGGGACGGTGGGGAGGGGCAGTCTTCATCACAAATGGGTGGCAGGCGGCTCAGCACACACGGCACTCCCCGAGCCTCTGCAGGCATGAGTGGCAGTCAGCCGTGTTCCCTCTGCCCTGCCCCGTGCCCCTGCGCCATCTCCTCCACTCCAGGAGAGACCAAGGGAACCAGTGCTGCCCTGGTGGGGGGTTTCTCTCTCCAGCAGGTCACCTGGCGAGGAGGGCTCCAAGCCTCAGCGTGAATACTTAGACCCCCCCCCACCACTGCATCCTGGAGAGCGAGCGAGTGGGGAAGACGGAGGGGGCTGGGGGAGCTGTGGCACAAGCAGGGCGAGTAAGATGGAGCAGGAGGGAGCTCCACCAATCAACCCAGCCAGCTCTGGAGCCACCTGGAACACTCAAAGGGAACGTCCTTCTGTCCCCAAGAGCCCCACTTTAGGGCTGTTTGCTGGGCTGACTCCCTGGCCTGCAAGACCCCAGGTTGCTCACTCAGCCCAAACCCCCACCCATGGCACGGACCGCCCTCTCAGCCAGCCCACTCGGCTGGCTTCCCAGGACTGCCAGGGTGAGCTTCCGAAAACTGCTGGGGCTGGTTCTGTGTCCTCTGGGGAGACACCCTGGTCAGTGCTTCCCGGGGCTGAAAACGCCCAAGGAGCTGACCGCATGCCCGGCTTGTTTTCTTCCTGGGACAGTAAGAAATGGGCGCAGGGTTTGGAGAGGCTGCCAAGCTGCTCCAGCCCCAGGGTGCTGGGGGTCAGCACCAGTGTCTGAGTGCCCGGGTCCTCAGGAGACAGGTTACCCGGGCTGGCTTGAGCTCCCAAAAGCAAAGCTGGCACTACCCACCCACCTCGGGGCAGAGCCCCTGTCAAGACCCAGAGCTGTCCCAGTCTGCTCCTGGTGAGGCGGGGACAGAAACCAGAAGACCTCCCTGAGCTAGTGGGCTACCAGCTCTGCCTGCTTGGAGTTGGGGCTGGGAGAGACAGGGGCCGGCGAACACAGAAAAGCTAAAGTCTGGCTAAATCCTGTAGGCTCGGGTGGGTTCTGTTTGACCACAGGCCTTTGACCTGGGGTCGACAGTCTTCCCCTCCAACCTGGAGCTCAAGGGTGAGCTTCAGCCTGGATGGGGGCATTGGGGGCTTGGAGGGTCCTGGACGCTCAGAGCTGGGTGCCAGATGGGAGTGCTGGCCAGCCCTTGGGAGCAGTGCTCCAGGGACAGTGGGCTCTGCCTGCAGAGAGCTTGCAGTCTCCCTGGGCAAACACCAGGCAGGCCTGGAAAGCGTGTGTCATTGAGCTGTGCCAGGACGGCAAGCCGGGAGTATGTGCTCCTTGGGGAGCGGGGCCCAGGTCTGGGCTCCAGGGCTGCCTCTTGGCTGGATACCCAGCTTCACATTTGGCTCAACACAGCAAGGAGGGGTCAGGGGTCTCAGGCAGTCAGGCCTCCAGTCTCAGTCCTCACACCACTGCCCCCGGGCGCAGGACCAGCACACGGACAGGCACAGGCCACAGCGCTGGCGGTGCCCGGAGGAGGGTGTGTACGTGGCTAGCAGCTGTAGGCGTCCTGGGGGCTGCCAGGCCTCTTGCCTCACCCTCCCCTTCAGGGCAGCATGGAGTTTTGGGATTTGACCTTCACCCATTTCCAGATCCTTCCAGGGCTCCCCTGGAAGCCCCTGCCACTCCACACTGTGCCAGGCCCCAGGTGGAGAGAGCTCCCACCTGTCCAGTGCTGTGGTGTGGGGCTGTGGGGGGTGGTGCTGGGTGGGGCATAGCCTGCTGCTTTGAGGGACACTGACCTTTGAATTGAGGAGGGTCCTGGGCCTTCAGCAGGGGAGGGACACAAGGCCACAGCCCCCTTGGCCTGCCCGAGCAGATGACAGCCAGGTCTGGAGGGGCAGGCAAGAGAGGAGGACGGCACAGGTTTCAGCCCAGCATGTCACCTGAAGGCCTCAGTGTCAGAGGCAGGGCCCCTGGGGCCGCCCCAGCTCCCTTGAGCCCCAGAAGTCCAGGAACACACAGTGCCCAGACACTGCACCAGGAAGCAGAGGCCTTGCCCAAAGGTGTCGGGGCCGGGGCTCCCCAGGCGGCTGCTGAAATGGCCCACTATGTCTGCACCTGTGCCCCAACAGGGCATCCACACCCATGCCTGCCTGCGTCCACTCCTGAAAAGCTGTCAATAAAAGCTCATTTGCAATGGACCAGGATGCCAGGGGGGTCTCCAGGTGGGCAGGGGGCTCCCCAGGTGGCCAGGGGGTTTTTCAGGGGTCTCTCCAGGTGGCCTCAGGGGACCCTTCTGTGAAATGGCTCATCGTCTACTCGGATTTCTTCAAGTGGGACCCCTTTGCCTTTGACCGAGGCCCACAGGCCCTGGGCAAGTGGACAGCTGGGGGGAAATGTGGGTGGGTTTGGGAAGCTTTGGTTTGAGCAGAGGGGCTGCGGACCCTTCTGGAGCTAGGAAGGCCAGCCCAGCAGAAAGCGCTGGCTGAGGGTGGTGAAGGGAGCCCTGGCCAAGGGGCTCTTGGCAGATAGGTGGGCGGGCGCTGTGAGGCCTGCTGGCCGCAGCCACACAGCAGGCAGCGGGCCGGGACCTGGGAGTGATAAATGGCTTCCCCAGGAGCCAGGCGGCTCTGCCAGGGCCTTCTCAGTCCTCTGAATTCAGTCTTGTTGACCCTGAGGCCCAGTAGGGCCCCTTCGAACAGGGCTGCTTTGTGGCTGAGGTGGGGGTGTTGCTTGCAGTGGGGTTTGTACGTGCAGGGCTGGCATGGGGGGCACAGGGAGTGCCAAGGAGGCCCTGCCAGCCCAGGGGGAAGCTCAGCTGTTGGAATTAATGGCAGCAGCCAGACCCTGGTGCCCACAGGCCCTGGGTTGGGAGTTTGGAGGGGGCAGCAAGCCCCCGTGTTGAGGTTCAGCTCAAAAACGACTTGGCTCAGCTCAGCTTTCACTGCCCTGTGTGCTCACCAGGGAGCATTCCCTGTGCTCCTGGGTGCCCGCACAGCGAGGTACATGCAGGGCCTCTTCTGGCTGTGACCCCTCTGTGTCACGGGGGTGACATCGTTCCGGTCGTTGAGGCCCAAGGCCCAGGAGATGGTATTGAGAGCAGAGCATGGCCCAACGCCTCCAATGTGCCCTGCCTGCCATGGCCGCTCTGCCTGCCCACCTCCAGGGAACCCCACAAGGAGGAGGCTTTAGGCGAGAGGCCCCTCAGCCACCACAACATCACTGGTCCTTGCCCCCAGTCTACCCAGCCCATCCCTGCCCCTCTGCCTGCCCGGCCCACCCCACTGTTCTAGGAAACCCTCACGCAGCACCTAAGAGAGGCTTTGGGTAGGCTGGCTTCCCCGGCACACTTTGGGGTCGTCTTGCCCTTCTCCTGCCCCCTTAGAAAGCCCTCCTGGCCCCTTTGGCCCTGGGATATGTCCCATGCCGGTCTCTGCTGCCCAGTCAAAGGCCCCATGTCTTGGTTCCCAGGGCTAAAGCCAGTGTCCCTGGTGGCCTGTCCCAAGGAGGACCCATCTGCTGACAAGGCCAGGTGGGGACCCAGAGCCGTGGGTTGTAAACTGCTGATGGCAGGGCTGCCCCAAAGCCCTTCTCCTCCGGGCTTGCTGGTGGACCAGGGCCTCGGGGCCCCCCCGACAGTGCCCTCACACCAGAGTGGAAGGAGGCTCCCAGCTCCCGGTGTGGCTGGCGTTGGGGCAGGCTGGCTGCCTGCGTCTTTGGCTCCCTGGGACCCTTTGGCACTGCAGGCCGGGGAGGAAGCGGGCTGGACCTGCTGCAGAGCCGCTTGGATTTCGCAGGCCCTGCACCTCTTTCTAATGGCTCTTTCTAAGAAACCCCTCAGAACCTTCTGCAGGAAGAGAAGGCCCGGGAGGCGTGGACGGGGCCTCAATGGCTCAACAGGTTGGGCTTTGGGGAAGGCAGAGAGGCCTCTCGCTCTGTGCCAAACTCAGCCTCGGCTGCCTAGAAATGAATTTCCTGGGACCCCAAACTCTGGCTCTGGGCGCAGGGTCTCTATACCGTGCCTCAATGTGCTACCCTCAGACATTACCTCTGCAGGGGACCCTTCTTCCTGCACCCCCTTGCTGGACCCTGCAGACTGATTGGGCCCACTGGGCTGGAGCAGCCCGGCTGGGATTAGAGGAAGAGGAAATAGTGACAATGGCAGTGGGAGGCAGAGTGGCCCCACACACACATCCACCATGGCTCAACACGTGTGTTTATCAGGCAGAGCCACGGGCTGGCCTTGGGGGCTGGTAGGAACCATGAGCAGATCCCAGGGCAGCCGCACCCACCCCAGCCTGGCTTAGACCTGGGTGCCTCGGAGCTCCCCGGAGCCTGCCTGCCGGGTCGGGAGGCCTGTGAGGCCTCGGGGAAATAGGGGCTCAGGCCCACAGCTTGGGCAGGGGGGCTAGGCCCATCAGGGAGCCCCAGCAGGCCAAGAGACACCCAAGGGGGCACTCAGGGATTCAAGGGGGCCCACAGCCTCTGCCCATTGGGGGTTCTGCTGACTAAGATGTGGCCTGCTGTCCTGATAGCCTGATGGCCCAGGTGGACATGGGACGGGGAAGTGTGGCCCACCAGGGAGCCACCGCCACCCTCCCTGGCCAAAGTACGTGGACCTGTGCCAGGAAGACCTCCGTGCTCTCTCCTCTCCCCTTGTGAACAGAGCCCATCCATCAGGGGCCCTGCACCCACAAGAGACGTCCCACAGAGCAGGACCACCTCGGAAAGGGAGGTTTGAGAGGGCCCCAGAAGGTGCAGGAGGGAAGGACAGCTGCGGCCCACAGCAAGCAGACCAGGGTGGGCCACGCCCGAGTTCAGCGGGGGGTGTCACGCATGTGAGGCCGGGGAATAGCTGGGGTCTTGGGCAGCCCTATGTGTCCAAAGCATTTCCTCGCGTCTGAGGTCAGTGATCAGGGTTTCCACCACGCCAGGGCCCAGGGAAAAACTGAGGCCCATCGGGCTTGAGGATGCACCCTGCTCCAGGCCCATGGGGGGCAAGATTCTATGTGGAAAGCCCAGCCACCACCTTCACAGACAATGCCGTGGGCTCCCTGGGGGCAGCACCAGCAGGGTGGTGTGGGACTTTGCTCCACATGCCCTGGGGCCCTCATGGGGCAGAGGATGGGGTGGCGAGTGGGTGCACAAGCACTTTGCAGTGAGGCCTGCCCTGCTCACAGCCTGGTGCCGGCGTGGGGCCTGAAGTGGGAAAGAGCATGAGGGTTTTTCCACATACGCACTGTCCTCTCTGAGTGGCGGCAAGGTGGAAAGAAAAGCCCAGAGCTGTGCTCCCTCGGGCAGCAGGTCCTCCGGACGGCACTCGGGTGCCACTGCTGCAGTGATGAGGTGGGGGCAGCATGGCCCCAGTGGCCTGGGCAGGGAGGCTGGCGTCAGCGGGGGAATCTGTTGACCTCAGGAGGTGCCAGGGCTGGAGCGGCACTGGGGAGTGCCATGTGCTGTGTGTGCTGAGCCACGTGGACTCGTGAGGCTCTGGCCTTGGAGCCTGGGTGGCCGACACCGACCCTGGTGAGTCTGAGAGTCCATCTTGCTCGGACGGTCTGTGATCCGCTACCTTACTCGTCTGTGGCTGCGCCCCCTCCACACCTATCCTGAAGTCAAAGCTCCACCAGGCGCTGCCTTCTCCAGGAAGCCAGGTCATCGGAGCCAGCAACATCTTCCTTGTCCAAGGCCAGGTGCTGACATGTGACCCTCACTGTGGGATCTAGAGCCCCCCCTCTCGTTTTGTGGGTGAGTGGCACGGCTGGGCTTCCAGGCGCTCCCCTCTCGTTTTGTGGGTGAGGGGCACAGCTGGGCTTCCAGGAGCCCCTCTCTCATTTTGTGGGTGAGTGGCACAGCTGGGCTTCCAGGTGCTCCCCTCTCGTTTTGTGGGTGAGGGGCACAGCTGGGCTTCCAGGAGCCCCCCTCTCATTTTGTGGGTGAGGGGCACAGCTGGGCTTCCAGCTCCCTGATGACGGGAACCTGGGCAGGGGTCTCCTGAGGGACTGCGGAGGGTCCTCTATGGGACAGCAATGCATGGGCAGCCATGAAGGGCCCCTCTCATCTTGGGGCAGCTGTAGGGGGAGAGGCCAGTCGTATCATGAAAACACAGGGAAGCCGTGTGGTGCTTTTGCAACCAGGCCGGGAGCCTCTGTCTACAGGGCCACTGGTGGGGCCCTCGCCTGTGTCTGGGGCCTTGCTTCGGTGGCAGTCCTGAAGCTGTGCTGTCTCTGTTCGCCAGCCTGTGGCTCCCCAGGCCTCCCTTCCTTCCTGCCTGAAGCCTCTGGAAGCCCCCCAGCTCCTGCCTCCCTCCAGCTGGCTCCGGCCTGGTGTTCCAGGACCCGGCCCTGCCCTTCCCTGCTGAATCCTCTTCTTTCTGTCTGTGCCTTCCTCCTCCAGCTGAAGCACAGGCTCCGGCACCCGCTCCCACCCTCTGCCGCAGGCGGGGCTGTGTCTACATCGCCTGGCACCCCCCAATACACTTCCTACAGCCCTCAGTCCCCTGGCTCCTCAGAGAACATGGCCATGGCCTGTACCAGAGTTCTACACACACTCAGGCCCCATCAAAGCAACAGGGTCCCCAGCCAGCTCAGAGGCATCCCAGCATCCTCTCTGTCCCAGCCCCCCACCCCATCCCGCCTGCATTCCCTCAGTGCCCCCCCCACCCCCAAGCCCAGTCCTTCTGTCCTGCTGCAAGCTGCTCACAGCAGGACACGCAAACCTCAGCCTAACCCCAGATTCCAGGCTGTAGGCTGTCCGCTGGCTGCAGAGATAAATCGAGGAAGTCTCCCCCGGCCCTGGCCCCGGCCAGCCCCCTGCAGTGGGCAGGCAAGGGAAAGGAGAGACCCCAGAGGCCTGTTTGCTGTCCCAGCTGGGCTCACTGCACGCCCCTTCCTCTGCCCCAGCCCTGGCCCCGGCAGATCTGAGGACACAGCTCTCTCCGCTCAGAGGCTGTTCCATGGGAGCCTGTCCGCTCAGCCCGGGGGGAGGGAGGATGCCGACAGAGAGCTGCTCTTCTGGGAAGGGGAGGCGGCTTCCAACGCCCAGCTGCTCAGGGTGGGACCCAGGGGACCCCTGCGGAGGCTCCAGGATATGCCCCCAGCCCCACCAAAGCGGTCTGCACACTCCATCCCTCAGAATCCCAACCCCCATCAGCCTGGCCTGGGGGCTCGTCCTGACTAGAACCGTCCCATCATCAGCTTCTCTAGAAGGGTCCTTGGTGACAGGGCGATTGAACCCCCTCCTTTTCTGAAGGGCAACTGAAGACCCCTTAGGGGAGAAGGGGGGTGTACAACTCCAGCCAGGAGGTGGGGTAGCTTCGCCGTGCTCCCCTCGCCCACAAGGCCCCTTCCACACCTCCCCATTGGGACTCCTCCTGTTCCTCACGGCACCTTGCTGGTGAGGGGCCACATTGCAGTCCGACCCCTCACCGTGGGTGGCTGAGGTGGGGATGGCCTCTGTAGCCAGTGCCTCCACCAGACCAGATGCCTACAGTGCCCAGCAGCCCTGGTCCCTGTCTGCCCCTACTTCAATCTGCTGTCCTGTGAGGCTTGCCTCTGGCCTCAGGTTGCTCATAAAGCCTTCCTGACCCATTGGGCCTGACAGCCAGCTGCAGATGGGAGGCCAGGAGGCTGGGAACCCTCCTAGGGCGTCCCTGTGACAGAGGCCCAGAGTGCTGGGAGCCTCAGGGCCGGGCCAGGCTACAGGGAGGTGGGTGACTAGGCAGGACTCCTTCCCAGCAGCTTCTGTCAGTGGCAGAAGGCGTCTGGCTGCCCAGGCTCCAAGGGAGGGCCTCAGCTCATTGCATAGGGTGCTGCAGCCTGGGGGGCCTTGGAGACCCCTTCTCTCCGGGGTTCTGGCCTT
Organism: Homo sapiens; assembly: GCF_000001405.40. Classification (NCBI taxonomy): domain Eukaryota; kingdom Metazoa; phylum Chordata; class Mammalia; order Primates; family Hominidae; genus Homo; species Homo sapiens. Next base: position 2,036,518 of record NC_000011.10, read on the forward strand.
AGGGACTCCTGTGCTGAGGGCTGAGGCCCCAGGCTCTGTCTCCAGTTGGGCCAGGGGTGGCACCCTGTGGCCCCCAACACCCGTAGCAAGTGTGGGAGCCAGGGCCAGGGCTGGGAGCTGTTGGTTCCCAGGCTGCAGCTGGAGTTAGAGGCCTCTGTGACCAGGCTGGGAGCTCAGCACAAGCCCAGACTTGGGGCTTCCTTTGGAGCCCAGATGGCTGCTGCCTCTCTCCACCAAGTGACGGGTCTCAGGGGGCCTAGGATTGGAAGGACCCCATCATCTGGGATGAGGGTCTCCACGTGTTATAAGGGAAAGGAGGCAGGGGTGAGGGGCTCGGCAGCCCCTCCCTGCTGCCTGGGAGATGAAATCAGATCTGGAAAGGTCCACCCCCTCCTCAGGACCTGGGAATACGGGGACAATGGCTGGTAGGAAGGGCCCAGCTTTGCGGGTGGCGGGAGGGGGCTGGGGTCGCTTCCCACCTGCACCCCCCCTAGGAGCCCCACCTCAGTGGCCAAATGGGTGTCATGCTGCCCACTGACCTCACGGGGGCGCAGGAGACAACAAAATTTCAGCCGGTTCAAGGGACGGTCCCTTTGTGGCTGGATCCTCTGGGCTGAGCGGCTTAGTGGGGGCTCAGCGGGGGCTCCCCAGCCGTCTCTCAAAGACGAGCCACCCTGCCTGACCCCACTCACCTCCCACCCTGAACAATGTCCCCTGACCTTGCAGCCCCTCTTGCCTCTGTCCTCCTCCCTAGGCCGCTCTCCCTTCTCCTCTCCACTTCCCCACTCCCTCTCCTTGGGCCAGGCCCACCCCAGACAGGCTGGGGACTGAGGCTCCCTGGGGGCGGTGGGGGCGGGAGGAAGGGGTCTGCAGCTGGGGCGGAGGGGCCACAGGTCCCAGGCAGCCGAGGGGAGCGGGCAGCTCTGGGAAGGGCCTGGGAGCCAGGTGTGGCCCCTGCCCAGGAGCTTGGGAGAGGTGGCTGAGGACTCCAAAGCTGGGCGGAGGCCCTGGATAGGAGTGGGCTGGGGAGAGGAGATGAAGAACTGAGGCACAGAGGGGCCGGAGACAGGCAGAGGGCAGCCCAGGGGCTTGGGTGGGGGATTCCAGGGACATTGAGGAGGTGGGAGGGAGAGGGAGAGGGGAGGAGACCCAGCTTCAGGCAGGAGCAGTGAGGGGTGTGCTGGGGGTCCCACTGCCAGAGCCAGACTCCCGAGGGTCAGCAGGGGTGCTCTTCACAGGGGACCCGGGGGAGCTATCCAGGAGTAGCCAGAAAGATAGACTCAGGGACGGCTGTGGGAGGCGCTCTCCCAGGTCTGAGGCTGACGGTACAAGGAGAAGAGACATAACCGTCCCCTCCAGTACTGGGGAGCCATGGGAGGTTGCTGAGCAAGGACAAGCCTGCCAGAATCTGGATGGGAAAGTGGACGGTCCCTCCTGACCGCCCCCCTCCAGCTCTACCAAGGAGGCCCACGCCCAGGCCTGGCCAGCTCCCAGAGTCCCGGGCTGTCGGGGTGGGGGCCGCTCACTTCCCCTCCTGGGCTTGTCAGACACAGTTGAGCCACGTGCATCTTTCAGCAGACACTTCCTAAGTTTCTAAGCAAATTTTCTTCCTCCTGGCACTGGTTTGGCTCTGGGCCCAGAGGAGACATTCCTACGGGGGTCTTCCCAGCACACCTTGGAGGCTACAGGGCTGGCCTGTGTTGGGTGGGGCAGCACGGGATGGGGGGCTCCTTCTCCCTTCCAGTCTGGATGCTGGGACTCTGGGCAGAGAGAAGCTCTGGCAGGGGGTGGCAGCTGGAGGGTAGAGAGTGGGAGGGAGGCTCAGCTGCCAGCGTTCCAAACAAGCTGGGAAAGAGTTGAGCAGAAGCCCCCAGCGCTTGAGAAGGGTGAGCGGCTGGGGACTAGCGAGCCATGGAAGGCTGCACGGCAGGAGGTGGGGAGTCCCAGGCGGAGGAGCTTTAAGGGCCTGGGCCAGACAGGGTTCCCCGAGGGCTTGGACCACCCCAGCCCTACCCCCGCATCTTAGATCCCCCAGCGGCCCACCTTAATAGCTTCCTCCCTTCTCAAAAGGCCAGTCCTGAAGCAGATGATGTACACCTGTAACTCAATAAGCCCCAGCTGGTGGCAGCCCCTTGACATGTGAGCGGCGTTCCTCAGCCTCTGCCATCATGCACCACCACCCTGCAAGGAGGGCACAGCAGAGAGAAACTGGGCCCAGAGGACCCCAGGTGGCCACTGCTGGGCCAGGCGGACACTCAGGTCTCAGGGCCCTCAAGACACCTCCCGGTCTATCCCCAGGGCAAGGAGCACGCCTTGTTTCCCTCCTGCTCTTCCTCTCCTGGGCCTCAGTTTCCCCATTTGTTCTTAGCTCCTGCTCAGCTGGGAGGTGCCATGCTATGATCTCAGAACTACGTGGAACTGAGAATCCCCAAGAGGAACACTCCTATGGCAGAGGGGTGGCATGGAGGGCACAGGGAGGAGGGTCTTCCCCCCCGACAGCATGCGGGTCCTTCAGGGCCCCCAGCCTCTGGGTGTCACCCTTCCTTGAGAGGTAGATGGCTCAGGCCTGGGCCCAACGCAGCCCAGAGAGGTGGGGGGGCTTGCAGGTAAGGTCCTAGGCCTTTGTCTCTGTGCCTCTTCCCAAAGTAGGGGACCATCTGTCAGGCGGTCCTGGAGTCTGGGAGGGTGGGGTGGGCAGGCAGGGGAGCCCAGGGAGAATGGGCAGACGGGAAAGGCCCCGAGAGCCAGGGGCTGGGGACCTGTAGCAGGTCGGGGGACAGGCGGGGATCTGATGGGTGTGGGCAAGCCAGCTTGGCGGGCTTCCCTGCTGGCCACGAGGCCGCCTGGGGACCAGGAGGGGACCTTTTCGTGGAAAACGGATCAAAAGCCGGCTTATTGAATTTGCTTTTCTCTAACCTTTGCTTCCTGGCTTGTGCAACTGCCCTCCTGCGGCCTTCGCCTTTGCCTGGGGGTGACAGCCCCCAGGTTCCCAGGGCACAGGCACCTCCTGTGGCAGCTCAGGGGGCACTTGAGCCCTGGCCGTGCCGGGCTGTGGGGCAGAGGCTGCAACACCACCACCTGCCCCGTCAATCAGCCCAGCTCCCTTCCCAGCCCCAGGCCTGGGCCAGGCAGGCGGAGGGGCCTCGTGGATTTTTTTTGCCGGCTTAGCTCCTTGGCCCTGGGGCTGGAGCTGGGTGGGTCATGTTTGTGGGCGGGGGTGGGGAGTTTCGACTGAGGTCAGAACCAGGCAGGGACTCACAGGTCTCTCTGTGTTTGGGGGGGTTTTGGGGGGGCTGGTGAGGGGCCTCCATTTGCTTGCTAGCTTGAACCACTTCTGAGCCTTCTGAAACAGGCAAATCTTCGTCCTCCTCTGATGGGGCTTGGTTTGTAGAAACCACCCAGAGGCTCTGGGAGCCACATATGGGGAGGCCCAAGGTAGGGGGAGGTCTGGGGGGGCAGGAAGGCCCATCGGAGGAGAAGCCGAGGTGTGAGGAAGGCCTGGGTTGGGGCAAGTGGAACCGCAGAGATGGTTCTGGGTGAAGAGCAGGGCAGACAGGAGGCAGTCCCACTGCACCCCAAGGCCAAGTGTGCTGTCCTAAAGGACCTCCTGGAGAGGCCATTGTGGGGTGAGAGCTGGGACACCTGGGCTGGCTGGAAGATCCATGTGGGAGTCCACTCCAGCGCAGCTGCCGGGGAATCCTCTAGTGGAAGGGCAGCCCAGAAGCCTCCCTGACACCCCCACAGTTCCCATGAAGGCTTCCAGAGGGAGGTGCATGGGCTCTGAGCCCTGTGCCCAGGCCTTGGGGATTCCTGGTGTCCCAGCCCCCCAAGGGGGCAGCCTTGGACAGACCTGCCCTTCTCTTGGCATTCCTTGCCTTGCATGGCCTTGTGCTGGGGGCTCTCCTGGGTTTCAGAGCACCCTGTAAAGATGGCATGTTGGTCCCCATGAACAGATGGGGAAATAGAGGCCTGCCTTTGCTCATCACCCCCTGATGCATGTACATTCCTAGAACAGTGTGTGACGCAGAGCAGGTGCTTTGGCCACAAAGGTAAAGAGCCTGTGAGAACATCCAGCCCCCAAGACATGCTCAGGAATAAAAGCGAAACACCCAGCATGGAGCCCAGCACATGGGGTAAGTAAATCCCACAGCATGACGTGGGCATGACCTGGTCCTTCAAGATGTGCAGCAATGCTACCACAGAGCCCAGCAGGCTGTGGGGATGTGGTAAGGAGCTTAGAAGAATATCTGTACACGGCCGGGCACGGTGGCACACGCCTGTAATCCCAGCACTTTGGGAGGCCAAGGCAGGCGGATCACGAGGTCAGGAGATCAAGACCATCCTGGCTAACATGGTGAAACCCCGTCTCTACTAAAAATACAAAAAAATTAGCCGGGCGTGGTGGTGGGCACCTGTAGTCCCAGCTACTCGGGAGGCTGAGGCAGGAGAATGGCGTGAACCCGGGAGGCGGAGCTTGCAGTGAGCCGAGATCACGCCACTGCACACCAGCCTGGGCAACAGAGCAAGACTCCGTCTCAAAAAAAAAAAAAAAAAAAAAAAAGAATATCTGTACATAGGAGGTGCTAAATAATTAGTCTGAAGAGCCTAAGAGTATCCTGTTTTCAGTAGATGCTCACTAACATATATAAAGAAGGTACTCTAGATGTAGTCTAAAACATGGCTAGTATACTGCAGGTGCTCAATAATGAGCACACGGAGCTTAGTTGGATTGAAGCCCAGCAAAGCACGTGATGTAGGTAAAGCTGTCAGAAAGGCACACAGAGCCGCACATGGTGACAGCCCACAGTTGGCAGTCAATAATGTCTGTCCAGTGCCTGGCAGTGTTCAGCCCCCAGCGGACATGGAGTTAGCAGGCGAAACTGCTGGCATCATGTCCACACCCAGAGGACAAATGCAACTTCCGACAAAAGCAGCCAGCACATGGCTTGGAGGGAGCAAGGCAGGCAGATCACCACCACCACTGGGCACAGTCCAGAGCCAGGGTTCTGGGCAGCACAGGCTTCCATCACCGCATCCATGCTATGTGTGCTGCACGTGTCCCCAGAGCACTTGGCACAATGCATGGCCCATGGTGGGGGGTGGACAAAGCAGTGCCTGGCCCATGACAGGAGTTGTCAACAGAGAAGGTAATGCAGATACCACTGGGTCTGCACAGAGTGGAGGGCACTAGTCCACCCTCCATGCTCATTCTTCATTCTCCAATCTCTCTTCTCCATTCTCCGTACTCTATACTCCATTCTCCACCCTCCATTCTCCATATTCCACCCTCCATACTCATTCTCCATAGTCCACCCTCCATACTCATTGTCCGTGCTCCATGATGTATTCTCCATTCTCCAACCTCCATTCCCCATATTCCATTCTCCAACCTCCATTCTCCATATTCCACCCTCCATACTCATTCTCCATGCTCTATGCTATATTCTCCATTCTCCAATCTCCATTCCCCATATTCCATTCTCCATATTCTACCCTCCATTCTCCATATTCCACCCTCCATACTCATTCTCCATCATCCACCCTCCATACTCATTCTCCAACCTCCATTCTCCATCGTCCACCCTCCATACTCATTCTCCCTACTCCATTCTCCAACCTCCATTCCCCATATTTCACCCTCCATACTCATAGTCCATACTGCATTCTCCACCCTCCATTCTCCATGCTTTACTCTCCATTCTGCATGCTCCATTCTCCGTATTCCACCCTCCATACTCATTGTCCATGCTCCATGATGTATTCTCCATTCTCCAACCTCCATTCCCCATATTCCATTCTTCATATTCCACCCTCCATTCTCCAACCTGCATTCTCCATAGTCCACTCTCCGTACTCTAATCTTCATTCTCCATACTCCATACCCTACCTCCATTTTCCTTATTCCATTCTCCATTCTCCATACTCCATTCTCCAGAGTCCACTCTCCCTACTCTAACCTTCATTCTCCATTCTCCATACTCCATACTCCAACCTTCATTCTCCATACTCCATACCCAACCTCCATTTTCCTTAGTCCATTCTTCATTCTCCGTACTCCATAATCCATACTCCATTCTCCTTTCTCTGTACTCCATGCTCCATTCTCCTTTCTCCATTCTTCTTTCTCCATAGTTCATTCTTTATTCTCTTTTTTTCATACACCATACTCCATTCTCCATTTTCTCTTCTCTGTATGCCATTCTCCACAAACAGTTTTTCATTCTCCATACCTGTATTATATTCTGCATCCTCAATACTCTATTCTCTGTACTCCATTCTTAGTTCTGTTTTTTCATACTCCATCTCCATAATCTACAGTCCAGAATTCATTCTCCACTCTCCCTTTTTTAGACTCCACCCTCCAGACACCATTCTCTATTCTCCTTTCTCCATACTTCATTCTCCGTATTCCATTCTTTATACATTATTCTTCATTATTCATACCCTGTACTACATTTGCTATTCTCATTTCTTCATATTCCATACTCCATTCTCCATACATCATTCCTCTTCTCCATTTTTATCTTCTGTTCTTCATTATTCATACTCCATTTCCTTTTTCCATTCTCCATACACCATTCTTTATTCTCCATAAGCAACATTTCATTCTTCACTCTCCATACACCATGCTTCATTCTCCATAATACAGACTGCACATCAATTCTTTATTCTCCATTCTCCATACTCCAATCTTATTCTCCTTTCTCTATACTTCATTCTCCATCCCCATTCTCCATTCCTTATACTTAATTCTTCAATCGTCATTCTTCATGCTCCATTCACTATTTTCCATTCTGCCTACTCCATTCTTCCTTCTCCAGACTCCATACTGCATGCTCCCTTTTCGATTCTCCTTCCTCCACACCTCGTTCTCCATACTTCATTCTGTTCTTCATACTTCATTCTTCGTCGTGAATCCTCCATTCTCTATTCTCCATTCTTAATTATCCATACTGTATACCCCCAGAATCCATGTTCCATTCTCCATTTTTCATATTCCGTTCTCCAAACACCATTCTCCATGTTTTTTTCTCTCAATAATCCATTCTCCATACACCATTCTCAGTTCTTCATTCCCCATACTCTGTTCTTCTTTCTCCATAATCCATTATCTACATACCATTCTCCATTTTCCTTTCTCCATTTCTTTCTCTCTCTCTCTCTCCTTCCTTCCTTCCTTTCCTTCTTTCCTTCTTTCCTTCTTCCTTTCCTTTCCTTTCCTTTCCCTTCCCTTCCCTTCCCTTTCCTTTTCTTTCTTCTTTTCTTTCTTTCTTTTTTGAGACAGAGTCTCGCTCTGTCTCCCAGGCTGAAGTGCAGTGGCGAGAACTATTTGCAGTGGTTCAAACTATTCTCCTGCCTCAGCCTCCTCAGTAGCTGGGAATACAGGCATGCACCAATTTTTACATTTTTAGTAGAGACGGGGTTTCACCATGTTGGCCAGGCTGGCCTTGAACTGCTGGCCTCAAATGATCCACCTGCCTCAGCCTCCCAAACTGCTGGGATTACAGGTGTGAGCCACCATGCCCAGCTCCTTTATCCATTTCTATATCCCATTCTTCATTCTTAATACTTCATTCTCCATTCTTCTTTCTCCATACACCGTACTTTGTTTTCCAATTTCATTCTTCATACTTGATTCTACATAATTTATATTTCAGATTCCATTTTCCATTGTTTTTTCTCCATTCTCCAAACTCCAAACTTCATACTTCATTCTCAAATCTCCTTCCTTCATATTCCGTACTCCATTCTTTATACACCATTCTCGGATCTCCATTTTTTCATTTTCCACAGTCCATTCTTCATACTTCATACTGCATTCTCCACTCTTCGTTTTCCAGTCTCCATGCTGCATTCCCCATACTCCATATGTTATTCACTGCTCTTCATTTTCCATACTCCATACTCCATACTCCATACTGAATTCTATATTCTTTTTTTTGAGATAGAGTTTCGCTCTTGTTGCCCAAGCTGGAGTGCAATGGCATGATCTTGGCTCACCACAACCTCCGCCTCCCGGGTTCAAGCAATTCTCCTGCCTCAGCCTCCCATGTAGCTGGGATTACAGGCACCCACCACCAAGCCTGGTTAATTTTTTGTATTTTTAGTAGAGATGGGGTTTCACCATGTTGGCCAGGCTGGTCTTGAACTCCTGACCTCAGGTGATCTGCCCACCTTGGCCTTCCAAAGTGCTGGGATTACAGGCGTGAGCCACCACCCCCAGCCCTACATTCTTTTTTCTTTACACTCCATTCTCTATACACCATTCTGCATTCTCCATTTTCTATTCTCTATACTCCATATTTGACACTCTGTTGTGCATTCTGTATTCTCCATACTCCTTACTCCTTTTTATGTACTCTATAAGCTCCTTACTCCTTTCTACATACTCTATAATTTACACTACATTTTCCATTCTCCTATCTTTATACCCCATTCACCATACACAATTCTCTATTCTCCATGCTCCATTCTTGGTGCTCCATTCTTCATTTTCCATCTTCCATTCTCTTATCTCCATACTCCAGTCTCCATACTCCATAGCTCATACTCCATTCTCCTTTCTCCATCTTCATTCTCCATACATTATTCTTCATTTTGCATTTTTCCCTCCATTCTTTTTACTCATATCCCATTCTACTTTTTCATATTCCATTCTTCGTGCACAGTTTTTTATTCTCTATACATCATTCTCCATCCTTCCTACACTATTCTCCATGCACCAGTCCATTCTCCATTTTTCCATTCTCCATATTTCATGCTCTATATCCTACCGTTCATTCTCCATTCTCCATACTCCATATCTCACACTCCATTCTCCATCCTCTTTCTTTATACTCCGTTCTCTCTATACACTCTTCTCCATTCTCCATTTTTATAATCCATTCTCCATTTTCCTTCCTTCATACTTCATACTCCAGTCTCCACATACCACCCTCCATTTTTCTATTTGGTATACTCTATTCATTATACTACATACCTCATCCATCATTCTGTTTTCACCTTAATCAATTCTCTGTATGTCCTTCTTCGTTCTCCATACTTCAAACTTCATTCTTTTTTCTCTGTACTCTATTCTCTGTACCATTCTCCATTCTCAATTCTTCATTCTCCTTTCTCTCTCTTTTTTTTTTATTTTTTATTTTTTGAGATGGAGTCTTGCTCTGTCACCCAGGCAGTGCAGTGGCATGATGTCTGCTCACTGCAACCTCCACCTCCTGAGTTCAAGTGATTCTTCTGCCTCAGCCTCCTGAGTAGCTGGGATTACAGGTATGCACCACCATGCCTGACTAATTTTGTATTTTTAGTAGAGATGGGGTGTATTAGTCAGGGTTCTCTAGAGGGACAGAACTAATGGAATATATATATTCCACAATAGGCCATCTGCAGGCTGAGGAGCAAGGAGAGACAGTTTGAGTTCCAAAACTGAAGAACTTGGAGTCCAATGTTCAAGGGCAGGAACCATCCAACACAGAAGAAAGATGTAGGCTGGGAGGCTAGGCCAGTCTCTCTTTTCACAATTTTCTGCCTGCTTATATTCTGGCCTTACTGGCAATTGATTAGATTCTACCCATCAAGATTAAGGGTGGGTCTGCCTTTCCCAGCCCACTGACTGAAATGTTAATCTCCTTTGGCAGCACCCTCAGAGACACACCCAGGATCAGTACTTTGTATCCTTCAATCTAATCAAGTTGAAACTCAGTTTTAATCACCACACAGGGTTTTACCATGTTGGCCAGGCTGGTCTCCAACTCCTGACCTGAAGTGATCCTCCTGCCTCGGCCTCCCAAAGTGCTGGGATTACAGGCATGAGCCACCACACCTGGCCTCCATTATCTTTTCTCTATCCGACATTCTTCATTCTTTTTTCTCCATACACCTTGCTCCATTCTCCACTTTTCTTTCTCCATACTTCATTCTCCATTTTACACACTCTGTACTACATTCTCCATTTTGAATACTTCATTGTATATATGCCGTTCTTAATTCTCCTCTCTCCATATCCCATTCTTTATACTCCACCCTCCATTTTTATACTCTGTACTCCAGAATTTATTCTCCATTCCCCGTTTTTATACTTCATTTGTTAAACAGTATTGTCGTTCTCTTTAAAAAAAATCTCCATACTCCATCTCAGCTCACCATTCTTAATTTTCTATTCTCCATATTTCATACTTTGTTCTCCTTCTTTCTCCATACTCCACTCTCCATATACAGTTCTCCATTTTTCAAACACCATTCTCCTTTCTCTATTTCTAGACTCTATTCTCCATTCTTCATCATCCATACTACATTCTTCATTCTTATTTTTCCATTTGCCATACTTAATTCCTCATTTTTTGTTAACCATGCTTCATTCTTCATCGTCTATTATCTATACTTCATTTTCCATGCATCATTCTCCATACTCCATTCTTCATACTTTATACCTCACACTCCATTCTCTATTCTTTGTCCATACTGCATTCTCCATACATTATTTTTTCTATTCTCCATTTTTTCATTTTCCTTAGTTCATTCTTCATACTCTATACTCCATTGTTTACACACCATTCTCTATTCTTCATACTAATTTCTCCGTACTTCATACTCCTAACTACATTTTGTGATCTTTTTACCACATTCCATTCTCTATACACTCTTCTGCATTCTCCATTTTTCATTCTCCATTCTTCTTTCTCCCTTCTCCATTCTTCAAGCACCATACTCCACCCTCTATTTTTCATTCTTTGTAATCCATTCTTTACTCAGTACTGTCTATTCTCCATACTGCATTCTTCAAACCCCATTCTTCATTCATTATTGTCCATACTTCATACTCCATTGTCTATTCTCCTTTCTCTGTATTCCATTCTCTCTTTTTTCTTCATTCTCTATACATTATTTCTATACTTCATTCTCCAACTCCGTTCCTAATACTTTATTCTCCATACTCCATGCCCCATTCTCTTTTCTTTGCACACAATGTAATATTCTTTGCTTTCTATTCTGCATATTTCGTTCTCCACCCATCATTCTTCATTCTCTATATTTCATTCATCACTTTCCCTTCTCCATACTCCAGTTTCCATTCTTTATACTTTGTACTCTAGAATCCATTCTTCGTTTTTCCATATGTCATTCTCCAAACACCAGTCTTCATTCTCCTTTTTCTGTACTCAATTCTCCAAGCACCGATCTCCATTCTCATTTCTCTTACTCCATATCCATTCCCATACACCATACTCATTCTCCACTTCTGCTTCATTCTTCATTAACTTTTCTCCATACATCACACTTCTTTCTCCATTTTGTATTCTCAACACCTCATTTCTCATACACCATTCTCCATTCTCTATACTCCATACCTCACATTTCATACTTCATTCTTTATTTTTCTCCATACTCCATTTTCCACACTCCATACTCCATTTTCCACACTCCATACTCCGTATTGCGCTTTATGTTCTCCTTTCTCCATACTCCATTCTCTATACACCATTATGCATTCTCTATTTTCCTTTCTTTATATGTCATTATCAACACTCCATAATCCATATTCCACACTCCATTCTTCATTCTCCTTTCTCCATACTCCATTCTTTTTACTCCATATTCCATTTTCCTTTCTTCATCCTCCATTTTCATTCTTCTTTCTGCGTAGTTAATTCTTTATGCACTATTCTCCGCTTTCCATTGTCCATATATAATACTCCATTCTCCTTTCTCCATACTCAATTCTTCGTATGCCATGATTCATTCTTCACATGGCATTCTTCCTTCTTTTTACATACTACATTCTCCATACATAATACTTACCTATTTTAAATTATCCTTAGTCTATTCTTAATACACCCTTTTTTATTCTCTCTACTATATTCTTCATTCTTCATACTTCTTTCCAATCTCCATATTTCATACTTGATACTCCATTCTCCCTTCTCCATATCCCATTTACATACACTGTTCTCAATTCTCCAAACTTCACTCTCCTTTCTCTATACTCCATTCTTATACATCATTCTCCATTCTTCATTCTGTATATTCCATGCTAAATTCTCCAATCTCAATTTATCCTTTCTCCATACTCCATTCCCCATACACCATTCTTCATTCTCCATTTTTCATTCTCCATAATCCTTATCCCATTCTCCACATACCATTATTCATCCTCAATTTTCCATTCTTTATACTTAATTTCTCATACTCCACACTTCATATTTCATTCCCTTTCTTATTTCTTCATATTCTATTCTCTGTATACCATTCTTCATTATTCATATTCTGTAATTCATACACCATTCTCCTTTGTCCATACTCCTTTCCTCATTCTCCATACTTCATATTTTATTCCCTTTCTTGTTTCTTCATATTCTGTTCTCTGTATACCATTCTTCATTATTCATATTCTGTAATTCATACACCATTCTCCTTTGTCCATACTCCTTTCCTCATTCTCCATACTTCATATTTCATTCCCTTTCTTGTTTCTTCATATTCTGTTCTCTGTATACCATTCTTCATTATTCATATTCTGTAATTCATACACCATTCTCCTTTGTCCATATTCCTTTCCTCATACACCATTCACCATTCCTTATACTCCATATTCTATTTCTTTTCTCCATAGTCCATTCTTTAAACAGCATTGTCTATTCTCCATTCTCCATCTTTATTTTCCATTCTTTATTCCCCTTTCTCCACACTTTGGCTTTCATACACCATACTTCATTATATGTACACTATTCTTCATTGTCTATTCTCCATACTCCACACTCCATTTCCATACATCATTCTCCATACATTGTTCTCCATTTTCTATACTTTATAGTCTATTCTCCACACTCTGTTATCCTTTCTTCATTCTAATTATCCTTTCTCCACATTCCGTTCTCCATCCTCCATACACCATTCTTTATTCTCTATACTCCATTCTCTTTTCTCAATTCTTCATTCTCCATATAATATTCTTCATTCTCCACACTCTGTTGTCCATCCTTTATACTCAATTCTCCATTCTCATTTCTTTATGCATGACGCTTCATTCTTCCTTTTCCATTCTTCATACTCCATTCCTCATACTTCATACTTTATTCTTCTCCTTTTTTCTTCATACTTCACTCTTCACATCCATAATTGATTCTTCTTTCTCCATTTTTATTCTCTATACCCTACTCTCCATTCTCCGTTTTTTATATATCATTGTTCAATCTCATTCTTTATGCTCCATTCTCCATACTTCATACTTTATACACCATTTCCCGTTCTTCTTTCTCCATTTATTATTCTCCATACACCATTTGTATTCTCTTTTCTTCATACTATATTCTTTGGTATCCTTTCTCCATTCTCCATTTTCCACACATCATTTTCTATTTTCCATACTCTCTTCTCTAGCTCCTTTCTTCATTCTTCATACATTATACTGCAATCTGTTTTCTCCATATTCCATTGTCCATTCTCCATTCTTCATATTCCATTAACCCCTCCTTTTCCTTTATTCTGCATTCTGCATTGACAACACCCATTCTCCATTCTCCATACACCATTCTCCATTCTTCTGTCTTCTTTCTCCATACCTCATTTTCCATACACCATTCTTCATACCACATTTTCTCATTCTCAATAATCTCTTATTTATTTATTTAAGACAGAGTTTCACTCTGTCACCCAGGCTGGAGTGCAATGGCACAATCTCGGCTCACTGCAACCTCCATCTCCCAGGTTCAAGTGATTCTCCTGCCTCAGCCTCCCAAGTAGCTGGGATTACAGGTGCCTGCCACCACACCTGGCTAATTTTTGAAGTTTTAGTGAGATGGGGTTTCACCATGTTGGCCAGGCTGGTCTCGAACTCCTGACCTCAGGTGATCCATCCGCCTTGGCCTCCCAAAATGCTGGGATTACAGGTGTGAGCCACCCAGCCAGGGCTTATTTCTTATTCTTTATTCTTTGTACCTTATTCTCCATTCTCCATACACCATTCTGTATTCTGTTTTCTCCATATCCAATCTCCATTCTTTTTTCTCCATCCCCCATTATCCATACACTATTCTCTATACCACACTCTCTCATTCTCAGTAATTCATTTGTTATTCCTTATTCCCCATTCTTTGTACCTTATTCTCCATTCTCCATACTTCATTCTTAATTCTCATTTCTTTATATTCTATACTACATTCTCCGTACACTATTTTCCATACTTCATTCTTATTTCTTCATTATCCATACTTTATACTGCAGTCTTGTTTCTCCATACTCCATACACAATTCTCCATTCTTCATATTCCATTCTCCATTCCTCTTTCTTCATATTGCATTCTCCATATGCCATGCTTTTTTCTTCATACTCTGTTCTCCATATGCCATTCACCATTCTCCATTTTCTATTATCTAAACATTATTCTCCATAATACATACTCCTTATTCCATTGTTCATTCACTTTTCTCCCTACTCGATACTCTCACACTTTTCTGCATTCTCCATACTCCATTCTCCATATTTCAAACTTTATACACCCTTCTCAATTCTCTTTACTCTAGAGTCTATTCCCCATATACCATTCCCCATTCTTCATTTTCCACAGTCCATTCTTCATTCTTTTATCTTCACACATCATTCTCTATAAACACGTCTCCATTTTTTATTATTTATATTGCATTTTCCATACCCCATACACCCAATCTTTATTCTTCTTTCTCTATACTTAATTCTCCATACATCATTCGTCATTCTTCATACACAATTCTCCATACTCTATTCTTCATTCTTCTCTCTCTGTATTCTCTCCTTCATATACTATTCTTTATTCTGCATTTTCCATTCTTCATCCTCTATACTCTATACTTCATTCTCCATTCCCCATACTCCATTCTCCACACTTTTTATCTTTTCTCCTACTTCAACCTGTTACACTATTTTGCATTTTTTATTCTACATCCTGCATTCTCCAAACATTGTTCTCTGTACTTTATTTTCTCTTCTCATTTCTCTATATTCTATTTCCATACTTCATTCTTTACACACCATTCTCCATTTTTCATTTCCATAATTTGGTCTACATACTCCATACTTTATTCTTCGTTTTTTATATTCATCCTTCAGACTCCATGTTCTTTTTTCCTCTTACTACACATCATTCTCATAAACCATTCTCCATTTTCCATTCTCCTGACTCCATTCTACATACTCCATACTTCATACTTAATTTGTCTCTCTTCATACTTCATTCACTGTTCTCCATACTCCTTTCTTCATTCTTTCTTAATATGCCGTTCTCCATATGCCGTTCTTTATTCTCCATTTTTCATCCCCCGTTCTTCTTTGTCCATATTACATTCTCTATATTCCATTTTTCTTTTATTCTTTCTCATCCATACTCCTTTTTCTATGCTTCATCACTATACTCCATTACTTATTTTCTCTCCTCATCGTCCATTTTTTATACTCCATTCTCAATTCTCCGTGCATCATTCTCCATACTCCATACTTCTTTCTCCATAGTCATTCTGTCTACTCCAGTCTTCTTCCCCCTCTCTCCTCTCATTATACTCCATCGTTCATACTTTATTGTCCTACTGCTTTCTCCATACTCCATTCTCTATACATAATTCTCATTCTCCATTTTCCATGAGTATGAAGATTCTCATTCTCCATACTTTATTCTCTGTACACCATTGTCTATTCTCCATTTTCCATTCCCCATACTCCATTCTCCAACTTCATTCTTTGTTTTATATTCTCTGTTCTCATTTCATCATGCTCCATTCTCTATACTCCATTTTTTCTGTATATTCTATTCTCCATACACCTTTGTTCATTCTCTATCAGTCTCCATACTGTTTTCCATACTCTATACCCATAGTTCAATCCTCATTCTTCTTTCTCCATAATCATCCTCCATATACCATTGTTCATACTCCATTCTTTATATCCCAAACTCTGTTCTTTTCTTTCTATATTTTATTTCCCATATGCCCTCCCCCATTCTCTACTTTTCATTCTCCTTTCTTTATTCTTCATTCATTATACATTATTCTCTATTCTTTTTTCTCCATACTTCATTCTTCACCTTTTGTCTCCATACTTCATTATCTATACATCATTTTCTCCTTTTTATTTTTCATTCTCCATAATTTATTCTTTATATACCATTCTCCATTCTTCACTCTCCATTTTCTTTTCTCCATACTCTTTTCTTCATACTCCATTCTCTTTTCTTCATACCCCGTGCTCCATACTCCATGCACCATTCTCCATTCTCTATTTCTCATCCAACATTCTTCAGTCTCCATTTCACATTCTCATGCTTTATTCTCCACATTCCACACTCCATCCTCTCTTCTCAATACTTTTCCCTCTATACATTAATCTCCATTCTGTATTTTCCACTCTTTATACTGCATAAACCACACTCCTTCCTTCTTTCTCCATACTCCAATCTCCTTACACCATTCTCCACTCTTCATTTTTTGTACCCCATTCTTCATTCTCCAAACCTTATTCTTTATACTTCATTCTCTCTAGTCTTGTCTCCATACTCCATTTTCTATACTTCATTCTCCTTTCTTCATACCTTATTCTTTATATACGATTCTACATTCTACACTTTTTCAGCTTCATACTTCATTCTCCCTACTATATACTCCATACTTTGTTCTTCATTCTTCACACTTGTTCTCCATACTCCATTTCCTTTCTGGCTCCAACTATACACCATTTTTCCATATGCCATTCCCCTTTCTCCTTTTTCCACACTTCTTTCTTCATACACCATTCTTCATTCTTCATACTACATATGCTGTTCTTTTCCTTTATAGTCTATTCTTTATATAGCATTGTCTTGTCTCCCCCCTCCATGCTCCACTCTTTATTCTCTATTCCCCCTTCTCCATACTTTGATATCTATACACCATTCTGTATTCTCCATAGTCGATACTCAATACTCCATACTCTATTCTCCGTTCCCAATTCTACATACTTTATTCTGCATACACCATTCTTCTTCTCTTCCCTCTATACTCTGGTTTTCATACTCTATTATCATTTCTTCATTCTAATCATTCTTTCTCCAGATACCATTCTTTATTCACTATACTCATTTCTTCATTCCCCTTTCTCATACTCCATTTTCCATTCTCAATACTTTATTATCCATTCTTCTACTTCATTCTCCATTCAACACTCCCCATTCTCTATTATTTATAATCCATTCACCATATTCTATACTCCATACATCATTAGCAATTTTAATCTATATTTTATTCTCCACACACCATTCTTTTTTCTCCATGCTTCATACTATATTCCTCATTCTCCATTGTCTATACTACATTCTCTATACTCAATACTTCATGCTTCCTTCTCCATATTCTATTCTTCATGTTTCATATTCCACATTCCAAACTTCATTCGCCATTTTCCATACAATATAGTTTATACTTTATTCTCAATCTTATTTCTTCATAACCCATTCTCCATTCACCATTGTCCATTCTTCATTCCCCTTTCTTCATACTTTATTGTTTGTACACTATTGTCCATTCTCCATTTTCATACTTCGTTCCTTCTTTTCCATACACCATTCTCCATTTTTCATTCTCCCTGCTCTGTTCTCCACACTCCCTTCTCCATTCTTTTTTCTCCATATTCCATTCTCCATACAACATTCTCCACATTTTATGCCCCGTTCTTCATTCTCATTTTTTGTTTTTTGAGACAAAATCTCACTTTGTCGTCCAGGCTGGAGTGCAGTGGTGCGACCTTGGCTCACTACAATCTCTGCCCTGGGTTCAAGGGATTCTCCTGCCTCAACCTCCCAAGTAGCTGGGATTACAGGTGCCTGCCACCACGCCTGGCTAATTTTTGTATTTTTAGTAGTGACGGGGTTTCACCATGTTGGTCAGGCTGGTCTCGAACTCCTGACCTCAAACCATCCACCCGCCTTGGCCTCTCAAAGTGCTGGGATAACAGGTCTGAGCCACCGCGCCTGGCCCATTCTCATTTTTTTACGCATTACACTCCATTCTTCCTTTTATGTTATTTATACGCCATTCCCTATACTCTGTATTTTATACTTTATTCTTATTCTCATTTCTTCATACTCCATTCTCCATTCTTCATATCTATAATTTATTGTTTTTCTCCATTCTTCATTCTCCATACCCTACTCTCCATTCTCTATGTTCCATACACCATTATCTAATCTTCACTCTTTATGTTTCATTCTCCATAGTCCACATTTTATACACTGTTTCTTATTCTTCTTTCTCCATTCATTATTCTTCATACACCATTTTTAATTCTCCATGCTCCATACTATATTCTTCATTATCCTTTCTCCATTCTTTATTCTCTATACACCATTTTCCATTCCCTGTACTCTATTCTTTTGCTCCTTTCTTCATTTGTCATTCTCTGTACATAATATTCCAATCTGTTTTCTCCACATTCTATTCTCTATAAACCATTCTTCATATTCCATTCCCCCTCCTCTTTTTTCAAACTACATTCTGCATTCACAACATGCCATTCTCCACATACCATTCTCCATACTTTAATCTTCAGTCTCAATTCTTCTTTATTCATACTCTATTTTCCATACACCATTCTCCATACAACATTCTCTCATTCTCAGTAATCAATTCTTTATACCTTATTCTTCATTCTTTATATTTCATTCACAATTCTCATTTCTCCATATTCTATACAACATTCTCCATACTCCTTTCTCCATACTTTATACTCCAATCTCATTGCTTTATACTTTACTCTCCATAAACCATTCTTCATTCTTTATATTCCATTCGCCATTCCTCTTTTTTCATACTACATTCTCCATGCTCCGTGTTTCATCTTCCACACTCCATTCCTTATTCTTTTTTCTCCATACACCATTCACCAGACGCAGTTCTCCATTTTTCATTTTTTATACTGTATTTCCCATAGTTCATACTTTATACACTAGTTTTTATTCTCTTTTCTTCCATAATCCATTCTCCATATACTGTTCTCCATTCTCCATACACCATTCTCCATACTCCATTTTTATACTTCGTACTCCAATCTCCATTTTCCTCTTTCCATACTTCTTCATACACTTTTTTCCATTCTCCTTTCTTTATTCTCCATACTCTATATAATAATACTCCATACTTCATTCTCCTTTCTTCATACTTCATTCTCAATACTCCATTCATTTCTCCATTTTCCATTCTCAATACTTCATTCTGAAAACTTTATTCTCTATATTCCCTGCTCTGTTTTTCTTTTTCCATGCCTATTCTTCATACTTCATCCTTTTTCCTTCATACTCCATTATCCACACACTATTCTCCATTCTCCATTTTCTCACCTCCATTCTCTATTCTTCATTTTTTTACATACGCCACTCTTTATACATCATTTTTCATTGTCCATACTGCATACTCCATACTCCATTCTGTTTTCTCTTTAATTAATTTTATATACACCAATCTTTATTCTCCATACTCCATTCTCTATTCTACTTTCTTCATATTCCATTTGTTACACAGCAGTCTCCATTCGCTTTTCTCCATACTCCATTATTCACTATTTTCTCCGTATGCCATTGTCCATACACCATTTCTATCATACATTTTTCATTCTCTATATTCCACCTCTATACACTGTTCTCCATATTTCATTTTTCATACACCATTCTCCTTTCTTCATATTTCATACTACATACATCATACACCATTCTCTATTCTTCTTTCTTTATTCTCCATTCTGCCTACAACGTTGTCTATTCCAAATTGAACATCCTTCATGTTCCGTTCTCCATTGTCCTCTCTCCATACCTTCTCCTTCATACACCATTCTTCATTTTGAATTTTCCATTTTTCATCCTCCATCCTCCATACTCCATAATCATACTTCATACTCCATATTTCATTCTTCTTTCTCTATACTCCGTAATACACACTTCTTTCTCCTTTCTCCATACTTCAATCTCCTTACATAATTCAGCATTTTAAATTGCCCATACTCCATTCTCCAATCATCATTCTCTATATTTTGTTCTCTCTTCTTTTTTTATACTATATTTTCCATACTTAATTCTCCTTTCTGCTTTCTCCATACGCTATTTTTTATACACCATTTTCCATTTTTTTTGTCTCTGCACTCAGGTCTACATACTCCATACTTTGTTCTTCATTTTTCATACTCATTCTTTATACTCCATGTTCTTTCCCCCTCTCACTATACACCCTTCTTCATGCACCACTCTCCATTTTTCCTTCTCTCAGCTCCATTCAACATATTCCATACTCCATACTCCATTCGTCATATGCCAGCTCCATTCTCCATTCTTCATACTCCTTTCTCCATTCTCTTTTTTTCTCTTCTCCATACTCTATTCCCCTTTCTCCTTTGTTAATGCTTTATTCTCCATATGCCATTCTTCATTTTCCATCCTCCATTCTACTTTGTCCACATTCCATTCTCCGTATTCAGTTTTCCTCTATTCTCCATGCTCCTTTTCCATCCTCCATTTGCTATATTCCATTGCTCATTCTCCTCTCCTCATAGTCCATTCTCTATACTTTATTCTCAGTTCTCCATGCACCATTCTCCATATTCTTCTTCTTTCTCCATAGTCTTTTTTTTTTTTTTTTTTTGAGATGGAGTCTCACTCTGTCACCCAGGCTGGAGTGCAATGGCACAATCTCAGCTCAAGGCAACCTCTGCCTCCCGGGTTCACGCCATTCTCCTGCCTCAGCCTCCTGAGTAGCTGGGATTACAGGCCCGCGCCACCACGCCCGGCTAATTTTTGTATTCTTAGTAGAGATGGGGTTTCACCATGTTGGCCAGGCTGGTCTCGAACTCCTGGTCTCAAGTTATCTGCCCGCCTCGGCCTCCCAAAGTGCTGGGATTACAGGCGTGAGCTGCTGCGCCCAGCCTCGATAGCCATTTTGCATGCTCCACTTTCTTTTTTCCCTCCATTATACTTCAACGTCCTTACTGCTTTCTCCATACTCCATTCAATATACGTGATTCTCAATTCTCCATTTTCCATTTTCTATACTTTATACTTCTTTCTCTGTAGGTCATAGTCTATTCTCCATTTTCATTCCCCATACTCCATTCTCCAAATTTTATTCTCTACATTTTTTCTCTTTTCTCCTTTTGCCATGCTGCATTCTCCACACTTCACTCTTTTTTCTCTATATTCCATTCTCCATACACCATTGTCCATTCTCCATTTTTCAATTTCCATAATGTTTTCCATACTCTGTACCCATAGTTCAATATTCTTCTTTCTCCACAATCCATTCTCCATACTCCATTTTTCCTTCTCCATTATTTATTTATTTATTAATTTAATTGAGACAGGATCTCGCTCTGTCGCCCAGACTAGAGTGCAGTCGTACAATCTCGGCTCACTGCAACCTCCACCTCCTGGGCTCAAGCAATCTTCCTACCTCAGTCTTCTGTGTAGCTGAGACTACAAGTGTGTGCCACCATGCCCAGCTAATTTTTGTATTTTTTGTAGAGACGAGGTTTTGCCATATTGCCCACTCTGGTCCCAAACTCTAGGGCTCAAGGGATTCACTCACCTTGGTCTCCCAAAGTGCTGGGAATACAGGCTTCAGCCACCACTCCCGACCTCTCCATTCTTTATACTTCACACTCCATGCTTTTTTCTCTATACTTTATTCCCCATATACCTTCGTCCATTCTCCATTCTTCATTCCCCTTTTTACATTCTCCATTCATTACACACCATTCGCCTTTCTCTCTTCTTCACACTCCGTACTTCATTCTCCACTCTTTTCTCCATACTTCCTTATCTATGCTCCAGTCTCTACTCTCCATTCTCTATTCTCCAGTCTTCATTCTCCATTCTCTTTTCACCATACTCCATACTCCATTCTCTACTCCTCATACAACATTCTTCAGTCTCTATTTCAAATTCTCCACACTCCACACTCTATTCTCCATTCTCTTCTCTCCATCCTTTCCCCTCCACACATCATTCTCTATTGTGGATTTTCCATTCTTCATATTCCACACTCCTTTCTTCTTTCTCCATACTCCAATTTCTTTATACCCTTCATTTTCATACCCATACTCCATTCTCCAAACCTTATTCTTTATACTCCATTCTCTCTTGTCTTTTCTCCGCACTCCTTTCTCCTTTCTCCATGCTTCATTCTTTATACACCATTCTCCATTCTCCATTTTTTTCATCTCTATACTCCATTCTTTATACTACATGCTCCATGCTTGGTTCTTTGTTCTTCATACTCATTCTGCACCCTCCATTTCCTTTTCTGCTCTCAGATACACCACTTTTCATACACCATTCTCCATTTTCATAGTCTATTCTCCATACATCATGGCCTATTCTCCATTCTCTTTCTCCATGCTTTATTCTCCATACATCATTCTCCATTCTCCTTTCTTGGTTTTTCATTCTTTATATTCCATTCTTTTTTTTTTTTCTTTTTGAGATGGAGTCTTACTCTGTCATCCAGGCTGGAGTGCAGTGGCGTGATCTCAGCTCACTGCAACCTCCGCCTCCCAGATTCAAGTGATTCTCCTGACTCTGTCTCCCAAGTAGCTGTGATTACAGGCAAGCACTGCTATGCCCAGCTAATTTTTGTATTTTTAGTAGAGATGGGGTTTCACCATGTTGGCCAGGCTGGTCCTGAACTACCGACCTCAAGTGATCCGCCTGCCTCGGCCTCCCAAAGTGCTAGGATTACAAGCGTGAGCCACTGCACCTGGACTATTTTCAGTTCTTTTATTATTTGATTATCATTACTCCATTCTTCATTATTTATACTGCATTCTCCGTTCAACACTCTCCATTCTTCATTCTTTCTGTTCCATTCTCCATACTCTATACGCCATATACAATTCCCCATTCTTCATTTTACATACTTTATTCTCCATACACTATTCTTTTTCTCTATTCTCTGTACTATGTTCTTTATTCTCCTTTCTCCATACTCTATTCTCTGTACACCATTCTCAATTTTCCATACTCCATATTTCATGTTTCTTTCTCCATAAACCATTCAGCATACACCATGCACCATATTCCAGACTCACTTCATTTTCCATACTTCATGCGTTATACTTCGCTATTCTCATTCTCCTTTCTACACACTCCGTTCTCCACACACATTTTTCTTTTTCATTCTCTACGTGCCATACTCCATTCTCTTTTCTCCATACTTCATTTTTCATACACTATTCTCCATATCCCATTCTTCATTCTTCTTTCTCCATACTCTATTCTCCACACACCATTCTCCATATTTTATGCCCCATTCTTCGTTCTCAATTCTTTATACACCATGCTCCATTCTCCTTTTTCTATTCTCCATTCCCCATATTCCATACTTACTTAATACTTAATTCTCATTCTTTTTTCTCACACCTCATTCTCTATACACCATTCTCAATGCTCCATATTCCACACTTTATTCTCTTTTCTTCATATTTCATTCTCCCTACTCTATTCTTTATTCCCCATTTACTATACTCCACTCTCCATCTTCCATATACCATTCTCTAATATCCATTCTTTACGTTCCCTTCTCCATACTCACTCCATACACAATTCTCCACTCTTCTTTTTCCATACTTTATTCTTCATACACAATTCTTTATTCTTTGTTCTCTGTACAATATTCCTTATTCTCCATTCTCCAGGTCAGTTCTCCATAAGCCATTCTTCATACTCTATACTCCATTTTTCTTTCTTCTAACTCCATTCTGCATATACCATACTCCATTTTTCATTCTCCATACTTCATATTCCTGACTCCAACCTCCATTCTCAATTCCCCCACTACATAATGTACGCATTATTCTCATTCTGCTTTCTCCATACTCCTTTCTCCATCATCAATCTCTGTATTCAATACTTTATTCTTTTTTCCATACTTCATTCTCCATACATTATCATCCATTCTCCATTTCCCTTACTCTTTATTCATTCTCCATCCACCATTTTCCATTTTACATACTCTATATTCTTCATTACCCATTTGCATACTTTATATTTCAATCTGAAGTTTTCATATTCCATTCTCCATAAACCATTATGTATTCTTCATATTCTTTTCTCCATTCCTCTTTCTTCATACACAATACTTTATTCTATATATACCATTCTTCATTCCCCTTTCTGTACACCATTCTCCATGCTCTATACTTCTCTATAAATTCTCCATATTCCGTACTTTATTCTCAATACTCTTTCTCCACACTCTATACTACATTCTCCATACAATACGCTCCATTCTCCATACTCTATTCTCAATCTCTATTCCTCATATTTTATACTCCAGTCTGGTTTCTCCATACTTCATTCTCCATAAACTATTCTCTATTTTCCATTTTTCATATCCCATTCTCCATTCCTGTTTCTTCATACTACATTCTGCATTTTCAATACTCCATACTTTATACATCATTCTCCATTCTCCCTCACCTATAGTTCATTCTCCATACACCATTCTCCATTTCCATTCTTCAAACTCCTTTCCCCACAATCACACTCCAAATTCCCTCCCCCTTTCTGCATTCTCCATTCTGTATACTTTATACTCCACACTGCTTTTTCCATACTCTAATCCCCTTATACCCTTCTCCATTTTTCATATCCCAGTCTCCATTCTCCAAACATTATTCTTTATACTCCATTATCTCTTCTTCGTCTATACTCCATTTTCCATATTCCATTCTCCTTTATCTGTACTGCATTCTTTATATACCATTTTTCATTCCACATTGCATTTTGTAATCTTCACATTCCATATGCCATATTCTATGCCTTTTTAAAATTATTCATACTCATTCTCCAAACTCCATTTTCTTTTCCCCTCTCACTATACGCCATTCTCTGTACACCATCCTCTGTTCTTAATTTTCCATTCTTCTGATTTCATTCTACATACCCAATACTCATTCTTCTCTTTTCATACTTTGTTCTCCTCCAACAACTTCATTCCCCATTTTCCATTCTCCATACTCCATTTTTATATCCCACATTTCACACTCCATTCTCTTCCCCCCATGCTCCATTCCTTATACAACATTTTCTATTCTCCATTCTCTCTTTTGGATTCCACACTCCACTCTCCATAAACCATACTCCATACACCATTCTCCATTCTCCTTTTTTTGCACTCCTCCTCATATTCCATTCTCCATTCTTTCTTCATTCTTCATGTTCTATTCTCCATACTCCATTCTTCACACACCATTGTTCATTCTCCATACTCTATGTTCCATTCTTTTTTCTTCATACTCCGTTCTACATACACCATTTTAAATCTCTGTTTTCTGTTCTCCATAGTTTATTATCTTTACTCCATTCTCCTTTCTCCACACTCTTCTCCATATTTTATTCTTCTTTTTCTTTTGTCATATTCCATTATTCGTACTCCTTTCTCCATACACCATTTTCCATTTTCCTTACTCTATACTTTGTTCTCCATTGTCTGTACACCATTCTGTACTGTCCATTCTGGATTCTCCATACTCCATAAACCATATTTCATACTCCATTCTCCACACATTACTCTTTACTCTCACCGTGCTCCTTTCTCCATTCTCCTTTCTTCATATCCCTCTTCGTATGCCATTCTTCATTCCTCATTTTCTATTCTTCATCCTCCATTCTTCATACACTGTTGTCCATTCTTCATTTTTTATTCTCCATACTCTATAATCCATTCTTCTTTCTTCATATGCCATTTTACATACACCATTCTTTATTCTCCATTTTCTATTCTTCATGATCCTTTCTCCGTACTCCATTCTGCATACTCTATTCTCCTTTCTCCATACTCATTCTCCATACTCCATTCTTTTCTTTTTTCATCATAATCCATTCTTCTTGTTCCATACTCCTTACTCCTTTCTATGTATAGCATTCTCCATTTTCCATATGGTATACTTCATATTCACTTCTCTGTACATTACTCTCCATTCTTCACTTTTGATTTTCTATAATCCGTTCTTCATTCTTTTTCTCCATACTTCATTTTCCACATACCATTCTCCACTCCCCATTCTCTATACTCCTTTCTCTATTATCATTTCTTCATTCTCCTCCTCATACCTTATTCTCCATATTCCATTCTCCATTTTTTATTCTCCACATTCTGTACTCTGTACTCAATTCTTTCTTCATACTTCATTTTTCATACACCATTCTTCATTCTCCATTTTCTGTTCATCATTCTCCTTTCTCTATACCTCATTCTCTATACTCATTGTTCATTCGTTCTCTTTTCAACACACTCCGTTCTTCATACTTCATTCTCCTTACTCCTTTCTCTATACTTCATTCTCCATGCACCATTCCCCATCCTCCATTTTCCATACTATATACTTTATACTCCTTCCTCATATGCTGTTCTTCATTCTTTATTTTCTAATCTCCTTTCTTCATTCTTCGTACACCATGGTTCATTCTCCATTTTTAATCCTCCATACTCTATACTCTATACTCCATCCTGCTTTCTTCATACCCCACTTTACACACACCATTCTTCATTCTCCACTTTCTATTCTGCACACTCCCTTTTTCATACTCTTTTGTTCATAGTTCATTCTCGATGTTCCATTCCCTATTCACCTTTCTTCAAACACCATTCTCCATTTTCTATTTGCCATATTCTGTTCTTCATACACCTTTCCATTACAGTTTTTTATTCTCCATACTCTATGCTCTATTCTCCTTTCTTCATAGTCCATTTTACATATGGCATTCTGCATTCTTCATTCTCCCTTTTCCATACTACATTCTTTATACTCATATTCCATAGTCCATTTTCCATTTTTCTCCATACTCCATTTTTTTCTTCAACTTTTATTTTAAGTTCTGGGGTATATGTGGAGGATGTGCAGGTTTTTTATATAGGTAAACATGTGCCATGGTGGTTGGATGCACAGATCAACCCATCACCTAAGCATTAAGCCCAGCATCCATTATCTATTCTTCCTTATGCTCTCCCTCCTCCTGCCCCGTGACTGACAGGCCTCAGTGTGTGTTGTTCCCCCAATTCCATGTGTCCATGTGTTCTCATCATTTAGCTCCCACTTATAAGTGAGAATATGTGGTGTTCAGTTTTCTGTTCCTACATGAGTTTGCTGAGGATAACAACTTTCAACTCCATTCATGTCCCTGCAAAGGATGTGATCTCATTTTTAATGGCTGCATAGTATTCCATGGTGTATATGTACCACATTTTCTTTATCCAGCCTACCAGTGGTGGACATTCAGTTGATTCCATTGCTTTGCTATTGTGAATAGTGCTGCAATGAAACACGTGCTTGTGTCTTTATGATAGGATGATTTATATTCCTTTCGGTATATACCCAGTAATGCAATTGCTGGGTCAAATGCTTTTTCTGCATCTAGATCTTTGAGGAATCTCCACACTGCCTGCCACAAGGTTGAACTAATTTACATTCCCACCAACAGCGTAAAAGTGTTACTTTTTCTCTGCAACCTCACCAGCATATGTTGTTTCTTGACTTTTTAATAATTGCCATTCTGACTGGTGTGCTCCATACTCCATTCCTTATACACCATTCACCATCCTCCATTCTCCATAGGCTATTCTCCACTTTTCTTTCCCCATATTCCATTCTCCATACATCACTACCTATTCTCCATTCTCCATCTCTATACTCCATTCTCCTTTCTTCATACTCTACTCTCATACATCATTCATCATTCTCCATTTTGTATTTTCCATGCTTCGTTCTCCATACTCCATTTTGCTTTTGGCATTCTTCATTCTTCATACTGCTTTCTCCATACTCCATTCCCTATACTCCATTGCTCATTCTTCTCTCCTCATACTCCATTCTCTATACTCTATTCTTAATTCTCCTTTCTTCATATTCTCCATACACATCCTTCATTCTCCATTCTTTATACTCCACTTTCCATTCTCCTTTATCCATACATCATACTTTTCCATACATTTTCCAATCTCCACAATTCATTCTTTTTTCTCTATACTCTATTCTCCATATTCCATCCTTTGTACTCCATACTGTATTCTCCCTTTTTCTTTCTTCATCCTCCATCCTCCATTCTTCTTTCTCCACACTGCATTTTCCATTCTCCTTTCTCCAAGCTCCATTCTCCATGCACCATTTTCCATTCTCCATTCTTCATACTTCACACTGCATACTCCATTCTCCACTCTTTGTCCTCCATACTCCTTTCTTCATATGCCATTCTCCCTTCCCCCTTTTCCAATTCCGTCCTTTGTTCTCCAAACTCTGTACTCAGTTATTCTTTCTTCACATTTGATTCTTCATGCACCGATTTCCATTCTATATTTTCCATTCTCCATACACCATTCTCAACTTTCCATTTTCCATATTGTATGCTTCATTGTTCTTTTCAATATTTCTCCATTCTCCATAAACAATTCTCCATTCTGTGTGTACCATTCTCTATTCTTCATTTCTTTCTCCACACTCCATGCTCCCTAGTTCATAGTTCATAATCCATTCTCTATTCTTTTCTCTATACGTCATTCTCCATATCTCTTTCTCCATTTTCCATTCTCCACGCTCCATTCTCCTTTCTTTATTTTCCATTCTCCATACTCCATTATATGTTGTCCGTTTTCATTCTTCATTCTTTATTCTCTGTAGTCCATAGCCCATAAATCATCCCTCATTTTCCTTTCTCCACACTCCATATACATACCGTTCTCTATTCACCATACTGCATACTCTGTACACTGTCCTCCATTCTCTTTTCTCCATACACCATACTTTTCACTTTATACTCCATTTCCACACATCTTTTTTATACACCATAGCCCATATTTCATACCACATTGTCCTTAATTTATTCTCTGTAGACCGTTATCTATCTATTCTACTCCATTCTCCAATTTTATTCTTTATTTTGTATACTTCTTTGTGCATGCATTTCTCGTACTGCATATGCCATTCTTCATACTCTATATTCTATTCTCCATATTCCATACTTCATATTCATTGTTCACACTCCACTCTCCATTCTCCATACACCATTTTCCTGCTCCAACTGCTTTCAATTCTTTGTTATTTATTTTCCATTTTCCATTCTTTATACTCCATACACCATTTTCCATACTCCATAACCCACTTCATACTCTATTCTGCAGTAGTTCTCATACCCCATATTCAAAGTTATGGATTATGGATTACTGCCCCCATTGTGTGCAGATCCAGTGCTACCTGCCTTACCTTAGTTTCTGGGAACATCTACCATATATCAGGCCTTGCACTAGGCCTTCCTCTTGGACCATATATTGCTTCAGGTTCTCTGTGCACACATGCAGTACACACTTTGCACAATATTTATCATACTTGGTACTCCATTCTCCATACTCTATACTCCATACTTCATTCTCCATACTCAGTCTCCATATTCTGTACTTTTTCTCCATTCTCCATCCTCCAAGTTTCATACTTCATACACCTACCATTGTCCATATTCCACTCTCTATTCTCCATTTTCCATATTCCATTCCATTCTCCATTTTCCATGCTCCAGGTATCATTCTCCATAATCTAGACCCCATTCCATTCTTTATTCTTCATACTCTATTCCTCATTCTTCATTTTCCATGCTCCACATTTTTTTCTCCATACTCCATACTTTATATTTTATTCTCTATATGCTATAGTCCAAGCTATATTCCATTCTCCATACCCCCTCTCTATATTCTATGTTCTTTATATTTCATCTCCTTTCTCCCTAGTCTATACGCTGTGCCCCATTCTTCATTGCCCTATCTCCATAGTTCATTATCTATTCTCTGTATTCTAGCTGTATATTTTTATCCCATTCTCTTTTCTCATGCTTCTTTGTCTATTCTCTGTCTTTCATACTCTGTACTCTTTTGTTTATATTCTACACACATGCTCCTCAACTTACAATGGGGTAACATCTTGACCTCCATGGTAAATTGAAAATATTACAAGTCATAAATTCATTGAGTACACCTAATCTACTGTACATCATAGCTTAGCCCAGCCTACCTTAAACATGCTTAGAACACTTACATTAGCCTGGGTGACTAAGGGCTGTGACTCTCCATGGCTGCCCACTGTGATGATACAGTATTATAGGCCAGGAAAAATCAAAATTCAGTATGGTTTCTACTGACAGCCCATTGCTTTCACACCATTGTAAAATTGAAAAATAGTAAATGAAATCATAAGTCAGAAATCAACTGTACTCCATTCTTTATTCTCTATACTCCATAATCCAGTCTTCATATTCTATACCTCATTCTCCATTCAACATAACATTCTCCACTCTACAGGAATGCCTCAAAGCTATTGCAGGTTCAGTTCCAGACCACAACAATAAAGCAAATATTGCAATAAAACAAGTAACACATTTTTTTTTGCTTCCCAGTGCATATATGCTTATACTATACTACAGTCTATTAAGTGTGCAATAGAATTATGTCTAAAAAACAATATATACACCTTAGCTTAAAAAAATTGTATCGCTAAAAAATGCTAATGATCATCTGAGCCTTCAAGGAGTCATGATCTTTTTGCTGGTGGAGGGTCTTGCCTAGTTATTGATGGCTGCTGGCTGATCAGGGTGGTGGTTGCTGAAGGATGGGGTGGCTGTGGCAATTTCTTAAAATAAGACAACAAGGAAGTTTGCCACATTGATCGGCTATTCCTTTTATGGAAGATTTCTCTGTAGCATGTGATGCTGTTTGATAGCATTTTAACCACAGTAGAATTTCTTTCAAAATTGGAATCAAGCCTCTCAAACCCTGCCACTGCCTTATCAACTAAGTTGACGCCATATTCCAAATCCCTTGTTGTCATTTCAACAATATTCACTGCATCTTCTTTAGCAGGAGTAGATTCCATCTCAAGAAAGCACAATCTTTGCTCATCCCTAGAAACAACTCCTCATCTGATCAAATTTTATCATGAGGCTACAGCGATTTCATCATGTCTTTAGGCCCCACTGCTAGTTTTCTTGCCATTTCCATAATGTCTGCAATTACTTCATCCACTGAAGTCTTAAGCTCCTTAAAATCATCCATGAGTGAAATGGCTCCTTCCAATCTCCTGCTAATGTTGCTATTTTTACCTCCTCCTATGAATCACAAGTGTCCTTAATGCCATCTAGAATGGTGAATCCTTTTCAGAAGCCTCTCAATTTACTTTGCTCAGATTCAGATCCATCTGAGGAATCTCCGTCTATGGGACTGATAGCCTTACAAAGTATATTTCTTAAATAATATGATTTGAAAGTCAAAATTACTCTTTGATCCATGGGCTGCAGAATGGATGCTGTGTTAGCAGGCATGAAAACAACATCTGACTCCTGGTACATCTCCATCAGAGCTCTTGAGTGACCAGGTGCATTCTTAATGTATAGTAAAATTTTGAAAGGAATTTTTTTCTGAGCAGTAGTTCTCAAAAGTGGACCTCAAATATTGAGCAAATCATTCTCTAAACAGACGTGCTGTCATCCAGGCTTTGTTGTTCCACTGACAGAGCACAAGCAGAGTAGATTTAGCATAAAAATTCTTAAGGGCCCTAGAGTTTTTGGAATTGTGAATGTTGGCTTCACCAGCTCTATTAGCCATAACAAAACAGTCAGCCTCTCATATGAAGCTTTGAAGCCAGGCATTGACTTCTCCTCTCTAGCTATGAAAGTCCTAGATGGGATCTCCTCCCCATAGAAGGCCATTTCATCTACATTGAAAATCTGCTATTTAATGTAGTTACCTCCCTCAATGATCTTAGCTAGATCTTCTGGATAAGTTGCTGCAGCTCTTATATCAGCACTTACTGCTTCACTTTGTACTTTTATGTTATGGAGATGGCTTCCTCCCTTAAACTTCATGATCTAAGTTCTGCTATCTTCCAACTTTTCTTCTGCAGCTTCCTCACCCTTCACAGAATTGAGGAGAGTTAGGGCCTTGCTCTGAATAAGGCTTAAGGGAATGTTATGGGGGGTGTGATCTTTTATGCAGACCACTAAAATTTCTCCCTATCAGCAAAAGACTGTTTTGCTTCTTTGTTATTCGTGTGTTCATTGGAGTAGCATTTTTAATTCCCTTCAAGAACTTTTCCTTTACATCCACAATGTGACTAATTGGTGCAAAAGGCCTAGCTTTCACCTATCTTGGCTTTCAACAGGCCTTTCTCAGTAAGCGTAATCATGTCTAGTTTTTTATTTAAAGTGAGAGACATGAGACTCTTTTTGCATTTGAACACTCAGAGGCCATTGCTGGTTTATTAATTGGCCTAATTTCCATACTGTTGTGCCTCAGTGAATAGAGAGGCCTGAGGAGAGGGAGAGAGATGGGGGAATGGCCAGTTGGTAGAGCAGTCAGAGCACAAACAGCACATCAATTAAGTTCCCCATCTTATATGGGCATGGTTCAGAGCACCCCAAAACAATGATAATAGTAACCTCAAAGATCACTGATCACAGATTGCCATAAATGCTAAAATAATAAAGTGTGAAATATTTGAAGAATTTCCCAAATGTGACCCAGAGACACGAACTGAGCACACACTACTGGAAAAAATGGTACCAATAGACTTGCTGGACTCAGGGTTGCTACAAACCTTCAATTTGTAAAAAACACAATATTTGCAAAGCACGATAAAACCAGGTGTGGCTGTGCGTTCTCTATCCTCCATTCTCATTATCCATCTACGGTCTCCAGAATCCATACTCCATACCCCACATTGCATTCCCCATCACCATTCTGCGTTTTCTATACTCCATCCCGCAAACTCCAATTTCCATTTTCCACACATCATTTTCCATTCTCCATCCCCCACACTCAGTACTTCATCCTTCATATTCTGTACTTCATTCCTTGTTTTCCGTTCTCCATGCTCTATGGTTCATACTCTATTCTTCATACTTCATACTCCATACTCCATTCTTGACGCGCCATTCTCCATATTCTGCGCTCATTTTCCACATTCCTCTCCTTTTCATACTCCATTCTTCATTCTCCATACTCTGTTATTAGATGCTACAGTTTCCCTTGTTCATTCTCCATACTTTTCTGTCCATATTCTATCCAGATGCTTCTGAGTTATGAGAGTTATGTCTTGATAAACACATCATACGTGAAATACATTGTTTAAGTCCAAAATGCATTTAATACACCTAATCTACTGAAAATCATAGCTGAGCCCAGCCTGTCTGGAACATGCTCAGAGCACTCACACTAGCCTGGCTGACTGGGGGCTGTGGCTCGCGGTTGCCCAGCAGCTTCATGAGACAATATTCTACTTCAGGTCACTAGCCTGGGAAAACGTCAAAATTCCAGATTTGAAGTATGGCTTCTACTGAATGCACATCACTTTCACACCATTGTAAAAAAAAATTGTAAGTTGAACCATTGTAAGTCAGGGACTGACTGTACTCCGTTCTCTAATCTCCATTCTGCACGCTCCATTTTCCATGTGCTCCTCTCCATACTGCACACTTCTTTCTCTATTCCCCACTCTGCATCACTGTTCCCCATACAGCATGCTCCATGACCCACTCTTACGATGCATTCCACATTCTGTCCACCATACCCTACCTCACGCTCCACCCTCCATTCTCAATTCTCCATCCTCCTTACACCAAACTCCATCTCTACTCCCTTTTTCATTCTCCATGCTCCATTCTTCATTCTCCATGCTCCATCCTCTCAACCCCATTTGCTACCTCTATCATCCATTCTCCACTCTCCATTCTCCATACTCACTCCATTTTCCATACATCTTCCATGTTCCAGGCTGCTACAGCATTCTTCAGACTTCATTCTCCATCCTCCATTCTTCATCTTGTATACTCTGCCTCCACATTCAGTCTTTTCTTTATACTCCATTTCCCATTCTCCTCACTTCACTCTCAATGTTCCATGCTCCATTCTCCATCCTTTATAGCCAGTGCTCCATTCTCCATGTTCTCTTCCCCATTCTTCATGCCCACTGTCTATTCTGCTTACTCCATTCTCCATGTCCCATATGTCCCCATGCTTCACACTGTGTACCCCACACTCCATTCTTTCTGTTCCATCCTTCACACACCATTATGTCCACTCACACCCCTCTCTCCTGGAGGCTTTTCTATCTTTCTTCTTGTCTCTGACTTCCAGCAGCCCCCTCCACCATCCTGTCCCACTAGGGACCTGGCCTTTCAGTTGTCTCGGTGCACATCACGCCCTGCCCCATGCCCACCAACACGTGCTGTGCCCACCAACCTCTGTGCCTATCCCATGAAATCGCTCCTTTCCCTCAATGTTGGGTGGAAACTCCCCATGCTCCTTCAAAGTTCACCCGTCCATTGGAGAGCAGGTTCCTGCCCCAGCTCAGGATATCGCGGCAGGAGGAACGTTCTCACAGGCCCCTCTCCTGGGTTAACCTGACTCTGCCTCAGCCTCTCCTTCTAGGAGACCTCAACCTGCAACAGCCCAAACCTTCCCCTAAGGAAGAAATGATAACAGTTGCTAGTGAGTTTGGAGTCTTCCTTCACTCACCAAATCCCAAAAGGATATGATCTGAAAGTCAAAATTAGGAGGACAGTGAAAGAGCCATGCAGCTATCCGGGAAAAGATCCCCTTTCAGGGTCCTTCCAACGTCCTGATGAAGGATATTCCTTTCATCTGAAAACCAGCAAACACACGGGCCACCCAGACGATTCCTCCACTGTGTCTCCACTTGACCCCAGCCTGTCCTCTCCTTAACACACCCCAAGCTCAGCAGTGACCCCCTCAAGGCACTCCACCCAAGGTCCTGGCTCAGGACCCCCTTACCTGAATAATCGTTCACATCCGGCACCTCCCTGGGTCACTTTCTCTCCTTGAGCTATTGCCTACACCTTGCCCCAGGCGGCAGGACCCTCCTGGGTGTATCCCACCATCTGGGCGTTTTAGTCTGTGCTTCATTGCTCAGCGTCCTCATCTTCCTCTCTTTTCCATGCTGCGGGGCCTGGCTTGGTCCCTTTCCATCCACATTCGCAGACTTGGTGACCTCTCTGCTTATGACCACATGGACTGCCTCTGTGCCGACTCTCGTGCCCAGGCTCCATTGCAGACCCAGATAGTTGCGTGCAACCTTGAGGTTCCCATTCACTCTTGTCTGACAAGTTTTTCCATCAGAACCAGGCCAATGCCAGCTTCCCTCCTCCCTCCTGCTCCCACCTCATCTCCGCATCTGATTCCTGCACAGATGTCTGGGCACCAGGCTTGGCTCGTCTTTCTCCGACTCCCCAACCTCGCATCTGTTGGAGGCACCCAGAATCCTACCACCCTCAGAACTCCACATCCCCCACCCCAGTCCAAGCCACCATTTTGGCTCCTGGATTACAAAACCAATGTCCTCAGTGATCCTCCTGCTTTTGCCCTGGCCTCCTTCCAACCACTCTCCACACAGCGGCTGGGGGTGGAATGATCTTGTTACAACATAAGACAGACCCGTCCCTCTTCTGCTCAGAGCCCTGCATCAGCCCTGCCTCGCTCAGAGTAAAGTTTTAAGTGCTTGCAGTGCCTGACTAAGACCCACAGGTCTGGCCTGGAATCCCTCTAGCCACCTGGTTGCACATTTGTTCAGCCAACTCCAGCCTTCCTATTCCCCTTGCTGTTCCCTGACTGTACCCAATGAGGTCATGCCCCAGGGCCTTTGCACTTGCTGTCCATGCTGCCTGGGGCTGTGTTTTCTCGGGTCGCTGCAGAGCTTTTTCTCCCCTGACCTTGCATTAAATCAGGATTTGGTGAGTGAATGAAGACTCTGGCCTCGTTAGAAACGATTATCATTTCTCTGTCAGGAGGAGGATTAAAAAGCCAAAATTTGGGTTGTTGCGAGCTGAGTTCTCAGAGGAGAAGATGCTGAGATGGAGTCGGATGAGCACAAGGTGCGCTGGGAGGACACCTATGAAAATACAGACATGGCTGCAGGATGGGGCAGAGGCAGCCCCCAAGTCCCAGTGTCCCCTGCGAAGGGCTCTGCCAAGCTAAGGGACCACAGGAGCAAGGGTCGGGCATCAGGAGAGTGTCCCTTGGGTGGAAGTGGCTGGGCCCTTGTACCGCTGCCTGGCTAAGTCCTTGGCCAGGGGAACCCCAAGAACAGCCTGATGTTGGCACGAAAGCCGAGGTGGATTCTGGAGGCTCTGGACACTCGAGCATCAGTTGTCTTCACTCCTCGCAGTGGGCAGGGAGCCCTTTCTCCATGCAGCTCTGCATGACACCCCTGTGCTGCGTCATCCACTTCCCTACACATGATGCAAGAGCAGCTCACAGGGCCCTGGGAACAGGGCTCCTGGGACAAACCACAGCCCCCGCTCACTGGAGCTCCTCTGGGGCTGTGAGCAGCACTTACCATCTCCCTCTTCCTCCACCCAGTCTGCACTCCCCTCACCTCTCACCTGCATGGTCTGGCCCCAGCACAGGCCCTTCTTGGGCCAGGGCCACTTTACTTGTCCATTCATGGTCCACCTAGCCAAGGAGTACAAGGGGCACATGAACGGGTCCCCTGCAGTCTGCCCGTGTCTCTCCCAGGCCACACTGGGCTGCCGCAGCCCTGCCTCCTCCTGCCGGCCAGGGTCAGTTGACCCCAACGAGGTGCCATCTCCTCTTCTTGCTGGTCCTTGGACATAGGAATCCAAAGGGCCCAGGTGGCAGACAGACCTTGAAGTTCAAGGACACCCTCTCTGCACCCTTGCCAGGGTTCTCCTTCAGGCACAGGGGCCTCCAATGCCGCAGAGCCAGGCATTAAGGACACAGGAAACAGGAGGTCCCCATGGAGCACTGGGAATGATGGGAAGCGGGGCCACCCCGACAACCACCCCCGTTCTCAGCATCATATGCACGTCTCCTGTTGGGGACACAGGGCTGCATGAAGCTCCCTGGTGCATGCTGAGACTTGTCTCTGAGCTGGTGCTCCTGCTGCACCCCAGATGGGCATTCCAGCTTCCCAAGCCCTGGTACTGGGCTGTGGTCGGGCCTCCTCCGAGACAGGCCCCACTCATAGCTGCAGCTTCCCTGTTGCCCAGAGTATGGCCCAGGGCAATATTCCCTGGAGTGGGGCCACTGACTCCCCACATTCTCAAGAATCGGGGCCACTGACTCCCCACATTCCCAAGAGTGGGGGCCGCTGACTCTCCACATCCCCAAGAGTGGGGTCCACTTTCTCTCCACATCCCCAAGAATGGGGGCCACTGTCTCCACATCCCCA
Organism: Homo sapiens; assembly: GCF_000001405.40. Lineage (NCBI taxonomy): Eukaryota > Metazoa > Chordata > Mammalia > Primates > Hominidae > Homo > Homo sapiens. Next base: position 2,073,734 of record NC_000011.10, read on the forward strand.
AGAGTGGGGGCCACTGACTCTCCACATTCCCAGGAGTGGGGGCCGCTGTCTCTCCACGTTCCATGGAGTGGGGTGCACTGTTTATTCCATTCCTGGGAGTAGGCGACACTGTCTCCCCACATTTCCAGGAGTAGGGGGCACTTTCTTTGAAAAGCAAAGAGGCCTAGCCAGCTTTGTGCCTCCTTTGTCACAGGGGAGACACGTGCAGCCATGTGTCTTTTATTTCGACGTGCAAACATGCCCCTGAACCTGGGCCTCTGAGAACTTTCCTGCAGGTCTGGCCCCTGGATCTTTGCAGGGCTTACCACACGTCCTCCTGAGCACATCCTAAGGAAGACCCCAGTGCGTCCGCTACCCCCACTCATCCTGCTGGCTCCCTGTTAAGTCATTCATGTTCAATTAATGATCCATTGACTCAATGGGCTGTACTGCAGATGTCAGGATGTCTAGATCTCTTCTATCTTTTTTTTTGAAATTGTGATAAAATATACAAATCACAAAGTTTACCATCTTAACCATTTTAAGTGTATAGTTCAGTGGCATTAAATACATTTATATTGGTGCCATCGCCACCATCCGTCTCCAGAACTTTCTCATCTTCCCAAGCATGGGGAGGGGCACGTTTGGATGTGTAAATCAAAGACACACGCTGCATGTGTCTCCCCTGTGACAAAGGAGAAGGCACAAAGCCAGCGAGGCCTCTTTGCTTCTGAAAGACAGCGCCCCCTACTGAAACTGTCTCCATTACACAACAGTTCCCGCGTCCCCCCACCCAGCCCTTGGCCACCATCATTCAGTCATAGCTATGAGGGTCAAATTCTACTCTAAGGACCTCATAAAACTGGAATTAGACAACATCTGTCCTTTTGCAACCGGCTTATCTCACTGAGCATCAAGTCCTCAAGGTTCACCCACGTCGTCGCCTGTGTCAGAATTTCCTTCCTGAACATGGCTGAATAATATTCCACAGCATGGATGGACCACATTTTGTATATTCATTTGTCTCTCAATAGATACTTGAGTTACCTTCACCTTTTGGCTGTTGTGAATAATGCTGCTGTGAACATGTGTAGACAAGCATCTCTTTGTGTCTCAGCTTTCGTCTCTTTTGGGCATAGAATCAGAAGCGGGATTGCTGGGTCGTATGGGAATTCTATCTTTAATGTTGTGAGGAGCCACCATAGTGTTCTCCAGCGCAGCTGCATCATTCTACACTCTCACCAGCAGTGCCCGGGGGTTCCAACATTGCCACGTCCTTGCCTTATTATTTTCGGGGTTTCTTAGCGGCCATCCTAGTGGGTGAGAGGCAGTATCTCGTTCTATTTCCCTGATGATTACTGATGTTCGGCGTCTTTTCATGTGCTTATTGGCCATTTGTATATCTTTTTTGGAGAAAAGCTTCTTCAAGTCCTCTGTCAGATTTTTGGACTGGGTTATTTTGTAGTTGTCATTGTTGAGTGGTTCTTTGTATGTGCTAGGTATTAGCTCTAGCATATATATGGTTTGCAAATATTTTCTCCCATTTCATAGGTTACCTTTTCATTTCTTCAACCTTTTAACAGATCATGGAAGAGGTCCCAGGAGCACAGAGCCACACCATCCATTCCATGGGAGTGGGAACTAGAGCTGACAGCTTTCATCAGCCAAGCCTGCAACACACCCACAAATCATAGTCACACACTGCACACCTGAGGCTTTGGCAAAAACACCGCATCCAGCACATCGGTTGTGACCAGAGACAGGGCCACATTGAGCCTGCAGGAGTCATGTCCATTTTCCAGAATCTATCCCATCTATTCACCTTCCACAAGGACCAGACCAGTGAATGAACACACAGACACACACACACACACGCACACGCACAAGAGAGAGAGATGAAAGCAATTGGCTCCCATGATCTGTCCCGTCTGCAAGCTGAGACCCGGGAGAGCCGGTGGAGTAAATCGCAGTCCGAGGGCAGGAGATGAGATAAGACATCCCAGCTCAAGCAGTGACGCAAGAAAAAGAGGGCAGATTCTTCTTCCCCTGCCTTTCTGTTCTATTCAGGTTCACACTGGATGGGAGGAGGCCCCCACGCTGGGGAGGGCATCTGCCTTCCTGAGTCCACCAATCCCAATACTCATCTCACCCAGAATCAACCTCGCAGACATGCCTGGATCAAGGTTTAATCTGGGCACCCTGTGGCCCAGTTAAGTGAACACATAGAAATAATTCGTCACACCAGAGATCTTGATGGTGCATACAAACATCCACTGTCCTCGCCGAGATGCGATTGTGTTTCTGATTTATTATCTTGACCGAGGATGCTTTCAGTGACCTACACTTGACCTCCTCACTTCACTTATGGTAGCTTTCACCTCACAGGCCAAGGACGTATTTATGGGGATTACTGTAACTGCCAAATATCTCAATCCCAATGGAATATTCAGAGACTGTAAAAATGACCACTGGATGGGGTCATGAACCCTGCCTGAGGGCCCATTCTAAGTTTGGCAGGGACACCATTCACTTCTTGACCCATGAGGCTCCTCTCTAACAGAAGACGATGATAACGTTTCAGGTCTTGTTTGTTTGTTTTGCGAGACAAGGTCTTGCTATGTTGCCCAGGCTGGAGTGCGGTGGCATGATCATGGCTCACTGCAGCCTCAAACCCCTGGGCTCAAATGATCCTCCTGCCTCACCTGGGACCCCAGGTGTGCACCACCATGCCTGGCTAATTTCTCTTAATTTTTCTTTGTTTGTCTCTCTACAAAAGGGTGTCTCTCTACAAAAAAAGAAAAATTAAGAGAAATTAGCCAGGCGTGGTGATGCACAGGCTGGTCTTCATCTCCTGGGTGCAAGCGATTCCTCCTTGGCCTCCCAAAGTGCTGTGATAACAGGCATGAACCAGTGTGCCCAGCCACCCTCCAGGTCTTTAGATGCCAGCGTCAACTCAGAGCCTGTGTCCATCGGTCCTACAATGTGAGGGGTCTCTGTGCCAGAGTGCTCAGCCCTGTGAGTAAATGCCACGTTCCTTTGCGAGAACATTCCAGCAAATGCTGGCAGTGGTGTTGCTGGGCCTTCCCTCTGCAGACCTTGGCTGCGTCTTCAAGCAACAGGCTCTGGGTCAGAAAATAAACTCAGATACGGACATGGGGCAAGACAGCACGGCTTCTTATCGGAGCGATCACTTTCAGCCTCTTCCCCATTCATTCATAGTCTCTGTTCATTAAATAAACAGCTTTATTGAGGTATTATTGACATACAATAAACTGCACATATCTAAAATGTACAGTTTGATACATTTTAAAACGCGAAACTTGTGTCCACTCATGTCCTCAGAAACGGTCACCATGATGGGGACAGTGGGCACGTCCCCTCCCTGACGGTGTCCTCCTGCCCCTTTGTAACCCTTCCTGTCACTCTTCCCTTTCCCCAGCCCCCATGAGCCACTGCTGACCTGCTTTCTACCGCATTTCTGAGTTTCACTGTATATATGGAAATATACAGTGAGTCTTCTTTTTCCTCTGGCTTCCTTCATTCAGAAAATTCTCTTGAGCTTCACCCTTGTTTGTTGTTCTGTATGAGTAACTCACCCCTTCCTGTTGCTAACTATACCCTCCTGCCTGGCTAGACCAGAGCTTGTTTTTATCTGTTCATCTGTTGATGAACACCTGAGTCATATCCAGGTTTTGGCTATTACAAAAAAAAAAAAAAAGATTCTGTGAATATTCATGCACAAGTCTTTGCATCAACATATTTTTTTTCCTCTTGAGTAAATATGTAGGAGTGGAATGGCTGGGCCCTGTGCTGGGTGAATATTCAACTTTCTAAGAAACTGCCAGATTGGTTTCCAAATGGTTGTACCATACCCTGTACCCACAGTGAGAATTCCAGTTCCACCACATCCTCAGCAACGCTGGTTATAATCAGTCATTTCAAGTTTAGCCGTTCTGTTTACCCGATGACAAATCAGGCTGAGAATCTTTCCATGTACTCATTTGCTAGCTGTTTATCTTATTTGATGGAGTGTCTGTTCAAATCTTTTACCATGTTTAATTGAATTGTTTGTTTTCTTATTGTTGAGTTTTGTTAACTCTATATCCTTCATCAGATTAATGATTTGCAAAGATTTTCTCCCTGTCTGTGGCTTGTTTTTTCATTCTCTTAACAGCCTCTTTTGTGAAGCAGTTTTTAATTTGGCTGAAGGCCATGTTATCCATTAGTTCTTTTATGAATTATAGTTTTGGTATAACTAAGAAATCTTTGCCTAACCCAAGGTCACAAAAATGTTCTTTGATGTTTTCTCCTAGAAATTTGGTGTTTTTAGGTTTTACATTTAGGTCTATCATCCATTTTGGGTGAATTTTTATATATGTGAGACATGGCTTGAGGGTGTGTGGGTGGGGGCTTGTGTATGGTCATTGTTCCAGCACCACTGGTTGAAAAGCTTGTCTCTCTCTCTTTTTTTTTTTTAACAGCATTGACTTTGTATCTTTGTCAAAATAGTTGTACACATATGTGTGGACTCATTTGTGTGGACACATATGTGTGGACTCATTTGTGTGGACACATATGTGTGGACTCATTTGTGTGGACACATATGTGTGGACTCATTTGTGTGGACACATATGTGTGGACTCATTTGTGTGGACACATATGTGTGGACTCATTTGTGTGGACACATATGTGTGGACTCATTTGTGTGGACACATATGTGTGGACTCATTTCTGGACCCACTGCTCAGTTCCATTGTTCTATTAGTCTGTCTTTTTTTTTCACTTTTTTTTTATTTTTTACATATATATATATTTTTATTATACTTTAAGTTCTAGGGTACATGTTCACAATGTGTAGGCTTGTTACATATGTATACATGTGCCATGTTGGTATGCTGCACCCATTAACTCGTCATTTACATTAGGTATATCTCCTAATGCTCTCCCTTCCCCCTCCCCCCCACCCCACAACAGGCCCGGGTGTGTGATGTTCCCCTTCCTGTGTCCAGGTGTTCTCATTGTTCAAAGTAAACTAGTTCAACCATTGTGGAAGACAGTGTGGTGATTCCTCAGGGATCTAGAACTAGAAATACCATTTGACCCAGCTATCCCATTACTGGGTATATACCCAAAGGAATATAAATCATGCTGCTATAAAGACACATGCACACGTATGTTTATTGTGGCACTATTGATCTGTCTTTATGCTGATGCCGCACTATAACAGCTGTTGATACCAGATTGTGAGACCCCTCCAACCTTTTTCTTCTTTTTCGGAGTTGCTTGGCCTTTGCATTTTCATATGAATCTTAGAGCTTGTCAGTTTCCACAGTGAAGACTTTTGTAATTTGGATTGAGATTGCATTTCATCTGTAGATCAGTTTAAGGAGAATTGACGTCTTAACATTAATGAATCTCCTGGTCTATGAGAAAGGTATATCTTTCATTTATTTAAATTTTTTTAACTCCTCTAGGTAATATTTTGCAGTTTTCAGTGAATATACCTTTTGCATTTCTGTCAAATTTATTCCTAAGTTCTTCATATTTTGTATGCCATTGTAAATGTTGTTATTTCAATTTCTGAGCGTTGATTGCTAATATTTTTCCATTTCATCTAAGTTGTTGAACCCATTGGCATAAAGTCATTTATAATATTCCCCTATTATCCCTTTAATATCTGTGGAATGTGTGGTTGGGTCACTTGCTTCTGATATTTGGAACTTAGGTCTCTTTTTTCCCTCTCTCCTTCTCTTCCTCCCTCCCTCCTGCCCGATCACTCTGGCTAGAAGCTTATCAATTTGACTGAGCCTCCCAAAAAACTAATTTTTACTTTCATTGGTTTTCTCTTTTTTTCTGTTTCCTATTTCATTGATTTCTGTTTTGATCTTCATTCTTTCTCTTTTACTTGGGTTTAATTTGCTCTTCTTTCCTCAGTTTCTTAAGGTAAAACTTGAAGCCGTTGCTTTGAGACACTTCTTCTTTTACAATATAGCAGCTAGTGCTATACTTTTTTCTTTAATGACCAGTTTATCAGCATCCCACAAATTTGCATGTGCTGTGTTGTTACTTTTATTCAGTTCAACAAATTTTCTAATTTGCCTTTTGATTTTGTCTTTGATCCATGAGTTATTTAGAAGTCTGTTATTTGGCCTATTATTTAGTTCTTAATATTTGGGAATTTTCCAGAGATATTTTTGTTATTGATTCCTAATTCTATTCTGTTATGGCCAGGTAATACATTTGGCATCACTTGAATTCTGCTGAATTTAGTAAGACTTATTTTATGGCCCAGAATATGATCTATCTTTATAAATGCCCCACCTGCACTTGAGAGGAGAGTGTAGTCTGCCGTCGTTGGGTGGAATGGCCTATAAATGTCAATTGGATCAAATTTCTTCACAGCGCTGTCTACGTCTACTCAATCCTTACTGAGTTTTTCTGCCTGCTCGTTCTCATAGTTATGGAGAGGGGGTATTGAAATCTCTGACTGTAATTATGGTTTTGCTTACTTCTTGCAATCTCATCATGCATTTGGAAGCTATATGATTAGGTGCCTAAATGTTTAGGATGCTTATTTCCTCTTGAAGAATTGACCTCTTTATCATTATAAAATAGCCTTCATTATCCTTATAATATTCTTTCCTCCAAAACCTCCTTTATCTGAAATCAGGATAGTCACTCCAGCTTTCTTTAGACAAGCATTAGCATGTTGTAACTTTTTTCATTCTTTTTCTTTTGGCCTATTTGTGTCTGTATATTTAATGTAGGCAGCACACAGTCAGGCCTTGCTTTTTAAACCCAATTTGACATTTTCTACTTGTAATGAGGTTTAGACCATTTGTATTTCATGTGATTATTGATGTCATTAGGCTTGAATCTTCTATCATCTTCCTATTTGTTTTCTATTTGCCACACTTATTCTTTATTATTTTTCTTCTCTGTCTTCTTCTGAATTGATTGATTTTTTTTCTCTTTTGAGACAGAGTCTCACTCTGTCACCCAGGCTGGAGCGCAGCAGTGCGATCTCAGCTCACTGCAGCCTCAACCTCCCAGGCTCAAGTGATCCTTCAACCTCAGCCTCCTGAGTAGCGGGAACTACAGACACACGCCACTATGCCATGGCTAATTTTTTGTATTTTTGGTAGAAACAGAGTTTCACCACGTTGCCCTGGCTAGTCTCAAACTTCTGAGTTCAAGGGATACACCCCCCCCTCAGCCTCCCAAAGTTCTGGGATTACAGGTGTGAGCCGCTGCACCCAGCCTGAATATTTGTCATGATTTCATTTTATCTCTTTTGTTGACTTTGTAGCTATAACTTCTTGTTTATTTTGTTAGTCCCTTTAGTATACATTTTAAGCATCACTCTCTACAATGTCTCACCACGTTACTTATAGGGAAGCACCTTGCACTCGGACCCTTCCACTTCCCCTCAGTCGTTACGCAGTTCTTGTCAAGCATTTTACTTTTACGTATGTTAAAAATCTCATAACACACCGTTATTATTTTTTCTAGTCTATTACCTTTTAAAGTGATTTAAATTATTTTTATTGTTTAAAAAAATTTTTGTGGGTACACAGTAGGTATCTATATTTATAAAGTACATGAGATGTTTTGATACAGGCATGCAATGTGAAATAAGCACAACATGGAGAATGGGGTATCCATTCCCTCAGGCATTTATCCTTTGAGTTGCAAATAATCCAATTACATTCTTTATTTTAAAATATGTAATTAAGCTATTATTGACTATAGTCACCCTGTTGTGCTATCAAATAGTAGGTCTTAGTCATTCTCTCTATTTTTAGTACTCATTAACCACCATCCCCACCTTCTCCCAACCCCGCTTTTAAAGAGTTTTCCTTTCTTTCTTTCTTTCTTTCTCTTTTTTTTTTTTGAGACGGAGTCTTGCTCTGTCACCCAGACTGGAGTGCAGTGGCGCGATCTCGGCTCACTGCAAGCTCCGCCTCCCGGGTTCACGCCATTCTCCTGCCTCAGCCTCCCGAGTAGCTGTGACTATGGGCACCCGCCACCACGCACGGCTAATTTTTTGTACTTTTAGTAGAGATGGGTTTCACCGTGCTAGCCAGGATGGTCTCTATCTCCTGACCTCGTGATCCGCCTGCCTCGGCCTCCAAAGTGCTGGGATTACAGGCGTGAGCCACCGCGCCCGGCCAAAGAGTTTTTTTTTTTTTTTTTTTAACTTTTAAGTTCAGGGGAACATGTGCACGATGTGCAGGTTTGTTACATACCTAAGTGTGTGTCATGGGGGTTTGTTGTACAGATTATTTCATCACCCAGGTACTAAGCCTAGTATCCATTAGTTATTTTTCCGGATCCTCTCCCTTCTCCCACCCTCCACCCTTCAATAAGCCCCAGTGTGCATTGTTCCCCATATCTCCACGTGTTCTCATCATGTAGTTTCCACTTATAAGTGAGAACATGCGGTATTTGGTTTTCTGTTCCTGCTTTAGTTTGGGAAGGATTATGGCCTCCAGTTCCATTCATGTCTCTGCAAAGGACATGACCCCATTCCTTTTTTTTTTTTTTAACATATCTTTTTCATTAATGAGTAAATTAAACAGACGAAAAAAGTCAGTGAGGATATAGAAAATCTACACAACGTCATTAACAAATGGACTTAAACAGAAGACAAAACCCTACACTCACAGCAGCAACAATACATGCATTATTCAAGCACACACAGTATATTTGTACAACTTGATCAGAGACGGAGCCATTAAGAAAATCTCCACACAGTTTAAGGGATTTATAGCACAAAAAGTATGTTTTCTGATCACTTTGTTGCTAAGATGGAGATCTGAAACAAAAATATTATTGAACTCTTGAAAGGTTGAAAATTAAGAAGTCACTTCTAAATAGTCCAGACCTCATTCCTTTTTATGGCTGCAGAGTATTCCATGGTGTATATATACCACATTTTCTTTATCTAGTCTGTCTTTTTTTTTTTTTTTTTTTTTGAGATGGAGTTTACTTCTTGTTGCCTAGGCTAGAGTGCAATGGTGCAATCTGGCTCACTGCAACTTCTGCCTCCCGGGTTCAAGCGATTCTCCTGCCTCAGCCTCCCAAGTAGCTAGGACCACAGGTGCACACCACCACACCTGGCTAATTTTGTATTTTTAGTAGAGACGGGGTTTCGCTATGCTGGTCAGGCTGGTCTCGAAGTCCTGGCTTCACATGATCCACCCACCTCGGCCTCCCAAACTGCTGCGATTACAGGCATGAGCCACCGCGCCCAGCCTATCCAGTCTATCATTGATGGGCATTTAGGTTGATTCCATGTCCTTGCTATTGTATAGTGCTGCAATGGCGTGCATGTGTCTTTATGATAGAATGACTTATATTCCTCTAGGTATATACCCAGTAAAAGGATTGCTGGGTTGAATGGTAGTTCTGTCTCTAGGTGTCTGAGGAGTTACCATATCGTCTTCCACGATGGCTGAACTAATTTACACTTCCACCAACAAGAGAAAAGCGTTCTTTCTTTTCCACAACCTCCCCAGCATCTGTTTTTTGACTTTTTAGTAATAGGCATTCTGACTGGTGTGAGATGGTATATCCTTGTGGGTTGTTTTGTTTTGTTTTGTTTTTTGAGACAGAGTCTCGCTCTGTTGCCCAGGCTGGAGTGCAGTGGTGCGATCTTGGCTCACTGCAAGCTCCGACTCCCGGGTTCAAGCAATTCTCCTGCCTCAGCCTCCTGAGTAGCTGAGATTACAGGCATGCGCCACGACACCTGGCTAATTTTTGTATTTTTAGCAGAGACAGGGTTTCACCACGTTGGTTAGGCCGCTCTCAAACTCCTGACCTCAAGTGATCCGCCCACCTCGGCCTCCCAAAGTGCTGGGATTACAGGCGAGAGCCACCGCGCCTGGCCTCCTTGTGGTTTTGATTTGCATCTCCAAAGAAATTTAAATGATTTTAAAATCTCACGTGTTTGCCCATGTAGTTACCATTTCCAGTAGAATGTAGATTTCTGTCTGATTTCACGCCGCTTCAGCCTGAGTGAATTTCTTGAACGTCATTCACGGCACGGTTCTGCCGGCGATGGAGCTTCAGCTTTTATATCTCCAAAATGTTCTTATTTAAATTTCGTTTGTGAAGGATGTTTTACCCAGGCATAGCATTCTGATGCTGATGGGTTCTTTTTGTTTCAGCAATTTAAAGGTCTTGCTTTCCCGTCTTCTTGCATTGCGTCTTGTGGGAAATCTGCGGCCATCCGTTCCTCTGCACGTACCGTGTTCCTTTTGCCTCTAGTTGCTTTTAAGATTCTCATTTTATCACTAGTTTAAACAATTTGATTATGATGTACCTTGGCTTGGTTTTAGTCCTGTTTCCTGCCCTAGGGAGTCATTGAGTTTCTTGGTTTATAGTTTTCATTAAGTTTGGAAATGTTTCAGTCATTATTTCTTCAAACATTTTTCTTTCTCCCTCCTGCCCCAAACATACACACATCTCTCCTTCAAGGAAGCCAATTATCCATATATTGGGCCACCTGGAGTTACACCAGAACTCATCGATGCAGTTAAAAACATTTCTTTTGTCTCTCTGTATTTTATTTTGAATGGTTTCCATTTCTATGTCTTCAAATTCAGTATTCTTTTCTTTTGCTGTTAATCTCATCCAGTGTATTTTTTCATCTCAGGCATGGTAGTTTTTACTTTAGAAGTTGTATTTGAGTCTTTTAAACTATACTTCATGTCTTTAACTTCTTGCAGCTGTGGAACACAGTTAGGAAGCTGTTTCAATGTCTTTTTCTGATAATTTTGTGTCCGTCTGCATCAGTTTCAGTTGGCTGATCTTCCTCATTGTGGGGCATATTTTCCTGCCTTTTCGTGTGCTTAGTCATCTTTGATTGGTTGTTGTGCATTGTGAATTGTACCTTTTTGGGTGTTCAGCATTTTGTACTCTTATACATTTTGTTTGGACTTTGTCCTGGGCTGCATGCAGTTCAGTTACTTGGAAGCAGGTTGATTCTTTCAGGCTTTACTTTATGATTTGTTTGATGACCCCAGGCAGGCACACTCAGGGACGGTGAGAGAATGGAGACGGTTGAACACACTCTGCGCAGCAGCCTGCTGCACCTTCCTGGGAGGGGCATCCCATCCCAACATACACCGGGGTGGGAACTGGGAGGAGGCCAGTGTTTCAGCGACACTCACGGCGAGAGTGAGTCCACTCCAGGGTGCACCAAGAAAATGCACAAGTGAGCCTGTAGCCCAGGAGAGGCCTGACCTGAGGAGGGGAGGCTGGAGAGGTGGGCAACCCCAGGAGAACACAGAGCAGGGGCCGCTGCCTCCTCAGTCGGCACTGCTCAGAAAGCGCACGCAGTGGTAGGAAAGCGTCCACCAGACTGAGCAGGAGGCGGAGTGCAGAGACTGAATGAGCCTGTACCATACCATCCAACACACCCATGCACACACACACACACATATCACACCACCACACACACATCACACACGCTCACATCACACACACATATACTCACACACATCACACCCATGCACACACACACTCACACAGATCACACCCACACACACACACACGCAGACTCAAATCACACACTCACACCCAGGGGAGAAAGAACAGACCTTGGAACCATGTTGATCAGGAGCCCGGGAGGAGGCAAGCCTGCCTTGGCCTTGGGGAGGACTGACACATGGTCTGCCAGTCAGAGGTGCTCCCACCGTGACCACCTGGAACCTTTCCATTCAGTGAACGCTCCAGGAGGGCGTCAGGGTCTCGAGGACACAGCTGAATGAGTGGGCCGCGTCTTCAAGGCCTGGCAGGGGAAGCTGAGCAGCCTGCACCCCAGATGCATTGTGATGGAAGCTTCTGTGGGCCATGGGCAAGAAGTAACTGGGAGTGGGAAGGCCCTGTCACGACACCAGGAGGGGCCTGGCCTAGACCAGGCAGTGGGTGGAGCGGGCAGCTGTGCCGGCCTCTGTGCCTCTGGTCCGGGGCAGTCCATGTAATTTCATCCAGGGGCTCTAGAAATCTCATGAAGGGTTCAGACAATGACAGGATGGCCAGAGGGGATCGGGGGTGGCAGTGGGGTGGGGAGGCCCAGAGACCCAAGGATGATGAGATCCAGCCCCCGGGCGTGGTCAGTGTGGCAGGGCAGGGTGTGTGGCTGCTGGGTGACAGAAGGGCTCGAGGCTGGTCGCCTGGAGGGCGTTTTGAAGCCAGGGTGGACGCTGATCCATCCTGAGACCAGGAATCCAGGGCATGGGAGAGACGACGCCTGGGTTTGGGGCACCTGAAGGGTAACCAAACACGTATCGTGGCCGAGACTTAGGAGTGACCATCTGGGGTGATTTCCAAGGGCTGGGGGGCAGAAGCCACTATCGGGGGGGACCTGGCAGCCCCTCACCCACACTGACCCAGGCTCCAGTTGCTTCTTGAGTTCCTATGGCCTCGGAGCAGGACACCCCACACCCTGTGCTCACCACAAAGAAGCCAGGATTTGAGGGACTGGTGGAAGCTACCCAGAGACTTTGGGTCTCCAGGGACTGTAATGAGAGACACAGCTGTGGCAAGGTCCAGCCTCCTCCTGACTGGGCCCAGCCACCCATGCAGTGCACGGATCAGGGCTCAGCAGGGCCCTGTGTGTGATGGGGAGAGCCAGACTCTGCACCAGCTCCGGGAGCCCACAAGCCAGGGGTCCAGGTGTGCCTCCCAAGCCAGGCATCCTGAGCCTTTCTGTGGGACAGTCCTCATGCCAGGGGACTCAGCAGGTGGACGGGAAGGCCCTTAGCCTCATTTACTCATTGAACAGACCTGCGTGGCGTCTCCGGCACAGGCGGCCTCTCCTCCTCCACTTCCACTCCAAGGCCCACTGGGACTGCACTGGCAGGCAGTGGCAGATGAGGAATGCCAGGGGCGGGGTGGCAGGCGAGGGGTAGGGTCAGGAAAGGCCTCACAGAGAAGGTGACACCTGAGCATGGACAAAAGGAGGTAAGGACAAGCCCTGCAGTACCTTTCCGGAGGTTCTGTGTTCCCCTCGAACAGGGACAAGCGGCCAGTGCACATACAAGAGCCACGGGGCTGGCTACTTACCGAGGAATGCACGTCAGAACCAGTAGGACAGCTGCCATCCCAAAGCCAGACCACGGCAAGCGCTGGGCGTGGGGGAGTCGGAGCTGCCTGTGCTGCTGGGGATGGGCCGTGGTGCCAACGCTATGGGGCCGTGGGCTCCTCACACATGTAAACCTACGGTTGCCATTCCACCCATCAAGCCCGCTCCTGGGAATGTGCCTACAGGAAATGAAACCCTAAGTCCACACGCAAATGCGTGCATGAACACTCATAGCACTCCATCTCCTTTGGCCAAAAAGGGCCAACAGCCCAAATGTCTACCATCTGATGACAGGATTAAGCAAATGGGGTCCATCCATACAATGGAACATGACTCAGCCATGAAAAGGAAGGGGATATGGTTTGGATCTGTGTCCCCACCCAAATCTCATGTTGAATTGTAACCCCCAGTGTTGGAGGTGGGGTCTGGTGGGAGGTGATTTGATCACGGGGGTGGATTTCTCATGAATGGCTTAGCACCATCCTCTTGGTGCTGTCTTTGCAATACTGAGTGAGTTCTCCCCAGATCCGGTTGTTTAAAAGTGTGTGGCACCTCCCCTGCTGTGTCTCTCTGATTCCGCCATGTGAGACACCAGCTTCCCCATCACCTTCTCACCTTCCTGAGGCCTCCACGGAAGCCGAGTGGATGCCTGGCGCCATGTTCCCATACAGCCTGCGGAACTATGAGCCAATTAAACCCCCTTTTTCTAAATTACCCAGTCTCAGGTATTTCTTTATAGCAGTGCGAGAATGGAGTAACACAGAGGGAAATTCTGGCACATGCGACAATGTGGAGGAGCCTTGAAGACACTACGCTCAGTGAAAGAAGCCAGTCCCCGGCCAGGCGCGGCGGCTCATGCCTGTCATCCCAGCACTTTGGGAGGCTGAGGTGAGTGGATCATCTGAGGTCAGGAGTTCAAGACCATCCTGGCCAACATGGTGAAACCTTGTCTCTACTAAAAGTACAAAAATTAGCTGGGCGTGGTGGTGGGCGCCTGTAGTCCCAGCTACTTGGGAGGCTGAGGCAGGAGAATTGCTTGAATCCAGGAGGCGGAGGTTGCAGTGAGCCAAGATTGCGCCTCTGCACTCCAGCCTGGGCTTCAGAGAGAGACTCTGTCTCAAAATAAATAAATACAAATAAAAAAGAAAGAAACCAGTCACCAAAGGACAAACGCCATGATTCCACTCACACGAGCTTTCTAGAGTGGTCAAAGTCATAGAGACAGAAAGCGCCAGGGGTACCAGGGGCTAGGGGAGGGAATGCGGAGTCGGTGTTCGATGGGGGTGGGGGTTCAGTGTGGGAAGGTGAGAAAGTTCTGGAGATGGATGCCGGTGACATCTGCACGACGTCGTGAATGTACATAGTGCCACAGAACAGTGCACTTAAACACGGTGAAGATGATCGAATTCACAGTGTGTCTATTTTGCCACAATAAATAAAGGAATCCATATTTTCCTATCTATTTTTAGACTATCATGTGGGGATTTGGCAGTGATCAGGTTACTCGATTTGGTGCAGTTAGAAAAGTTCGTCACTGTTTAAGCAAATAGGAAAGCCGTTTATCCTGCCTAGCTGTGAGAAAATCCCCTAGCGTCTTTGAAACTCTTCGGGAGCGCCCCCCTCCCACACGCCTCCTTCAGGCTCCACCCAGTGCCGGGCATTTGATTCTGCTGCTTCGTGCACACCAGACCGGCACTGGGCACCGGGCCGTCATCTGCTTCTGTTAATAAAGTTTTATTGACACTCTGCCCCCATCATTTTTATGTATGGCCTAAGGTTGCTTCCAATGGTGGAACTGAGTCATTACAACAGAGACCTGGAGACCACAAACCCTAAAATACCACGTCAGATCCGCATGTGGAACACCCTATTGCCAAATATCTGCTTGGAGCTGTGTACATTTTTCCTCGATCCCACGACTAAAACCAATTGTAATAAAACACGATAAAATTAATTTTGAAAATCCAAATGCTTGATCTAAAAAAAAATGTGGCCCCAGGATGTGGGCCTTTGAGCAGAAAGCCTGGCCGCGCAAGGAGGGGCTGTGGAGGTGAGGGCAGGGCTGGTGGGCTAGGGCTGAGCGGTTTCTGGAGTCCCAGGAGGCCTCAGGAGATGTGGGGAGCTGGGCAGTCGGCCCGGAGGGCAGGGCAGGGACCACCCAGACATGGAAGGTGTGGAGGCCAGCTCTGAAAATGGGGTGGGACAGAAAGGGAAGAAAGGGGCATGAGCCAGCAGCCGGGCAGTCAGAGCCAGGGGCCCAGGGAGCAGTGTGGTTTGGGTAACGGGTGTTTGCCTGCATCAGGCACTGCCCTGTCTGGGGAAAAACAGAGCCAAGAAAGGACTCGTGGGTTTGGCCACCTAGAGGCCACCAGAGGCCTTGAAGAGAGCTGCTTTGGGGAGGTGGGACAGTCCCGTGGATGTGGTTCAGAGGAGGTAGGAGAGGAGCACAGCCCAGAGCAGAAGCGCTCGTCTTCGGAGCCAGCAGGTGGAATTAATGGCCGCAAAGGTGTCTGATCCTCATCTCTGAATGTGACCTAATGAGGAAGAAGGGTCTGTGCAGGTGTGAGGAGGTGAACGGCTTTGAGATGGCAATCCGGTCCTGGACCATCTGAACACCATAAACGCCAACACAAGGTGGTTATAAGAGGGAGGCAGCTGGAGATTTGATGACAGAGGGGCGGAGGAGGCAGTGTGAAGACAGAGGCAGAGATGAGAGGAACGGGACCACATAGCATGGAACCGCGGGAGCCCCCAGGAGCTGAGAGATGCAGGAAGGGTTCCGCCTAGAGCCTCAGAGAGAGCTGGCCTTAGACACGGTGAGGTCTTAAGAGAGGGTGTGGTCTTAGAGGGGGTGTGGCCTCTAGTGAGGGTGTGGCCTTAGAGAGGGTGTGGTTTCTAGTGAGGGTGTGGCCTTAGAGAGGGTGTGGCCTCTAGAGAGGCTGTGGCCTCTGTGCCAGCAGATTCACTGCTAGAGTGAATAGATGGGTGTATAGGATCCTCATGTCCCCAGCTGACAGTTCAGGCCCTCAGATCTGGGAATCAAATTAAAGAGTGTTCTGAGTCCAGGGTCCCGAGGAATGCTACCACCCGATGAGGGGCGAGTGTAAGGGCAGAGGTGGGTTGGGTCCTGGAAGCTGGGCAGTGACTCATCTGGAGCCCCCCTAGGCCTGGCCAGCTGGGCCTGCCACCCTCATGCCCCACCCTCCAACACCCCCGATGCTGCTGCTCAGGGCCACCTGGAAGCTGAGCCCCATCTGGCTCCTAAAGTCAGCATGAAGACCCCGAGGCCACCAAGCATGCCAAAAATAATTCAGCTAGGGGAGGAAGGTGAGGGGCTAAGTTCTAAATAGGGCACAGCCACAAGCAGCACAAGCCTCACTGCCCTCTGCCCCTTGTTGATGCTGGGCCAACAGACCCTGTCGTAAGGATGCCTGGTCCTGGACTCCCTACCCCCGCATGGCAGGGCCAGGCAGACCTGTGGCCAGCAGCTGCCTGAGTTTAAAGGGGGCTCCAGTCCTCATAAAGGCCATGGGGAGGGCGGGCATGGGGTCTGCTCAGCAGGTACCCCCTGTCCTGCTGGCCACCTGGTAGCCTCCTGACCCCTGGCCCCTCTCGGCTCACCCAGGAGCCACCACGCCCTACCCACTGGATTAACTGGGCTTTGCACATCATTTCCAAAAGACACTGGGCCACAAAACTCCCATTCAGCCTTGTGACGTTATCGGCTCTCTGACCCCAGCCTGCTTCCCGGCCCCCCGGCCCCCTCCACAGGCCTGCTCATCTGGCTATGCAGCCTCCAACATCTGGACTGATGAAAAGCCACCGCCACTGCCATCCCCACAGGCAAGTGCGCACAGAGGCAAGCGGGCCGTGTCTATGCGCACACTTGTATGTCCAGGGCTTGGCTGTCCAGGGCTGAGGGCAGGACAAGAGCCACAGCAGCTTTGAAGACATCGGATTCTGGGGCTGGGCTCAGAGTGGCCGCCACCTTGCAGGGTCCCACCAAGACCACTGCAGCCTGGAATTTCCTGCTGACACTGGACGTAGGAGGCCTGGAGGGCCTGCAGGGGTCAGCCAGCGCCTCCAGGACCCTCACTCAAACCTTGTCCCACGCCTTACCACCTTGCACCTGGTCTTCCCACACCAGGAAAAGCCCCTCCCATCCTCCAGACCCCAAAACTCTCAGGCGGCCCCCACACTCTTGGAAGCCCATGACTTGTCATATCTTCTGGGGAGTTTTGGGCCCCAGTACAGCCCACAGCACAACCTCCTGAGGGGCTTGGTTTATTTATATTTTTACTGTAATGACTTACTTGAAATTTTGCTTATTTATTATCTTTTTATCTCTGACACCCTGAGGGGCTTGGGAAGGGTGAACGGAGTGACACTCTGGAGGGGGCCACAGGCTAACCTGCAGGCCTCACATGTGGGTGGAGGTGGAAGAAGGGGCTTGGATTCTGGGTCCTGGCTGCACAGCCCCGGTCGGAGGCCTGTGGGGCTGGGGGCTGGGGAGCTGGCCCCCAGGCTGTAATTACCAGGCTCACCTCCACCTGAAGTGGGGTGTGGTGGCCTCAGCCCCAAATTACAGAGCACAGCTGCATGGTACAGTGCGGGCAGGAAAACAGGGCCTGCTCCTGTCCGGCTCCCAAGCCCTTTTCCCAGCTGGCTTCGCCTCTGCTGAGCCTGGCCACCCCAGAACCAGCAGGTGGGCTCCAGGGAAGCCCTGCAGCCAGGCCAGCCCTGCCCACTCTTGTGTCCATGCTCTGACAGCAGCCAGAGGGGCCCTGGCAAAGGATGAGCAAGGGCTGGAGCCCCCTCTGCTCCCACCCCACACTCTCATCTCACCCAGGAGTCCTCTGCATCTGCGTCCCCTGTGGGTGCAACACAGGACCACAAACTCGGTGGTTTAAAGCAACAGAAATGGGTTCTGTCCCAATTCTGGGGGGCCAGAATTTAGAAATGCAGGTGTCAGCAGGGCTGGGCTTCCTCCAGGAGCTACGGGAGGGTCCCTCCTGCCTCTTCCCGCTTCCAGGGGCTGCTGGAGCTCCTGGGCCTGCGGGTACATCACTCGCCTGTCTCTGCCATCACAGCTGGCACTCCACACCCTTACTTTGTTCATTCCTGTCAGCCCACGGGAATGTGGACCTCAAGACAGGAGAGCCGGGATCTCTGTCCTCTCCCTGCTGCACCCCAGCCACCAGCATGGCTGCAGAGCCCAAGACAGCAGACGGAGGAGGTAGTGCGGTGTGCGCCTTTGGGGCCGGTGGCTCGGGAAGGGCAGGCAGAGCCCTCTACGGGGGACTATGTCCTTTGTGGATGGGCAGAACAGTGCACAGTGGGAGTGCCTTGCACTAACAGATTGGAAACTGAGGCACAGAGGGGAAAAGCGTCCCTGGTCCTCCGGCCTGGTGGAGCATGAGAATCTGGCGCAACTGGCTTTGCTGTGGACTGACTAGTGGATGCTCTCAGGCCCAGGGTCCGGGGTCTGTGCCTGCCAAGCACCCAGGTGATACGTGGGATGGTTACTGAGAGCTGCCAGGGCTCCACCGTGTGCTGGGTATGCTGCCAGGGGTCCACACATGAGGCCCTTCACCCTCCTAGCAACTATGAGATGCTCATCATTTAGAAGGGGAAACTGAGGCTCATGTTGGAGTATTGAGGAACGCCTTCCAGCACCACTGTGCAAGCGGTAGGCCTGCCTGGGGCAGTGGGGAGACAGTTCCCGGAGGGCAGCAGAAGCAGCAAGCGCCCAGAGTCTGGCCCATGCCAAGCCTTGGGGCCCCTGGAAGACCAGCCTGATGGCAGAGGCTGAGGCTTCCCCGTGGGCTCCAGGGGAGGTGGGAGGCCAGGCTGGCTTTGACAAGCCCCCACTGTCTCCTTCCAGCAGCCCCAGCCGGTCCCAGCCCCTGCCTTGGGGCTTCTCAGCCTAGGACTGGCTCATCCCCGCTTGCTGCCCACATCAGCCCCATCTAGTCCCTCCTGCAAGCCCCCGCTCCATCAACCCTCTTTCCTACACCCCAACCATTGCCTGGGGTCCTGCCTTCCAGCTCCATGCTGACTGCACACCCTGAGCCCTCGCCAGCTGCCCAGGGAGCTCCTGGGGCCAGTGCAAAGCTATCCATCCCCTCTGCAGCCACCCTGGCCCTAAGCAAGCAAGAGCTCCCAGCCATGACTGGACAAGGTCCTGGGTGAAGGAACAAACAAGGGAAGCTTCTGGGGAGGCTGGGGAGGCTCCTGGTCAGCAGGAGGCTGCCAGGTGCGGGTAGTAACTGACTCACCCGGTAAGTCTTCTGAGGAGGCCCGGGCCAGTGGAACTCCCAACCAGGTCCCCGGGGAGGAGGCTGCCTGGCAGGCTGGATGGGAGCCGAGGCCAGAGTGTGCCTGGAGCAGCCCCTGGCTCAGCCAGGCAGCAGCTTGGGGCCTCGCCAGGTGGTGGCTGCCAGCCTCCCTGTGAGAGCCGCCGCCTGTGGTTTGAGGCTTTCTGGCTCCCAGGCTGGCTTCCTGCCCAGTGGGTGGTGAGGCTGTGATTGCAGCACGTCCCACCTGGCCCCTCCTGGGGCTGGGCCCTGCACCAGCTCCTGCCTTTACCGGCTGGGTGATGAGGAAAGGGGGCTGAACCCCAGCCCAGTCCCCTGACCTGCTGATGACAGACCCACCTCGGGTGGGGGCTAAGGAGGTGCTGTGTGGGAGGGGCCTAGCATGGTGCCTACTGAATCAGATGCCCCGAGATGGACTGAAACCACGGAGGAGGGAAAAAAATGAGCCCCTGGGAAGGTCTGGAAGTTGTGTGGAAGAACTGACATTTGAGCTGGGTACGGAAATGCAGCAGGGAGGAAAGGAGGTGGCGCTCCTCACCGAGAAGCCAGCCCAGCTAAGGCAAGGTGTGGCCAGGCGCTACACTTTCCAGCATGGCAGGAGCCTGGGTGTGTGGATGTCAGAGGAGAGGGCCACGGGAGCAGGCAGGATGGCGAGGACCCAGAGAACCAGGCCACAGAGCTTGGACTGGGACCAAAGGTGCTGGGGAACCCTGGGGGGTTTGGAACAGAGCAGCGCCCCACTCGCCAGCCTGGCCATGACCAAACAATCAGCAGGACCCCCCATGCACTCACCCAAGAGGAGCTTCCTGCTGGCCACAGTGACAAGAATTGCACTCACCCAAGAAGAGGGCCCTGCCGGCCACAGCGATGAGACTCTGTCTCCAAAAGCTGGCAGTGCCCCATGGACTGGCATGTGGCTTCACAAGAGAGATGGGGGCTCTCAGGGAGGTCATGTGGCAGAGAGGGGAAGGCAGGGTATGGGCAAAAGGCAGAGACAGGAACATGCAGGACGAGTGCCCAGGACAAGGAGGAACCCCCGGACCAGAAGCCTGACTTGGCCAGGGCCTGAATGTCAGGAATCGTCATCATGGCCTGACACGCCGCTGGCTGTAGACTCGTGGAGTCCTTGTGGCACCTGGCCCAGAAAGCTTCCCACGCACAGCCCAGGGCACTCTCCTGGGATTATGGTAAGTGTCTGTGGCCTCTCAAAGCCTAGTCCCCGAGCTGCCAGGCATGGAGGAGGGTGGCAGTGGTGCCCCAGGCCAGCCTGGATGCTGGGCGGCACAGCCCTGAGCTGGATGGCCCGGGAGGCTAAGGCCAGCTCTGCCCAGGAGACCCCAGCAGCTACTGGCTCCATGCCAACATTTGCGTGAGGGTCCCGGGGGAAAGCTGGGTGCCATCGCTAGCTAAAAACTGCTGGCAAACAAAACGGAGGGTTTGGTTGTGCAATGGAAAGGTGAAACCGCAAAGGAGCCCGTGTAACACTTCCCGGGGTTCCTGGGCTCTTCTGAGACTGGCTTGGGGCTTTGGGTTTGGCCGAGGGTGTAAGATCCCGGGAGCAGGAGGCAAGGACTAGAGGGGTATGTGCACGCCCCAGGGCTTGGTCACAGGCACGGTCCCTGCGAACATGCCATCTGCACAGGCTGGGATACTCCAGGCCCACCTGTGCCCTGGGGCCCCTGGGTGGATGGACATCCCCAGAAGGACGTGGTCCCTAATCCTGCCTGGTCAGCTCATCCTGGGACCCCAGGGACCAGACCAGAGCATGTCACTAAGTAGGGGACCCCCATCAGGTGGAGGCGGAGCCTCTCTATTCCTGCCGCTGTCCCTCCCCAGGCTCGACCCCAGGGCCTGGTGGCCTAAAGACAGGCCAGAATGGAGCTGGAGTCCCACTGGACACTGTACAGAGTGGAAAACTGAAGCCCGGGAGCAGCTTCCCAGGGCTCCATGCCCAGCCCCTCCCCAGGGCCCAGGCACACAGGGATACTCCGTGCACCCAGGGACAGGTTTCCAGTAGGGCCGTCTGTCCAGGCCACCTGGGCACATACTGGGTCCCCCTTCCTTGTTCCCAGAGTTTCAGAGGTGCAGCCAGGTTGGGACAGGAAAAAGCCTGGGGGCCAAAGGGCCGCTTGGACCCCACTGTGCCCCGTGTGGACACCACGTCACCCTGTGGGAGGCCAAGGCCCACCTCAACCTCCCTCTCCAGCCTCTGTCCCCAGCAGCCCATGCTTTCTCATCCCACAAGGACCCCTCGCCCAGGCCCGACTGGTCATCCCCAGTGGGATATGGCACAACTTTGGGGGAGCAGCCTTGGGGTTGTAGCGTTGGGGGTGGAGGGGTAGGTCTAAGGCACCTACCCCTTAGGTAGGTAGGAGATGACCATGACTGATGGTCATCCCCATAGAACCACCCCAACACGCTCTTACACCTCCCAGCTCAACAAAGACCTTCCAGAGCCTTCTCTGGCCAGCCCAGGCCAGACACCAAGAATGCAGCGGTCAATAGGACCTGCCCTCACCAAGTGCACACCTATCCGTGGGTCCTCACTGGCCAAGAGCTCCTTCCTCTCCTCACCCCCATTTCTCATCTCACCAGCCCTGCCCCAGCTCCCTGCAGGCCCTCGCCCTGCCCACCCCTCTTGTCCCGACGGGTCTCAGAGTCCTGGCCACCAGAACCCAAAGATGTCAAGACTTCCCTCTAACGAACCTGATGTCTTGGATTCCTTCTAGAGAAGGCCAGGTCTCAGCCAACAGCCCAGCGGCTCCCCAAGGCTTCCATGTTTCTCCTGACAGCAAGCTCATCCCTCCACAGCACAACACTTTTCAAAGGTGCTGGTGGTTAGAAAGTTCCACCTTCCAGACCCCTCCTCACAAAAGCATCTCCCAGGCCCCACAGGTCCGGTTACTGGGGGAAGTGGCAGCACCGATTTTGAAATCCTTTTGAAAATGTTTTTCCTTTGTTTTGTTTTATTTAGAAATTTCCCAAATTTTTACCAAGTTAAAGAGACAACCACAAGAATGTGTAGCCAGGGTGAACAATTGGCATAAACAACCCCTCCCCCACTGCCCAGCCTCCCCCCAAACCACGGCCCCCCAACTCAGCAGCAAAAAATGCCAGACATGTATAAGAAAATAGAAGCCGTGAGGATAGAGCTGGGTGAGGAGCACAGGCCCCATGCCTGGGCTGCAGCGTGCACACAGGGACCACGCACGTGCACCCATGTACACACGCACCTGCACACATGCACATACATGCTTGCACATACGTACGCACGCCAGCATGCACATCACACACAGGGCCTCAGGGTAACCTTTTCCCCAGTCCCGGCTGTGATATTGCGAAAGGAGCTCAGGGTGGGGGGCGGGCTGCTGGGTCCAGGCCCCCACCGTCCTGCCTAGCAGTCATTTGGTTTCTCTTTGCCTCAGTTTCCCTTTCTCTGCCCCTCACACCTCCCAAAGTCCTTTGGAGAATCCGTGAGATGGGGGGGTGACAGGCCCTGTATGTCAGCACACACAGCCACGTGATGTGGGACCCCAGCCCGTGTCCCGCAGAGGCCCTTGCAGCTGGGGACCCAGGGCCTGCTCCAGGGCACAGTGGGTCCCCTTTGGCCATAGCAACCCTGCCCTGGCCTGCCTTAGACCTACCCCTGCAACCCCAAGGCTACAACCCCAAGGCTGCACCCCCAAAGTTGTGCCACCCAAGGCTGTACCAGAGGCTGAACCCCCAAGGCAGCATGCCCCTCAAGTCTGTGCCCCCAGGCTGTCTGCCCCACAGCATCCCCAGCTCCTCCCTAGACCCCTTCCATACCCCTCCGTGAACTGCCCACTCCACAGGAAGCTGCCCTGCTCACGGGCACTGACAGTCTTCACTGCCTGGGGTTCTCCCCTGGAGAGGCAGATTCCTTGGCCCAGAATACGCAGCTTTAAGAAACCAAGTTGGGATCCGAATGCAGGGACTTCCTGCTCCAACTGCTGGCCCGAGGGCCCGCTCTGAGGCTCTGAGGCTCCCAGTCTGGGGCACCCGCACACCACGGCCCTCCCGCCCACGGTGAACGCCCCACCCGGCCCCAAGAGGCATCGGGAGGCGCTGCTTGGCCCAGAGGAGAACAGCACTGATGCGGAGGCCCAGAGAGCTGGGGAGGCCTTGGGGGCGCCAATGGGAGGGTCTAAGAGCCCCCCGATCTCCCCTCGGGAAGATGAGCTCTGGCACTCCACGAAGGACAAGCTGGTCTTGGGGAATTTCGCTGGCACAGAGACAGGAAGGAGAGGATCTTGGCCTTCTAAAATGTTTACTACATCAGGAAACGAACGCACTACGCGCGGGCTCAGTGATGAAGAATAAACACACACACTCACTCAGGACACATTGAGTGCAGGCCCAGCCCCGGGCTTCCCGCTGCGGGGGAGGCTGGGAGGGTTCAGGCATGCCGCAGCCACAGACCATGAGCTTGGGGGTCAGGCGGGCGGGGGCCAAGGGCAGGGCCACGTCCCAGCCCTCCCCACCCAGGTCCGGGCGCCTGCCCGCCCGCCCTGGCTGCTCTGATCTGGCTGTCACGGTTACACAAGGCCAGCCTCCATTTCTTCATTAATGCCTCACCAAGGGGGGCCGCTAACCCGCAGCCTCAGGAATGTGCCTTTACAGAGCAGAGGATGCAGCCGCTGAAGGGCCGGGCAAGCTGCACCGGCCGGGGCTGGAGGTCCTGGCCTGGACTGCTCCCCCGGCCCTCCCCACTCTGGCCCGTGCTGGTCCAGGCCAGGGCAGAAGGAGGTCAACTTGTGCAATGCCTCTCTGGGTGAGCTCTGCACCGGGAGCTGGTGATGGGGACAGAGGAGGCCCTGGAAGAGGGGACGTGAGTTGAGAGAGCAGCACAAACCCAGGACATGCCTCCAGCATCTCTGCCTCCCTTCGTCCACAGAGACTGCTGCGGGGTCAGGCAGCACAGCTTCTTGCCTGAGCTCTGTGGCCTCGGGCAAGGAAGGTCCAGGAGTCAGGTGCTGGTCTGCAACATGGGATCATCTCGCTCTCCAGAAAGGCTGCCAGGGGATCTTAGGGGAGGCCCTCACTCTCGTCTCTCCCCTGTAGTCCTGACACCTGCCGACCTCACACATGGGCCCTCTGGGCGCCTGCCCTCCCCCCTCGTCCTTGCATGCATGCTGTTCCAGCCTTCGGAAATGCTGTTCCCTGGTGACCACTCCTACTCCAGCCCCCTGTGCCAGTGTCTTCCAAAATTTTCCTTCATTTCTGAAACCAAAGGAGTGTCTAGTCCAGAAAGGTCCCCTGGAGAAAGGGAAATGCTGACCAAGAAGGGGCCTCCAAGGGCCAGCACTGGAGGCCCCTTTGCCCTCCCACGCATACCCCAAACCAAGGATGCAAACCAATCACCTGCCTGGGCACAGAACCCCACATGTGCTGCCGGAAGTCGCAGAGCGTCCCCCCGGCTCCAGCAGGGCCCTGGGATACAGGCCCAGATTTGAGAGGCAGGAAGGCCCTTCTGGGCTGGGTGCAGGACAGGGCCTTTCTGATGAAGTCAGGGCACCTGGGGAACCTGAAAGCTGAAAATTCACCTTCACAGAGGTGGACTAACTGCCACGCGGGGGTGGGTGACCCTGTACCTCTTGTGGCAGGCACACACTGGGGGTCCCTGGTGGACGGTGGGCAGGGGCAACCCAGGACCACGGGCATCTTGCCAAGGACTGGGGCAGGAGGCAGGGGCATCAGGCCTCCTGGGAGCAAGGCTTCCAGGTCCAGCACCAAGCTCAGGAGCGTCCTGCCCAGTCCTCATGCCCCTTGGCGCCACCAGCACCCCTCCTGGATCCTGCCCCTCCACGGCCATCATGACAGACGAGCATTCACATTGGGTCGGACCCCCTGCAGGGACCTCCCCATCCTCCCGGTTGGGATGCCTCCTCCTCACCCCACGCGGTTGGCCCCATCCTGTCTGCTTCAGAGTCGCTCCCCTTCTAGAGTGAGCTCCTTGCAGGTAGGAGCCTTATCCCTGAATGCCCCTTGACAAAGAGGGTGCGTCACAGCCTCCTGCCCGGACAGAGCACCTGGAGTGGAGACCGGACCGCAGGGCGTCTGAACATGGCCAGAAATGCGGGTCCAGCTGGGGTGGGGACTTCCTCCTCTCTCCTCGAGGCTGTGGCCAAGCTTATCCTGAACCCAGAACTCCCACCAGTCTCAGCCCACATCCCTTATCACTCCCCCTTCTTTCCTGGTGCCTGCTGCCTGCCCCCACCCAGCTCCTGCAGCCCTGAGTAGGTGATATGCCGGTGCCCCTCCCCTGCTGTCTCCTGTCCTGGCTGGTGCTGGGCACAGCAGGCCAGCTCTGCTCTTTTTGATATCCCCAGGTTCTAAGAAGCGGCTTGGCTGACCCCAGCCCACCCTCCTGAGGGTCAAAGCTGGCCCAGACACGCTACAGTGCCCAGCACCTGCTCCCTGGGACCCTCCCCATGGCCCCCTCCCACCAGGGCTCATTGGGATCCTCAGGAACTGCTGTCCCCACTTGTGGCGTGTCCCCAGGTCTTGGCCCTCAGCAGACAGCTCCTCAGCCTGCCGCTTCCCTTGTGAAGTGTACGTAAGTGAAACATCCCTATGCTGGCCCTGCCAGCTGGCACAGGGCAGACTCTGATGAAGAGCAGCGCCTGGGTGCCAGGGGGCCCTCGTGGCCAGGCTGCTGGGCTGGGTGCACCCACACACTCCTCTGCCTGCTCACCTGCTGGCCACGCCTCTCACTGCAGCCCTGGTGGAGGATGCCAAGCGGGAGCCGCACCCCCGCCTTGCCTGACAACAGTACCCGTCACCCGCTCTCAGCCGCAGCTCCAGCAGCTGCTCCCCTGCCCTCCCCGGCCAGCGGAGGAGACTGGAGTGGGCTACAAGGAAGGCAGGCCCCACACTCTTGGCCCTGCGCCCGAGTGCCCTTGCCAGGCCAAGTCAGACCACAGGACAGGCCACAGTGGTAGCAGGGCCTGGAGGACAGGCTGCCTGAGGCTGGCCTGGGTGGGGGCGGGGCAGAGTGGGGGCTGGGCTGTGTGTGCCAGGGGCCCTGCATCCTGTCCTCCTCTTTGGAGAAGCCCAGGCTCCTCCGGCCTCTCTTGCCTCTAAATCATCTGCTTTTCAGCCTCACTAATTCGTGCAGGGTTCCTTGGCTCATCCACACATTTATTGGGCACCTACTGACTGCACACCCTGCTGGGCTTCAGGTCCTGTGTGCCCCAGTAAGAACAGCTCAGTTCTGGCACAGATCTTAGGGGGCGCAAGGCAGAGCCGCCCCTGGGGCCTGCCCCGCCTAGGCCTGCAGACGTGTTTTCCTCAGCCCCACCGGAGCTCACTGCGAGGGTAGCTTTTCACCGAGCCAAGGTGGCCCCTGTGCCCAGACAGCCCAGATTACAGTGGGCATACGCTGGGGCAGACGCCGGCAGGGCCGCCTTGTTATCTCAGACGCTGACGTCACCTGTCTGCGGGAGGTGCAGGGGGGCCACTTCCCGGGGCCAGGCAGGAAGCCCGCCCAGTGCAGAGAGGGAGGTGCCCAGGCCCATCTCAAGCTTGCTGGGCCCAGGGGACCAGAGCCCCTGGGTTCCCTGATGCAACCAGGCCCCACTCTGCACCCCGGGGCCTCCTAGGCTGGCCTGGCCCTGCCCCTCCGTCTGCCCTTCCCCAGCCCAAAGCCCGCAGGACAAGTGGACAGCCCAGGCCGGTTGCAGTCCTGCATGCTCTGCTGAGCTCCCTGAGTCCAGGTTTTGGGGGGCAGTGGCTTTGGGCCAGGGTTCAGGGGTTTATTTCACAGGTCCTTCCAGGTGCCCCACAGTTGCTGAGTGGGAGACTGGCACTGGGGACTGGTGACAAGAGACCTCCCGGGCAGGCCCCTGGCACGGGCTGAAGGACGGAAGCTGGAGGCAGGGAGAAGCCAAGGGCATTGGGTTTGCAGACTCCATGGGGCAGGACAGGAGGGACTGGATGCCTGGGGAGGTTGGGGCAGGACTGTACCCAAGACAGGGGATCAAGCCTAGTACAGAGCCGAGCAGCGGGAGGGACCACCCTGCCAGGCCAAGGGAGGAAGACCCGGGGCCTCCAGACACAGTGTACCAGAGGAGAACCCTTCCCATCCAGCATGGCCAAGCGGGACCCGTGTGGCACTTGAAGCTGGGTCCCTGGACTCACCACCTTCCCTCACTGGACCCCTCGGCAGCCATGCAGGTGGGGCTCACTCCCCTTTCTACTCGCCACCCTGCAGAGGAAGCTTCTTCTCGGCCAGCTGGCCCACCTGTGCCCCTCCCTCAGGAACCCCACCTGGCCCACCCCACAGCTCCTGTGTGTTCCCAGGGGCATCTGATCCTTCAGCCTGGCCCCTCTTTCCTCTCCAGCCACCTGTGCTGCCATTCCAGTGACAGCCAGGCCAAACTCCCTGCTGGGTCCCCAAATGTCAGGGCGTCTCTCTCACCTCTGTTCCCTCCTCCTGGAATGCCCTTCCTGCTGCCTCATGGCACGCTTCTCTTGGGCCGTTTCACAGGTGTCGCTTGGGGCTTGAGGATTTCAACCTCATGGGTTTTTAGATTAGAGTTAGAAAGAGGGGAGACCTTCACCTGGAGGCAATGATTCAAAGACAGGCAGATTACTTCTCTCCATCGACCCGCACAACCATCTTGGCAGCCCATTTTACAGAGAAGCCTAGACCAAAGGAATGAGGTGTCTTTCAAAGGCCACACAGAGCCAGGAGAGACTCTTCCCCACACTGACGTCCACTGGGACCCCAGCCTTAGTGCTCCCTGTGTGTGTCTGTCACTGTCATTGTGGAAAATAAAAGGTCCTGAAAGGACAGTCTCAGGTCCTGGTCCTGGTCTTAGATGTGACTTATGATGACTTCAAATCCATAAGACACAGATGCAGTGGGTAAATTGAGGCAGCCTCTTGTTTCTTAGCCAAAGAACTTGTTCAAGAAGTTTTCTTAGCAATGGGCTTCCAATTATCAAACCTGGATGATATAGAATTGTGGTGGAAAGGGTGGTAGATAGGTGGGTGGATAGATGGGTGGGTGAATTGATGGATGGATGGGTGAGCGGATGGATGGATGGATGGATGGATGGATAAATGGATGGATGGATGGATGATCGATGGATGGGTAGGTGGGTGAATGGATGGAGGTTGGAATGGATGGATGGATGGATGAGTGAATATGTAGGTGAGTGGAAGGATGTGTGGGATGGATGGGTGGATGAGTGGATGGGAAGGTGGTGTGTGAATGGATGAATGGATGGTTGAGATGGATGGATGATTAGGATGGATGGATGGATGGACGGATGAAAGGATGAGTGGGTAGAGGAAAGGATGAATGGATGGGTGAGTGGGGGATGTGGAGACATGAGGATGAATGTAGACGTATGAATAAGTAGGTGGATGAATGAAGAGCAGGTGGGTAGATGGAAGGGTGGATGAACAGTTGGATGGAGGAATGAATGGATCCTCAAATAGCACTTTCTTTGGCTAAGGTGTTGTAACCTTGAATCATGGAGAATGATTGCCAGGCACCCTCCACTCTGTGAGTCTCTGGTTCTCTGCCATGACCCCCAGGGCCATAGAGCAGTGTGGCTTCTCAATCCCCAAATAAGGTGGACAAAGTCCGCACTGGCAGGCCCAGGGAGCAGGAAGTCCGGGTGGGGTGGGAGGCCCTGCTCCCGGAGCTGAAGTCAGTTCCTTCTTTTCTAAACAATGAGGCCTGGCCTGATCTTTGCCGCACCTCCACCCTGCTCCACCCAAGCTCCCTCCACATCTGATGGGGCTCTGGGGCCCTCAGAGCTGGATGCAGGGAGCTGGGGGCTGGAGCAGGAGGGCCAAAAAGAGCAGGACCCACATAGTTTGCAAAAGGCTCAGTCGTGGAAATGCTGCCTTCCCTGCAGCCAAGGCTCCTGGAGCCAGTTTCCCCCAAGCTTCTTTCTGTAGGGAGATAGGAGCTGGGGGTTTGTTGGCCAAGACATGACTTTGGTTTCTTGTTTTCGTCTTTCTTCTTCAAGTCCATAGTTGGAAGGCCCTGCATCCCCTTCTCTCTCCTGTGTCCTCTTCCTTATGGTCATCCTGCTCTGTCCCCCCACTTCCCTTTCCTTGCCCCTCTCTCTGACCCACCATGGCCAGTCTGGCAGAGGAGGAGACTGGAAGAGTAGAGTAGGAAGGAAAACCAAGTCTGCCCTTGCCAGGGCACGGAGGACCAGACTTTCCAACCCAACCGTGGCTCCCAGTTTCAGTGACCAAGCTGGGGCTCTTAGGCCTAAGCAGGGGCTCTCCTCTGCTCCAGCTCTGTCTCCTGCATTGGCAGGAGAGAGCCTCTCCCACAGAGCTGTCCCTGGAACAGAAGGACAAGCTGAAAACCAGAGAATCTCCCCCTCTCGTGCTAAGGGTAGCCAGAGTGTTCCACGGCCCTGGAGACACCATCCACCACCCTCCCAGTGGGCTTCCTGGAAACCCAGAGATGGCTCCAGGGGCTCTGCCCTCCTGGGAAGCCACTTAGAGCCCAAAGAGCGCTTTCCACATGGAAATAAGGGGTCTCTTCTGAGGGTAGGGGTGCTGCAGTACAGAGCAGGGGCAGGGCCGGGAACTGGGGACACAGGCCTGTGTGGACTCAAAATGAACGAGGGCCGTCCTGTGCGTGCTCCACTCCAAATCCCATCTGCTCCCACACTGCTGGCCCAGGGAAAATCTGGGTAGTGACAGTGGCCGTCCCTCACGCCCTCCATGGCCAGGTGCCAGTAGCGTGTTCCACAAGCATCACCTTCGAAACCCTGAAGGAGTCAGGACTGTCGCTGTTCCAGACAAGGAGACTGAGGATGAGTCTCCATTAAGTGGCTTTCCCGCAGACACACAGTAAGTGGCACAAGAGTCAGGAGTTTGAGCCCGGGTCAGCCCAGCTCCAGCCATGGTCGCAGGGGCTGCCTGCAACCCCTGACGAGGGGCACCCCGGGGAGGCCTGGACCCAGCACCTGCAGCCCAACCTGGGCAGAGGCTGATCCAGCAGCTAGGAAGGGCATGGGTCCAGGAGATGGCAGAGCAGGGAACAGAGCGCTGCCGCTCAGGGTACTCCCGGGGAGCTGTGGTTCTCAGTGGAGGCCGCTCCCACACTGACACTCAGGCACCCTTTCACCTGCTGATGCCCAGACACTGCTGAGGCCAACACAACAGACCCACAGCCTGGGTCAGCACGGACAAGGGTGCTTCCTGGCTCCTCCTGACCATTGCTGAATGAATGATGGGTGAATGAATGAATTAACAAATGATGGCTGACTGATGAAAAGCAAGAACACAGATGGAACCAGAGCTTCTGGGGCGCGGAGGCAGGGGCACAACCCCCTCCCGTGCCGGAGTGCGCACACACACACACAGGGGTACACACATGCACGCACAGACACACATGCATACACACACATGCCCACACATGCAAACACACATTCATATACACACACGCCCACACACACAAACACACATTCATATACACACATGCCCACACATGCAAACACACATTCATATACACACGCACGCCCACACATGCAAACACACATTCATATACACACACGCGCAGCAGGCCTCCTTGGTCAAGGCCTCCAGAGCTTTGTCCTTCCTCACGGTTCCAGTGGCCCAGAAGACTCACCATGTTGCCTTGCCCCAGCCCAGGGCCCCAAGTGAGTGTATCAGGATCCCTGAGCCCGCCCCGAAATCCCCAGGTTTCCACCGCTCCCAGCAGGAAGCCGTGCTTCATGCATGAGGCCTCCCTCACCTGTTAATTTCCGCTGATCCTGCCAACCCCCAGGTGAGGGCAGCCATGGGGACCCCAGTGGCCCAGAGCTGGGCCCAGGAAAGGGACCAAAGGCCCAGGGGGCCTTGCTCCTGGAGCCAACTCCACTCAATGCCAGGGCACAGAGGGAAACCAGGCACTGTGGCCAGGCCCCTGGGAAGGGTCATGGGTGCATGCTCAGCAACCCTCGGCCATCATGTGGCTGCAGGCCCAGCCTGTTGCTAGGATTAGTCCCGGATTAGCCCACTGAGGTCCCAGAGGCTCGAGTGTCCTGGTCACCAGTGCTATAGAAACCTGGCCAGAGGCAGGGGGTGGAGACTGGTTCCTCCTTGGTGGGCTCTTCCCTCCAGGCCCAGTCTGAGCCTTACCCTTTCCTGAGCCAGCTCTGGAGTGCCTGGGGCCTGAGCTCCCACCCCCAGCCCTGCGGGAGCCCTTCTCCACAGAGCTCTGCACCTAGGGAAGTTGTAGCTTTCCAGAATCAGCTGTTTTCCAGATCCCGGAATGAAAACGGATGACCGATCATGTTGTGCCTGATGTGGAAAAGCGAAGCGTTTGTTCTCTCCCTTCTCAGATGCTCCTTAATACAGAAAACGTCAGAGCTGGTTCACCCTGCTGCCCCAGGAGCACCCTGGAGCTTCCCTCCCCAGGCCCAGCCCAAGCACCGCCTCCTGAGAACTCTCCTCCCCTCACTGACCCCTGTCCCATCTGTCTCTGCCCTGAAGGAACACCAAGTTGGGGCTGTGGGGCTGGGACCAGGCCTCGGAGCCAGGTAGCAGCCCATTGGGGGACAGCTCAAGAGGCTCCGAGAGCTCCCTGTGACATCTGAGAGGCCAGCAGGACGAAGGCCACAGCCAGCAGCCAGGACCTGACCACTTGCCCAGGCTGGTCTGAGCTCCTGGCCAGGGGCCTCTTGGCAACATGACCTGGCAGGTGCTGTCTGTCCATTATTCCCCTCTCACGGATGTCCCCGGCCTCTGTGGACATGACCGCCTAGCCCTGAAACTCCAAATGTACCTTTCTGCCTCTCCTCTTCTCTGTCAGGTGATGCCATCCTTCCCAGGGGCCTTCTGGGCTCTTCACTCCTCTAGGCCCTCAGCAAAGGCTCTCACTCTGCCCTCAGCACACACCAGGGTGCAACCACCCTCACTCCTCCACCAGTCCCTCCCAGTCACTCCCTTCTGTGTGTATCCCAGCAGGTGCCTCCACTTCTCCTCTTGCACTCTGGTCACTCAGCAGCCACAGGATCCCTTCACTCCTAAGCAGAGACCTCCACTAGCCCCACTTCTCTCCAAGAAAAAGCTGCATCCCCTTCAGGGCTTCCTGATGCCTTCCTGGGCAAGCTCCCCTTGGTTTCTCAGGTGTGTTTCTCAACAACCCATGCTTCCTCCCTATCCACCACTCCTCAGAGACGCCACATCACCTCTCTACAAGCCTTGTACCCGCTGCTCCTGCCATGAGATGCTCTCCCCCAGATGTCCATGTGAGTATGTGGTGGGGGCTAGAAAGGTATGTAGATGGGTAAATGGTTGGCTGGGTAGATGGCTGGATGCGTGGGTGGATGCATGGATCCATGGAAGGAAGGAAGGAAGGAAGGAAGAGAGGGAGGGAGGGCAAGAGGAAAGAAGGAAGGAAGGAAGGAAAGAAGGAAGGAAGAGAAGAAGGGAGGGAGGGAGGATGAATGGGTGCACAGATGGGTGCATGGATGGGTGCATGGATGGGTGCATGGATGGGTGGATGAACAGATGGATGGATGAACAGATGGATGGATGGATAAGTGGATGCATGGATTCATGGAAGTAAGGAAGGAAGGAAGGAAGGAAGGAAGGAAGGAAAGGAAGATGGATGGATGCATGGATGGGTGCATGGATGGATGGATGGATGCATGCATGGATGGAAGGAAGGATGGATGGGTGGATGGATACATGAACAAATGAGTGGGTGGATGGATGGATGGATGAATGGGTGGGTGGATGCATGGATGGGTGGATGCATGGATGGATGGAAGATAGATATATGGATAAATAAGTGGGTGTATGAATAGGTGGGTGAATGGACGGATGAATAGATGCATAGATGGGTGGATGCATGGATGGATGGATGGATAGATAGATAGATACATGGGTGAATGAGTGGATGTATGAATGAGTGGGTGAATGGATGGATGAATAGATGCATAGAGGGGTGGATACATGGATGGGTGGATAGATAGATAAATACATGGATGAATGAGTGGGTGTATGAATGGGTGGATGCATGCATGGATGGATGGATAGATGGATGGATAAATGGATACATGTAGGAGTGAGTGAATAGATGCTTGGATGGATGGATGGAAGAAAGGATGGATGGATAGATGAATACATGGATAATGACTGGGTGTATAAATGGATGGGTGGATGGTGGGTGGATGAATGAATGGATAGATGCCTGGATAAATGGATGGATAGATGCATGGATGGATGAATGGATGGGTGGATGCCCTTTCTCTGAATGCCAGCCAGGAACGTAGCCAAGTGGAAAGGCCCAGGTGGGCAGCTGTCTTCCCAGACCACTCACACTGACCTGAGAACAACTGCTGGGCCCCAGGTGTTGAAAGGGCAAAAAGAGATGTACCCAGCTGGACTGTGCAGGTGCTGGCTGCCCGTTGTTTTGAGCCATGCTCTGATTTGTTCCTCTGTGCCTGCTCTGGGGACTTGGCCACTCTGAGCCATCTGCAGGCTTCCCTGGTGTCCCCTGTACCCATACCACAAGCCAAGTTCCTCCAATGTCACCCTTGATTGCTGTCCCTTGTGTGACTCACACTGGTCCTCCCTGTGTGATCATAGGCTATTCGCCTCTGCCACACACCACACTCATCACCCAGGCTAATCTGGGTGGGAGGCAGACTTGTCCAGCGCTCACAGCTGCTGAGCCTCAGAGCCAGGCCAGACCCAAGGCCAGGACTCCTGAGCTCCCCTCCAACTCTCCGTCCTTACAAGCCTTCCTTGCACCAGCCTTGTCCCCTCTGGTCTAGTTGCATCTATTTCACCCCTGCCAGAAGACGGTGTTCGTTGCCTATGGCTGCAGAATAAATTAGTCCAAAACTTAAAACAATAAAGACTTAAAGTGATGGATATTTATCATCTCAGTTTCTGTGGGTCAGGAGTACAGGAGCAGCTTAGCCTGGTGGTTGTGGCTTGGCTTGGCTGCCACCCCCTGACACCCCAAGCCAAGCCACCAGCCCTGGGCCCCAGCCATCTGAAGGTCCTGCTGGACTGAAGTGTCCCCTTCATGCCTGGCAACCTAGTGTGGCTGTCGGAGGGATGCTCAGTCCTTCCACACAAACCTCTGAGGTTTGCGCATCCTCACAACATGGCAGCCAGCTTTCCCCAGAGGGAGTGAAGGGAGAGAGGTGGGGGAAGAAGAAGGATGCTGCAGTGTCAATTATGACCTGGCCTCAGAAGTCACCCGCCGTCATTCCCACTGTTGGTTACACAAATCCATCCTGTTAATGTGAGGGGGGCCGCACAGTGGCCGAATTCCTGGAAGTGCAGATCTAGGCCCATGGCTACCATGACCTGCAGCTGACATGCTCTTCTTTCTTCCACAAATGACATGAAGTGAGAGAAGCAGTGGGCAAGGTAGCCCCAGACTGACCATCTTCTTGTGGTTCCATTGCCGACACCTGGTGACCTGGCCCAGCCAACACCTCCAGCCCCCTCCTCCTTCCCCACAATAGGCTCAGCTCAGGCCACCCTGAGCGCCAGGGGCAAGGTGTGCCTGGAGCTCTTCAGTGAGACAGTGACTGTTTCTGGGGTAGCCCTGGACCCTGAACCCCTCCAGTGCTGAGATAGACGAGGGGTCCCTCCTTACTGTCCCCTTCCCTGGCCCCATGACTCTGCAGATTCCCCAGCCACAGGGCAGGAAGGGTAGAGCCAGCGTTTTGGGTGGGATAGGGAAGGGCCCGGCTGGGAGGCAGAACAGCTGGTGGAGGGTGGGGGAGGCATCCTGAGGCCCTGGGGGACACCAGGGCACCGACTGTACGTTGTTCTCCATCCCCAGCCTGGGCCAAGAGGGCAACCCAGGGAGCCCAGGACCTTGTCCAGCAGCTGAGGCCTCTGAGGGGAGAGTGCCAGAAAGAGTGGGGGTGCCAGGGCTCTGTCCCCCATCTTTCCTGGCTTGGGTTTCTGGGAGAGGGGGCGGGTGTTGACTCCCGGAGGGGCTGCCCTGGAAGTCAGGTGGCCTGGCGGTTCCCAGACCTGCCAGCCCTTGCTGAGGGAGCCTGCAGGCTCTTCTCCTTCCCAGGCCTCCCCGGCATCTGAGAACCTTCTCCCCAGCACTGACCCATGGCTGGGAGAGGGTCAGGGCCCTCAGGGAGCCCGGCTGAGCCAGCACGGGACGCAGGGGTCGGCTCCTTCAGACCCCCCCACTTTCGGGCAGCGGTGCCCACGCCCAGCTGGGCAGGGCCGAGTCCATGAGACCCACTGCCCTCCCCGGGAGCTCCCGGCCAGCCGCCCACTGCAGCAGCCCGTGTAAAAGTAACGCCTGTTATGCCAGGAACGTCACAGGGCCCTGGGGCTGCAGACAAGCTGGGTCTTTTTTTTTTTTTATTATTAAAAAGCAAAACCTAAACCAAGAAAACAAAGTGATTAAGTTTCTCCTCAGAACAGCAGGCCCCACAGAAACGAGGAGCGACCGTCCCACTGGGTGCTTGGACCCTCACCCACCACTCGGGAAAACAGCCGAATTCTTCACACAAACAGGAAGCAGCTGGTCTTCCCTGAACATGAGGGGAGGGCTGGGGCCTCAGCATGCGGGCTGCCTAGAAGGTGGCGCTGCAGCCAGGCCCTCGGCTGGGCTGGGCAGTCCCAGCCCTCCAGGAAACGGCCAGGCTGCAACTCCCCCGCCAGGAACCCCTGGGCTTCGCGCTTGACCAGTGGAGCCGTGCAGGTCAGAGGAGGGTGGGCTCCCAGCACACACCCTTCTCTGCCACGGTGGGCTCAGCTGCTCCACCCAGGCTGCCAAGACCCAGCCCAGAGCACACAAACTAGCTGGGCTTCTCATGGGGTACAATGGGAGTGGGCAGGAGCTGGCAGCCATGCTGGGCAGGTCAAGGGCCTTCAAAGGGCTGCCACAGCCCAGCTGGGGCGCTGAGGCCTGCAGAAGCTCACTCTGGTGGCATTGAGTTGGGGAAGGGGTCTCTGTGAGCCAGGTTCAGAAAGGAAGATGTGAGGCAAGTTTTAAAGAAATGTTTTAAAATAGAAGGGGCTTAAAGCAGAAAAGTTTAGCCTGCCAGAAGTTAGAACATGTTCTAGAGTAACAATAATTAAAACCTCACGGTACTGATGCAAAGATGGAGATATAGGCTGGGGAGGAGAAGTGGAAGTCTGGAAGTGGAACCAGCAACCTACACAAAGAACATTAAAACTCCAGAAAAAAAGAACGCTACAATTTAAAACCACAGCGTAGGATCTCAGAAGCCCTTCCAGCAGAGGAGCACAGAGGAGCTGCCTCAGGCATTGTCTTGAGATAATGTGTTAGTAATTTGTAATAAAATTCAATCAAAGAGAACACTTACATCCACATAAAAACCTGCTCACAAGTATTTATAGCAGTTTTATTCATAATCACCAAAAACTTGGAAGCAACTGAGATCTTTCAGTGCGTGAGTGGGTAAACACACAGCGGTACCTCTATGCCGAGGAATGTTATTCGGTGCTAAAAAGAAGTTAGCTGTGAGCCGCAAGAAGACATGGAGGAGCACCAAATGCATGATACTAAGTGAGAGAAGCCACTCTGCAAAGGCTACGCCCGTAGGATTCCACCTCTATGACGTCCTCGAAAAGGCAAAGCTATGGAGACAGTGAAAAGACCGGTGGCTGCCAGCGTTTGCAGGAAGAGAGGGAGGAAGAGGTGCAGAACCATGACTGTGGGGGCAGTGAAACTACTCTGTCTGATAGTCTGATGGTGGATATAGGGCATGATAACTTGCGTCCAAACTCATAGAATGCACAACCCCTAGAGTGAGCCTGGACCTCAGTGTGTGCTGGTGCTGGCTGGTCAATTCTAAGAGAAGGCCCACATATTGCAACATGTGAATAACAGGGGAAACTGTGGTGGACGCATGAGGCAGGAGGTCCATGGGAACTCACTGTGCTTTCCATGTGATTTTTCTGTAGTCCTAACCCAGTTTTACTCTTGTCCAAGGACCGTCTGTCCATCACTTTTTAATGCCA
This sequence comes from Homo sapiens, assembly GCF_000001405.40. NCBI lineage: Eukaryota > Metazoa > Chordata > Mammalia > Primates > Hominidae > Homo > Homo sapiens. The sequence goes on from NC_000011.10 coordinate 2,111,114, forward strand.
CTCTCAGCAGCTCCCTTTGTGGAGAACAAACCCGAGCCAGGCTGTTTACACGCGCATCCGGTGGGAGCCCCGTGCTCAGGTGCTCGCTTTTGCACAGGGGGACACTGAGGAACAGAAAAGCGAGGCAACACTCCAGGATTTGAAACAGTCAAAACACTTGCCCCTCTGCTAATTATAAGCACAGCTACTGGCCCCTAAGCCTGGGCTCTTCGACCTCGGTTCTCAAATGTTCCGGCCTCAGGGCCTCTTGCATTCCCCAAAGTTATGAACAAGTCCTTAAAGAGAGTGGGTTGATACGGGGTCACCCCTGCTGATATTTACTGTCTTAGAAGTTACAACTAAGACATTGAAATATTTCAATATTTAAAATATTAGAAATTTTAAAAATAGGTTAAATGAATTAATTTAAAAGTCACAACAGAGGCTGGGCATGGTGGCTCATGCCTGTAATTCCAGCACTTTGGGAGGCCAAGGCGGGAGGATCACTTGAGCCCAGGAGTTCAAGACCAGCCTGGGCTATGTTGCTATGTTACCCAGGCTGGTCTTGAACTCATGGGCTCAAGTGATCCTCCCACCTTGGCCTCCCAAAGTGCTGGAATTACAAGGAGGAGTAATCAAAAAGAAAATCTACAAGCACATAAGGCCATTAAAATATCCTTAATTAAAAAAAAAAGCCAGGTATAGTGGCACACACCAGCTACTCGGGAGGCTGAGGCAGAAGGATCACTTGGGCCTGGAAGGTCGAGGCTGCAGTGAGCCTGGATTGTGCCACTGCACTCCGGCCTGGGCCACAGAGCAAGACCCTGACTCAAAACCATATGAAACAAATGAACACAAAACAGTAAAATCACAACAGCAATAATAAACTCACTACTACACATTAACATAAAATATTTGTTTACAAAAGACAACTAGGCTTTTCAAAACAAAGCAAGTTCCGTGAGAAGAGTGAGATGTCTTTGCACTTTGCGAATCTCTGTGGCTTGCTGGAAGGCAGCGGATTCCCATCACGCCTCTGCAGGCTTTGGCCAGCGCATGGGAAGAATGTAGATGAGGACATCTACGAACATACGTGGTTGGGAGTGGGGGGTGGGGGGCGCTGGTACTTTAATGGCCTTATGCGCTTGTAGATTTTCTTTTTGCTACTACACCAAAACTTGACAAGTGTCATTTCTTCAAGCTTAGCTGCAATGCAGAATCTGAAACCCATGACCTTTAGAGACTCCGTGATGTTACAGTCCCTCAGTTTAGGAAACGACAGAGGCATCATAACCAAATGCACCGGGGCTGGGCGTGGTAGTGCACGCCTGGAATCCCAGCACTTTGGGAGGCCGAGGCAGGCAGATCACCTGAGGTCAGGAGTTCGAGACCAGCCTGGCCAACATAGTGAAACCCTGTCTCTACTAAAAATATGAAAATTAGCTGGACATGGAGGCAGGCACCTGTAATCCCAGTTACTAAGGAGGCTGAGGCAGGAGAATCACTTGAACCTGGGAGGTGGAGGTTGCAGTCAGCCAAGATTGCACCACTATACTCCAGCCTGGGCGACAAGAGTGAAACTCCATCTCAATGTGGCCAGGCACGGTGGCTCACGCCTGTAATCTCAGCACTTTGGGAGGCCAAGGTGGGTGGATCACGAGGTCAGGAGATTGAGACCATCCTGGCTAACATGGTGAAATCCCGTCTCTACTAAAAATACAGAAAATTAGCCGGGCGTGGTGGTGGGCGCCTGTAGTCCCAGCTACTCGGGAGGCTGAGGCAGGAGAATGGCATGAACCCAGGAGGCGGAGCTTGCAGTGAGCCGGGATCGTGCCACTGTACTCCAGCCTGGGTGACAGAGTGAGACTCCGCCTCAAAAAAAAAAAAAGAAAAAAAGAAACTCCGTCTCAAAACAAAACAAAAAAAAAAACAAAATAAACAAATGCACCGTGGACCCTCAATGGGATCCTGGAACAGAAAGAGGATGTGAACAGAAACATTGGTGAACTCCAGATGAAGCCTGGGTTACATTAATAAGTCGAGAAGCAATGTCACACTCTTAATTGTCACAACCATACCACAGTCAGGTGTGACCTTAACAAAGGGGGATTGGGCGAGGGGGGCTGTGTGTACAATCCTTGCAACTCGTCTGTCATCTTGAAATTGTTCCAAAATAAAAGGTGTATTATGGAACGAGTCAACTGGTGTATCTTGCACTTTCCAAGGATCTTTTCCTCTTTTTTGTTTTTATTTTTATTTTTGAGACAGGGTCTTGCTCTGTCATCCAGGCTGGATTACAGTTGCATGATCATGGCTCACTGCAGCCTCAGCCTCCCCAGGCTCAGGGGATCCTCCCACATCAGCCTCCCCAGTAGCTGGGACCATAGGCATGCACCACCACACCCAGCTAATTTTAACATTTTTTGTAGAGACAGGGTTTCACCATGTTGCTCAGGCTGGTCTTGAACTCCTGGGCTCAAGCGATCCGCCCGCCTCGGCCTCAAGGATCTTTTCCTGTGTGTGCCTCTGTAACGTTCCGCATTGATCGTTTGGAAAATATCAATCTCACAATCAGGCAGCTCTTCCAGGAGTGGATGCCATTCTTTATTGTTATGGAAAACTACATTTGTGACTGTCCCCACCAGGCTCCTCAGGAAGGTCTTTAAGGATTGGAAAACCGTCTGGTTCAAGGGGGCAGTTGTAAGTTTCTCAAAATTCTGCTGTTTGCATGAAAGCTCCAAGGTGGTCACCAACAGCAAAATCCAGGAGTTGTTTTTCTCTAAGTGGATCTTTTTGTTCTTCTCTGAGGAAACATCCAGCCGGTCGCCGGTTCAGTAAAAGCGGTGCACGCAGCCCATTGAGCCTGCAACTCAAACCACTGTGCAGGAGCTTTTCCTGGGGACGCTGGCATGCTTCCGGCTACAGTGGGAGTGCTTTGAGCGTGCCTCCGCGAATATTAAAAAGACACACTCCAGGGTCAAGATTTAATAGAATTAATAAAGTTTAATGCTTCATCAAGGACATTCTTAAGTGAGACTGGCAGCTGGCCCACGTCCCATGGGCTGGGAGACCTGGGCTCAGTCCCACCTCCTGCCCCAAACTCAGCCACACCACCCTGTCAGGAGGCTTTGGTGGGATGGTTCCCAGCCCCGTTCATAGACCTGCCCTCTCCCCTGCCCCCTCCACCCTCCACCACCTCACCCTCCCCATTAGATTCTCCTGGAGCTTCTCCTCAAGGTTCCAGGGAGCCCTCACCGACCAGCCCAGACTAGAGAAATTCACTTCCTGGGGCTCCCTCTGCCCATTCCTTACTATCCCGTATGTTCCTTGGCTTCCCCCACCAGGCTGCGAACTTGGCAGAGGCAGATCCCCCGACCCAGCACGGTCTCCTATCTGGCAGTGGTTTATCTCCTACTCGCCCAGGCCAGGACGGCCTCCTGCAGTCCATCCCACGAGCTTGCAGCCATCCCGTAGGGCCCTCTGTCTCAGGCCTGGCAGCAGTGGGATTCCTCTGGATCTGGGAATTCTCTTGACCCCCTGGTGAACCGCAGAGAGCACAGCCCTCGCCTCCTTGCTAATCACAAGCAGAGAGTGGCGGGTGCACGCCTCCTAGCTGGACGGGCCCTGCCCCAAGTTTCTTCTCATGCACAACGTTCAGTGAGGAACTTTCCAGAACGTGCCGGGATGTCAGATCCCAGTGCTGCAGGAAGGAGTTTCCGGGGAGCGCTGGGTGAGCGGGAAAGACCAGGAGTAAGGAGCCGACCCCCTCAGGCTTCCTCTCCCATGTTTTCCACAAGGGAGCCCCCCAGGCCCAGAGGCGCTCAGGGGAAGGCCTCGCCCAAGCTGGGCTTGCCGTCTGCCCTGAGCGCCTGGAAGTGCTCGTGCTCTGAGACAGTGCCAGCTGATTCCCCGACTCATGCCCCGGCATTCCCAGGACAGGGATGCATGGAGGGCCTGACCCAGACACCCCTGGGCACACGGGCCCTGGCCTGGACCCAGCGTTCAGACAGGAACTGGGCCCTAGTGGGAGGATCTTGCCCAGCTGAAAGAAGAGACGACTCAGCCCTGAGCCAGCCACACCTGATGGGGTCCTGCTGGGGCACCACAGAAGCCCTTCCTCGCCACTGCCCAGTGGTGGGTTCAGCGGCGGAGACTGGCCTGTTCTGGGAGACAGAGAAGGGAGGCCGCACACAGGATACTGGCCTCCCTCCTCCAAGCCGCCCTCCTTCCTTGAGGGATCTTCCAAGCTCCAGGTGGTGTTTCCTGGGCCTGAGTGGGGGAGATGCCTGGTGGAGGAGGCGTAGAGGGGAAGGGAGGGGCACCAGGGCCAGAGCAATGGCCCAGAGGGGACACACACAGGGCAGCCTCCTGGTCGCACCCTGAGTAACCCCGGCCTGCCCCTCACTCGCCGGCTGCGGTCTCAGTCTTCTTACCTGGCGGGTGGGGCTGGTAAGCACAGAGCCTGCCCCTGACACATGGGGAGCATTTAGGGAGACACACACAGAGGGCTCTCGGTACGCCCAGCCCCATGAGCGGGAGAAATGTGATGCGAAAGCCCTACCTTCACACCCAGAGTCTGGGGAGGCAGGAGAGCTGGGCAGCAGGCTGGGTCCTCCACCTGCGTAGTTCAAAACTGTACCCTCAAGCAAGCCCTCAGGCCTGACCTGGGGCAGTAGGGAGACCCCAGGTGGGGTCTAGAGCTGGTGCCAGAGGGTCCTAAGCCTCAGAACAGCTTGCCCTTGGCCTCAGGTCAGCAGTGAGGAGTGGAGGCAAACCCTAGGGCTGCCTCTCTGAGTGGCTTTCTGAGCTGGCCAGGGTTGGGCAGGAGGAGGGTGAGGCTGCTTCCATTTCACCTGCACCCAGAGCTGTACCTGGTAGAGGAAGGAAGAGATGACTGTGCTGAGGCCGGGAACTGCCTGGAAGACACAGGCCCACAAACATCTCTGGCCTCAGCCTTGGGAGGCAAGATGGCGTGGGTACTGCCTGACCACAGGAGGACTTGGGGGCACTGGGGTGAGCAACCCCACGGCCCTGCTATTCTCCGCAGCCTGACATCATGCCATCAGGGCAATGGACTCCTTGTTGGCTGTCTGTGCCTCCAGCTGTGAGTCTGCAGTTGCCCGTCTGCTACGTGGCCAATGCCCAGCACAGTGGCTAACCTGGGGCACTCAAGAACAATGGAACGACCATCAACAGGTCCCTGTCTTTCTCAGTTGGCCATCAATTAAAATGCGGAGAATAGCTCTACTTTTGAGGATGAAGTGATAGAACAGATGTACAGCAGGTAGCACAGGGTGACACCCTGTCTGTGGAAACTTCTGGAGTGAAGGCTGGCTTGTAAGGACTAAGACTTGCCAGATAGCAGGTTCATTAGATGTGATGGAAGGTAAGAGAGATGGGGACTGCTAACACCCAGAATTCTGGTGTCAACAACTGAGGGGCTGGGATGGTTATTCCTTGAGATGGGAGGAAGAGCTTCACATGCTAGTGGATAAACTGAGCAGGCATTGGATCTACGTGCCCAATCTCAAGAGGGCGAAACAAGAGTTCCACGTTTGGGAGTCTTCAGGACATATGCCATCATCAAAGCTGTGGTGTGGAAGAGTTCATCCAGGGGGTGAAGTTGGAGGAAGGGAAGGATAGAGGAAGCCCAGGCCAGGATGAGGCCAGTGCTTAATGGAAGGGAGAGCAACAAGGAAAACAAAATGACGGGACAGTAAAACTGGACCAAGTGGCCACAGGAGCCAAAGGGATAGCACATTTCAGGGTTTAAGGAATGTTATTCCATTGTCTTCCAGCCCCCATGGTTTCTGACCAGAAGTCTGTGGCAATTCAATTCACCATTCCCTGCTATGTGGTGCCTTGTTCTCTTCTTTCAAGATTTTCTTTTTTAATTTTCATTTTTATCCATTTGACTTTGATGAGCCTAGGCATGATTTTCTTCAAACTGATCCTATTCAGATTTTGTTTCTTCAAATTGATCCTATTCAGATTTTGATGAACTTCTTGAATCCATAAGTTTATGTTTTTAAAATCAATTTGAGAACTTTTTCATCATTATTTCTTTAATATTTTTTTTTCTGCTCCATTTGCTCTCTCCTCCCCTTCTGGAACTCCAATTTCCTATATATTAATTTTTGGGGTTTTTTTTTCTTTTGAGATGGAGTCTCACTCTGTCACCCAGGCTGGAGTGCAGTAGTGTGATCTTGGCTCCCTGCAACCTCCACCTCCTGGGTTCAAGTGCTTCTCCTGCCTCAGCCTCCCGAGTAGCTGGGATTACAGGCACGTGCCACCATGCCTGGCTAATTTTTGTAGTTTTGGTAGAGATGGGGTTTCACCATGTTGGCCAGGCTGCTCTTGAACTCCTGACCTCAAGTGATCTGCCTGCCTCAGCCACCCGAAGTGCTGGGAATACAGGTGTGAGCCACTGCACCTGGCCATCTGTTAAGTTTTTAACACTATTCACATGTACTTGAGTCTCTTTTCATGTTTTTAAAGCCTTTTCTCTCTCTCTCATTTTCGTATTGAGTTGAATAACTTCTATTGCTCTGTCTTCAAGTTCACAGACTTTCTTCTGTCCTCTCTACACTACTGATCCTTTCATCCAGTATTTTGTTTTTTACTAATTTCAGAGAGTGTATTTTTCAGTTCAAAACATCAATTTAGATATTTTTAAATATTTTCTACTGGTCTGCTGAAATTTCCTGTCATTTCATTCACTGAAAGTGTATTTTTCTTTATCTTCATGGGCATAGTTATAATAGAGGCCTTGTTTGATGATTCCAACATCATGGCTGGCCTCAGTCAATTGTCTTCCCTTGAGAAGAAAATACCGGTTTCTGGCCCTGACATATGTCATACAGTTTGGGATGGCCTCCTGGACTTTGTGAATATTATGTTGTTGGAGACTCTGAAATGTCCTGTATTTGTCTGGAGAGCACTGATGCATTTGTTTTAGCAGGCAATTAACTTGATTAGCTGCCAGTTGCAAAGAGTCTCACCTGAGGTGACAGGAGTCCCAGTCTCAGTTCAGATTGCTTTCTGCCCCATACCAGAAACCAGGGCAGATTTGACACATAAAAGGCCCTTCTCTAGCCTTTTTTGAGAGTCTCATCTCACTCTCCAGCGACTTTGATTGCCTCCAGCTCCTTTCCTGCTTCCTCTGGCCATAATAATGGCAGGACTTCTTTTAATCCCCTCTTTTTTTCACAGGTGTTGAACATGGCAGGCATTCTATTGGAATTATAGATACCCACACCATACCCTGACTACCCCATCAAAATCTACCTGCTTTTGCTAACTTTCTAGAGTCCTTGGTAGTTTCTGTTTGTTTGTGATTCGGGGTTTACAGTTGTTATGTGCAGGAGTGCTGGTTTGTTAAAGTTTGCTACTCCATACTAGAAGGAGAACCAAGAGAAGTTTCCGAGTGGGGAGTGAGAGCAAGCGGGTGAGCAGGAAAAGGCTGCTGAGTGGTCAAGTCTAATAAAAAAAAAAGGGTGCCCTGAATTTGGCTACAAGAAGGTTGGTGGTTGTCGTGAAAAGTCCTCTCAGTGGGTGAGGAGATAGCAGGAAACTGAGGACTAGGTATCTTCTCTTATGTTGAGGAAGTTTCTTTTTAGTCCTAGCCTGCTCAACACGGTTTATAACTGGTAGTGCATTTTAGATTTTATTACATACGTTTTTGGCACTTCTCAATATTATCATATGGTTTTTCTTCCTTTGGCTTATTAGCATCATGATATTAATGGATTTCTTCATGTTGAGTCATCCTTGCGTTCCTGGAAACAAACTCTACTTGGTCATGGTGTGTTATTACTTTAATTTAATACACTGCTGGATTTAATTTGCTAATTCTCTTATTGACAATTTTTGCATCTTTCTTTACATGTGACCTTGGACTGTGGTTTTTCCTTTTTTGTGCCATTGTGTTTGAGTTTTGTTAATCAGGGTTATGCTAACACCAAAAATGAATAGAAACCGTGTCCATCTTCTACACTTGAAACATTTTGTATAGTACAGGCATGATCTTGAGTGTTTAAAAAACTTTCCCGTGGAACACTCTGGGCCCTGTGCCTTTTTCTGGGGTAGCATCTTGTAACCCTCAGTTGACAACCTGGTAATTGGTATGTTCAGATTTTCAGATTTTTCTTTTTCTTTTTTTTTTTTTTTTTGAGACAGAGTCTCGCTCTGTCACCCAGGCTGGAGTGCAGTGGTATGATCTCAGCTCACTGCAACCTCCGCCTCCCGGGTTCAAGCGATCCTCCTGCCTCAGCTTCCTGAGTAGCTGGGATTACAGGCGTGCGCCACCACATCCGGCTAATTTTTATATTTTTAGTAGAGACAGGGTTTCACCAAGTTGATCAGGTTGGTCTCGAACTCCTGACCTCATGATCCGCCTGCCTTGACCTCCCAAAGTGCTGGGATTACAGGCGTGAGCCACTGAGCCCGGCCGATATGTTCAGATTTTTCTAGGTCCTCTTGAGACAATTTCCAGGTATATGTTCACTTAAACAAGACCTTTACATTTCATTTTTAAAATTCCTTTTAATATCATTCCCAATAAATTTCATTTAATCGACAAATATCTTTTAATCTCTATGATGTGTTGGATCCTAAAAACAGGATATATTCAACCTGAATCAACACATAGAATCTCTATAAGCACAGACATACAATGGATTACAGTCTCTTTGCTCTCTTCCCTCACAAGGATCATGTCAGAAGAGAATCCAGGTAGACACTTGTTGACCTACAGCTGACTTGCACCTATCCACACATCCATTTATCCATCCATACATCCATTCACCCACACACACATCTATTCACCCATCCATCACCCACCCACTCCATCATCTACCTATCCATACATCTACCCATCTGCCCATCTGCTTATCCATCCACCAACCCACCCATCCATTCATGGAGCCCACATTGAAGGTCCAAGGCTGAGAAATATAAGCTAAGTGGCTGGAAGACCAAACTGATACTTTAAATGGCCTCCACAGGCTAAAACCATGGACAGAATAGAACAAGATAAGACGATGTTCTGGGATCCAGGGAAGATCTGAGTGAATAATTTACAAGGTGCTAGCCGGGCCCCTCCTCAGCCCTGCTGTTTGTTACATTTATGTTGATGTGCCACTTCCTAGAGTTGTTTTGAGGGCAGGAATGGAACTTTATCCATCTTCATGATTCTAGGGCTTTGTACAGGGCCTGGCATATGTGTATTGAACAGATGATGAAGGCAGGAAGGACCAGAGTGTCGTGGAAGGTCCCGCACAGAGCCCGGAACATGGGACATGTGGCCGCTGAGGGCTGGGTGCTGGGGAGGGTTGCGGCTGCTTGCTTCAACACCACAGAGGGCTCCAGTGTAGATTTCTTTCCCTCCCACAAAGCTCTGAGCCCAGGTCCAGGGGTGGGGGAAACCCCTGTGGTCTCAGCCCGCTCCCACCTGCTGGGGCCGGCCAGCCCTCAGCCACTGCAGCGCCACGGAGCATCAGGAGAGGCCTCGAAAGTCTTCCTCCCCACAGTGCTGCTGAGCTGGGGCCAGGGACCAGGCTGGGGCGTATCCTAGGCCCCGTCCTCGGCAGGAGAAAGGTGGGGGTGGGCACTGCTTGTCTTCTCCCCCACTACCTCCACCGACTCTGCAGAGAACCAATTTGCCTTATCAGAAATTCCCGAGAGTGGCTGGCTAAACCAAATAGCTAGGATTCCTGCTCAGAGGCACATCTGTTCCTGATAGACGGGAGGCCAGGGACGACAAGGCAGGGGAAGGGAAGCAGAGGTACTCGGCCAGACCTTCCCGAAGTGATGCTCCCAGCCAGGCGGGGGAGCCAGCCAGCCTGAGAGTGGGCAGACCTGGGTTGCCCCCAGGGCCTGAGGCAGGAGGAGCTCCCTGCTCCCCATACTCCCCCCAGCTGAGGAGCCAGGGTCTGCATTTGGTGGGGCTGGGGGCAGGGTGGAAATGACCCCATCCGTGCATGCGTGCGATGCTGCTGGGCCACACCGAGCTCCTCCCAGCTGGGGTGCCTCCCTGCGCCCGGCCCAGCACCACCCCTTCCACCCCACCCACCCCACCCGCTAGTGCACCTCCAAACCCTCTCAGGCTCCAGGAGTTCCCACACTTAGACCATCTCTCCAGAATTGATGGCTAGAGTGGCTCACTCTCCCCTTAAAAGCCCCTCCCCGCCTCCCAGAGCTCACTGAAGGTCAAGTTCAGCTTCTTGGCTCAGCACCGAGGCCCTTTGAGCTGCAGCCATCTCCCTCCATGTGTGCACACCTGTGCCTGCACATGCGGTTCCCTGTGCCTAGAACGCCCTTCCCACCCACGTCCTGCCAATGCCCACGCTCCTGTCCGACCCCGCGGGAGGAGCACCCCTGTCTGCATGGTCTTTCTCAGCCCCAGACCTCCAGGTGCCTTTGCCTCACCCCGCTCACACCACCAGGTCCCCTTGGCCCAGGAATTCCTTCTTCTGAAGCCCTGGCTCCCCAGCACCAGGAGCAGGCATAGCCAAGTGCGCGAACAAAGAATGAAGACTGGGAGGAGGCGATCAGGAGAGGGCAGTGGAGGAGGCTGGAAGGAGAGAGGGGCAATTCTGGCTCTCCGAGGACTCCGAGGAGGACTCCGAGGAGGCCTGGGGAAGGTGAAGGTTTGCACCACTTTTCTGTCCCCTGGGAGAGCCAGGCACGTGGGAACAGTCTGAAGATGGGGAGGGGCCTGTTCTTGCTTCCAGTCATGGCACCTTGGGGTCCCACCTGCCCCCTACCACTGGGCTCCAACATGTGCCTGCACCCCCCTCCCTCAATGCAGTCTGGGGCCACCCTCCTCCACACCCACCACCCCACTGACACCGCCACTCTGGGGCTGCAGGCTTTCAAGGGCAGAGGCATCCCCATCTCTGTGTGCTCCACGGCCGAGCTGAGTCAGGGGGTCTCAGGCTTTGGACAATCAAGGAGGGAGGAGGCGAGAGGATGGAGTGCAGTAGAGGGGGTGGGTAGGTAATAGGTCCTGTCACCCTGAGGGTCTAAGCACCTGTCTATGTGAAGGGGGTACTGAAAGGCAGACTTGGAGAGGGGTTCCCTGGAGGGAGCGGCTGCAGGCGGCCGCTCTCCTGCCATCCTTCCCTGTGTAGCCTGTGCAGGCAGCATGGAGTCCCCACTCCAACTCCCAGATGGACATGCACCCCGGTACCCCCAACCCCCAAGACACATCTCATTCAGCCATCCCCCAGAGGAAGCAAGCCCCACCCTCGCTCCAGGTCTGTGGTGCGGTCCCCTCTCCCCGGCCTCAGCAGCCCCTTCCACCGAGGAGGAGCCCAGCACGGAGGGCACGGCACTGGGGAGAGGGCCGGGCTGGCGGCCGGAATGTGCCGCGGCCAGTGTAAACAGATCATTTCTGTCTGCCTTGGGGGGAGGGCTGGGAGCGGGGAGGGAGTTGTCTTGGGCTTTGTTATGTTCTGAAAAAAAAAGGCAAAAAATTTGGGTCACAAACCACAAACTGTTTTGCTTTCGGCATGACTGGCATAAACAGGCATTTTCTCTTTGGTTTCAGGCCGGCTGAGGCCTGGGCTGGCTGGGGCTGGGAGCCGGGGGACAGGCTGGAGACTACACTCTGAGCCTGGGGCTGCAGCCCCGGCCTGGGCCAGAGGGGAGTGGGCAGGGCCAGGGGCCCAGCTGAGAAGGTGGAGACCAGGCTTGAGGGGTGGGGCTGTCAGCCTGTGGGTGCCAGCCCTGGCCTGGCCGCACCTGTGTGGGAGCTGGGAAGAGCGGGGACCCTGGGGGCCAGACCCAGAGGGACAGGTTCCTCCAGGATGAGGCCTGCTGAGCGGGCCGGTGGGCAACCTCAGCAAGGATGCCTGGCAGCTGGGTCTCCCCGGCAAGCTAACCCGGGGGGCAGGGGGCAAGCTAACCTGGGGGGCAGGGGGCAGGGGCCAAGCTAACCCAGGGGCAGGGGCCAAGCTAACCCGGGGGGCAGGGGCCAAGCTAACCCAGGGGCAGGGGCCAATCTAACCCGGGGGGCAGGGGACAAGCTAACCCGGGGGGCAGGGGACAAGCTAACCCAGGGGCAGGGGGCAAGCTAACCCAGGGGTAGGGGGCAAGGGGGAAGCTAACACAGGGGCAGGGGACAAGCTAACCCGGGGAGCAGGGAGTTAGCCATTGGTGGGGTGCCAGAGTCCCTCGAGGCACCCTCCAGGGCCTTCTGTCTGACCCCTCTGGTCTGGGAGCCCCAGACAGAGCCCCAGGGATCCTGGAGAGGACTTGCCAGCAGGCGTCTTGGGACCATGGTTAGCAGTGTCTCTGGCGGATGGTGGGGGGCTCAATGCCAGAACAAACAGGAAGGGAGACCAGGGAGGCCAGACTCCTGGGGGTCAGGATGGCACAGTACAGCAGAGGGCGTGCGTGAGTTACCAGGACAAGGGTGATACCAGAGGGCCTGGGCAAGAGGGCAGCAGGTGCAGCCTGGGACTGGGAGTGGAGGGGTGGGTGGGAGGACCAGGGATGGGGCCAGGTGCTGGAAAGCCTGGCCAGGGCCTGGATTTGCCAGTGGCCCACGGGATTCACGGAGGGCTCTAAGTGGAGAGAGGCAGACTCTGGCCCCACTGCTCTGGTCCCATATGGAGCATGGCCAGAGGGGCTGGCTCTACAGGAGGCTGGACAGCAGCAGGGGCCAGGGCCTGGTGGAGTCCGTGGATCTCCTCAACTAACTCAATGTGAGGTGTGGTGGAGGGCAGTGGTGGACCGGCAGACGCATGCTGGGTGAGGGGTCTGCAGGACATCCTGGAGGAGTGAAGCTGGCCACAGCAGGTGCCATTGGAAGTGTGTCCTCTTCATTCTCAGAGCGTTTGTGGGACAGGTCCACACGGGCTGCCATTGTGCAGAGGAATTCCAAGGCAGACTCCATGCCGAGGGTGCAACCACGCCAAGATGACCTGGGCAAAGGTCTGCAGGGGAAGGGGTCTAGGCAGGGGCAACCCAACCTGGGACCACTGTGGCTGGGCAGGTGTCATAGCGGTGGTGGTGATGGGTAGTGTGGGTCAGGTGGCCTCATGGGTCATCATGAGGGTGTTGCTTGTCACCAAGGAAATAAGGTACCACTGCTGGACTATGAACCGAGCTGTGCCACGAGGCCACGTGGGTGCTGCGTGGAGGTTGGGTTAGGGTTAGGGTTAGGTTAGGCTGGAGTGCAGTGTCTGTTCACAGGTGCCATCGCAGCTCACTATAACCTTGGACTCCTGGGCTCAAGTGATCCTCCTGGCTCAGCCTCCTGGGTAGCTGGGATTACAGGTTCGAGTCACTGCACATGACGGGACAGACCTTTCTGAGGGCCACAATTCACCCCATGGCCTCAGGGTCCCATGGTGTCTGTTGAACAAACGGCATGGCCTATGCAGCCCAGGCCATCTGCCCCCCATTACAGCTCTGACCTCAGCCCCCTACACAGGCCCTCCACCTCTTCCTGCTGCAGCTCCCACCAACCCAAACCCCCGACTTCCTGCTGTGGCTCAAACACTCCCAGACCACTCATGTTTTATCCCTGTGAGGAAGAACGCTCTTTCTGGATGCTTCATACTCCTTCCTCAGCTCCTTCCAGTCTCTGCCCCCACGCCAACTTCTCCATGAGGCCTCAGCTCCGTCCAGTCTCTGCCCCCACGCCAACTTCTCCATGAGGCCTGTCTTGCTTAAAAGAGCACCGAACACCTTTCGCTTTCTTCCCTCCATGACGCTGAGCTTATCTCTTGGCTGAAAGTCCAGCATGTGGGTAGTGCCTGTCCATGTGTTTGTATACGTGGATGAGTGGGTGGGTGGATGGAGGAGTGAGTGGATGGATGGATGAGTGGGTGAGTGAGAGTCAAGTGGGTAGATGGACAGATGAGTAGACAGATGACTGGGGGTGGATGGAGGGCGAGTGGATAGATGGATGAGTGGGTGAGTGGGTAGATGGATAGATGAATAGATGAATAGATAGATGACTGGGTGGGTGGATGGAGGGTGAGTGGATGGATGGATGAGTGGGTGAGTGGGTAAGTGGGTGAATGGGTAGACGGATAGATGGATAGATGACTGGGTGGGTGGATGGAGGGTGAGTGGTTGGATGGATGAGTGGGCGAGTGAGAGGTAAGTGGGTGAGTGGATAGATGGATAGATGAATAGATAGATGACTGGGTGGGTGGATGGAGGGTGAGTGGATGGATGGATGAGTGGGCAAGTGAGAGGTAAGTGGGTGAGTGGGTAGATGGATAGATGAATAGATAGATGAGTGGGTGGGTGGATGGAGGGTGAGTGGATGGATGGATGAGTGGGCGAGTGAGAGGTAAGTGGGTAGATGGACAGATGAGTAGACAGATGACTGGGGGGTGGATGGAGGGCGAGTGGATGGATGGATGAGTGGGTGAGTGAGAGTTAAGTGGGTAGATGGACAGATGAGTAGACAGATGACTGGGGGGTGGATGGAGGGCGAGTGGATGGATGGATGAGTGGGTGAGCGGGTAAGTGGGTGAGTGGGTAGATGGATAGATGGATAGATAGATGAGTGGGTGGATGGATGGAGGGTGAGTGGATGGATGGATGAGTGGGTGAGTGGGTGAGTGGGTAGATGGATAGATGAATAGATGAATAGATAGATGACTGGGTGGGTGGATGGAGGGTGAGTGGATGGATGGATGAGTGGGTGAGCGGGTAAGTGGGTGAATGGGTAGATGGATAGATGGATAGATGACTGGGTGGGTGGATGGAGGGTGAGTGGTTGGATGGATGAGTGGGCGAGTGAGAGGTAAGTGGGTGAGTGGATAGATGGATAGATGAATAGATAGATGACTGGGTGGGTGGATGGAGGGTGAGTGGATGGATGGATGAGTGGGTGAGTGGGTAAGTGGGTGAGTGGGTAGATGGATAGATGAATAGATAGATGAGTGGGTGGGTGGATGGAGGGTGAGTGGATGGATGGATGAGTGGGCGAGTGAGAGGTAAGTGGGTGAGTGGGTGGATGGACAGATGAATAGATAGATGACTGGGTGAGTGGATGGAGGGTGAGTGGATGGATGGATGAGTGGGTGAGTGAGAGTTAAGTGGGTGGATGGACAGGTGAGTAGATAGATGAGTGGGTGGGTGGATGGAGGGTGCGTGGATGGATGGATGAGTGGGTGAGTGAGTGGGTAAGTGGGTGAATGGGTAGATGGATAGATGACTGGGTGGGTGGATGGGAGGGTGAGTGGATGGATGGATGAGTGGGTGAGTTTGTGGGTAAGTGGGTGAGTGGGTGGATGATGAGTGGGCGAGTGGGTAGATGGATAGATGAGTGGATGGGTAGATGGGAGGGTGAGTGGATGGATGGATGAGTGCGTGAGTGAGTGGATAAGTGGGTGAGTGGGTGGGTGGGATGGATGAATAGGTGGATGGATGGGTGAGTGGATGGGTGGGTGGGTGGACTGTTGGGTGGACGAATAGATGGGTGGATGGATGAGTGGGTGAGACTGGGTAAGTGGGTGAGTGGGTAGATGGGATGGATGAATAGATGGATGAATGGGTGGATGGGTGGAGGGGTAAGTAAATGGATGAATGAGTGGGTGAGTGAGTAGTAGGTGGGGTGTTTGTGGATGGGATGGATGAATAGGTGGATGGGTGGGTGAGTGGATGGTTGGGTGGGTGGATGAATAGATGGGTGAATGGGTGCGTGGGTGAGTGAGTGGGTGAGTGGGTGGAAGAATAGATGGATGAGTGGGTGGGTGGATGGAGGGGTGAGTAAATGGATGGATGAGTGGGTGAGTGAGTGGTAAGTGGGTGGATGGGATGGATAAATAGGTGAATGGGTGGATGGTGAGTGGATGGTTTGGTGGGCAGATGGACCAGTGGATGGATGAGTTGGTGAATGAGTGGGTAAGTGGATGGGTGGAGGGATGGGTGGATGGATGGGTGGAGGGATGGGTGGTTGGATGGTTGGATGGATGGGTGGAGGGATGGGTGGATGGATGGGTGGAGGGATGGGTGGATGGATGGGTGGCTGGATGGGTAGGGGATGGGTGGAGGGATGAGTGGATGGATGAGTGGAGGGATGGGTGGAGGGATGGTTGGATGGATGGGTGGATGGATGGGTGGAGGGATGGGTGGAGGGATGAGTGGATGGATGAGTGGAGGGATGGGTGGAGGGATGGGTGGATGGATGGGGGGATGGATGGGTGGAGGGATGGGTGGGGGGATGGATGGGTGGAGGGATGGGGGGATGGATGGGTGGAGGGATGGAGAGTTGGAGCTGCCAGGATGAACTGAGAATTTGCAAAGCAGGGAGAGGGGAGAAGAGAGGGCCCTGCAGTCTCAGAAGCCCTGGAATGAGGCTGGGCCCAGTGAAGCAGGATGAAGGCTGGGCAGCCCTGAGTGGGTGTCAAGAGACCAGGCTAAACCCGGGGGAACCAGGGTGAGTGGCTTTGCCCAGTTCTGCAGAGAGGTCAGGGAAGGTCACAAGGGGTCCGGGGAAGCAGAGGGCAGGCAGGCTGCAAGTGAAAGGAAAGAAGCTGCACAGAAGCTCCTGGCTGTGGGCAAGAGTGGCTGAGCAGGCCCAGGGTGCGGGGAGAGCCAGTGTGGAAGTGACCTGGGGCCAGTGGGGACAGGAGCAGGAGGGCCCAGGCTCATGGGGCTGGAGGCTGGGCCCTGAAGCAGACCCAGAGAGGAAGCGAGACCATGAGGCCGGCCCTGCGTGGGCCTGGGGGACTGCAGGGCTGGGGGAGGGGCACAGGGCAGAGCTGCCTGGGCTTGCAGGGAAAGCAACTCCACCTGGCCTCAGGAAGGTGGACAGGACTAGGCTTCCATCTACATCTACAGAAGGGCCTCAGAGCAGCCCCGACCCCCTGGGGGTCAGCAATGCCACCTGGGCCCTGGACCCTCCAGCTTAGACCTAGCACTGAGGTGCAGAGCCAGGGACCAGCTCAGGAAGGGCATGGTGCCCCCCATATCCAATCTGCTCTTCTCCAACCCCCAGCCCTCCTCATCTTCAAGGCTAATCCCTCCTCCTCCAGGCAACTCCCCAAACCACCGCCCACCCTCTCCCTTCCCTTGGAGTGGTTCTCAGATGGTGTGGGCAGTGACACTGTCCGTGTAGACGTGTCCCCAGGCCTCAGAGGCTTGGGTGACAGCCCAGCACCCTCCAGTGCCCGGCACAGGAGAAATGCTAGGGACAGAGGCAGCCATCAAGGGACAGGGCTTGACCAGGGGCAGACCCTGGGGGCCAGGATGCAAGCACGCCCCCAACCCAGTCAGGCCCCTCCCCACCGCCTGCCCAGCACTGAAGGCTGCAGGGCCCTGGGCACACTTCTGGGCTCCTTCTGTGGCGCCCCTGTCCCTCCATCCCCACAGCAGGCGGGGCACAGGCAGATCCACTGCCCAAGGCTGCTGGAAAGTTCCTGGAGGGGGATGGAGAGAAGAGGCTGGGCCAGGCTCCCAGCAGCCCAGCCTACCCCTCCTCCCATGCTCAGGGACCCTTGAAAGCTAGAGGCCAGCACCCTTGGGACAGGTGGGTACAGGCTGAGCCCTGGCAGGAGGCAGTGGTACTAATGACATCTGGGCAGCCTCAACCTTGGAAGGGGGCTGAGTCCCTGGGTGAGAGTGGCCCTGAGCCCCCATCTCCAGCCACAGATACGGTTTCCAGAACCTTTTAGAGGTTGCCCAGCCCCAGTCCTCTAAGGCTGTTGGTGGGGGAGGCATTCCCTGGAGTTGGTACTGATGGTACTTTGCTTTTTCTCTGAAAAAGCCCCCCAGGCTCCTACCCTTCGTGGCACCCCCATCTTTGAGAACTTGGTGCCTGACACTGTCCCAGACCCCCTGGCTTCAGGTGCACGACAGTGAGTCTGAGAGTCTGGCTTCCAGCTCTCTCATTTCTCCATGTATGTGATCAGGGGACGGAGAGAGGTGTCCACACCCCTAAGGCCTTCCTTCCCCTTCCCTCTTCTATCCCCCTCTGCCTGCTTCCAGGTGCTCAGCCCCTTCCCTCCCTCTGGCAGTCCAGTACCCAAGTCAGAGAGTGGAACACTCAGAAGATCATGACTTTTAATGCTTTATTGGGATTGCAAGCGTTACAAGGTTAAAGACAAAACCCAAGCATGGGATTTTGCCGGAAATATTAGCGTTAAAGGAGTTGAGTTGAGTCAAACACGGGCCGCAAGGTGGACCGAGGCGGCAGGCACAGGTGACATTCAGTGTTTGGCGTGGGGGTCTTCAGGTGATGGCAGAGGAGGGGACCCAAGAGGGGGCCCCCCACTGAAGACATTGGGGACACGGGGAGGAGACAAGATGGAGAGCCACGACTAGGCACGGAGGTCAGACAGGCAGCCCGGGCCAGGATGGTTAGTGGCCCAGGGGAGAGCTGCAAACCTGGGGACGCAAGGGGCTGGTCGGCAAGTGCCCCCGGGAACACCCACTCCGGCGAGGCAGAATATAACACTGGGTGGGTGGGTGTCCTGACGAATGGGCAGGTAATTTGGGGTGCCTCGAAGCGTTTTGGATCTCAGGCCAATGTGGGTTCCACAATTGTGACAATTTGGCTCTTTGGGCTTCTGTCCAATGTTCCGAATGGCCCACTCACAGGGCGCTTGCCGAGGGACCCTCTGCGACTGAGGCGGACTGGCATGGACGACCCCCGGGGTCATGCCAGCCCCGTCACCAGGACCCAGAAGCCTCAGGCCTCTAGACTGCTAGTCGGGCTGCGTGCAGGGGGGCTGAGCTGGGGGCACAAGTGGGGGCGAGGTAAACCTCCCAGAGGCCGAGTCCCTGCCGCAGCCCTAGGCGCCGCGGTGGTGGCTGCTATGGCATCACCAGACCCGTGGGCTCCGGGGCCCAAGCAACCTGGTCGATGGGCAGACCTGGCAGCTCTCCTGCTCTGTGGGCTCAGACCCGCCTGACCTCCCTACTCCCCGGCCTCACCCCACCTTGCCCCCAAGAGGTCCCACAGAGCTTCGGACCTCCTGGAGACAAGGCAGGGTGCTGAGGGGCGGGCAAGATGTCACCGAGGGAGAGGGGAGGGTTCCTCAAGTGTGCGGAAGGCGGCCACCCTGCCCCAGCCTGATGGAACCCTCTGTTTACACACCTGCTAGCCCCTTCCCCTCCGGCCAGCCTCAGGCCAGCCAGGAGCCCCCTCCTGTGGCCTCCGAGCACCCTCCTGACACCTGAGGAGACCCTGCCCAACCCCCCCCTCCGCCCTCAGGACTTCTGGGGACCAGCCACTGTCCCCAGAAGCCAGGCCGGACAGTGGCCTTCTCCACTCCCCTCTGACTTCTCCAAGGGGGCTCAGTGGCCAGTGCCCCCCAGGAGGCTCCACCCTCAACTCAACCCAAGCAACAGGGACAGATGAAAAACAAAATCCAATCAGGGCGATAAATGGCGGGGGGCAGGACGTGGTGGTCTCCAGGCTGGCTTCGTGCGTTCTTGCTTTTGTCACTGCCCCCCTGTTACATGGGGGGGGGGTTTAATTTGGTTTCTGAGCGCATAAAGCTAAGGAGGGGTAAAAAAAAAACAAAAAAAAAAAAAAAAGGAAAAATGCCCCAAGAAACAAAGAGGGGGAATAGATCAATTGACATGAAATTTGGGGGTTCCTAATTTCTCTATGTAATTCTGCAAGTCTGCTGTCAATCCTCCTGACTTTTCCATCCAAAATCTCCCGGGACCACTTCCTACCCCAGAACTCCCCCCGCCCAGCCCCCACTGCCCCCCACCCACCCCTCCAACCGCCAGACTTCCCACACTCCCCGCATCAGTGCACGGCCCCCGAGGACTCCACATTTCTTGGGGGGTCCCCAGGAGACGGGCAAAGATGATCCCTAGGTGTGCTCCGGTGGGGGGGTCCCCAAGATCTTCCTTCCAGGAGCACACCAGGGAGTCAGGCTACTCGTGGGGGCATGTCTGCTCAGCTACCGCCATCTCCAATGTGGCCAAACTCCTTCCTCACTCTGGCTGGGCCAACACACAGTAAGTAAGGTGTATCGGGAATGGGTGGGGTATGGGGAGCATCGTGGCTCACGCTGCGGGGGCCGTGGGGACAGGCGCCAAGGAGGCCAGCCTCACAAGGGCATCTCTGTCATGGTGGAAAGATGGAATTAGGCCTGGGACACACCCCGCCCACCCTACGGGTGTATCCCAAATGCCGCCGGCCGCACACTCAGGCCGCACCATCTGAGCCCCCTCCTCTGAGAGGCAGGGCACAGACAGGGCCGAGGGGCAGTGGAGATGGGAACAGGAGCGGGGCTCAGACCATGAAAACATTGGAGAATCTTAGCGGGACTTTGGCCTGATCCATACAGATATCGTAGTTGCTTAGATATGCTTATTGTTTTCATCCAATTTTGTGGGGGTGTGCGTGTGTGTGCGCATGTGTGTGTGCAGGTGGGTGCTTGCGTGTGCAACGTGTGTGCTGCGTGTTTGTGTGCTGTGAGCTGTGTTCATGTATGTGCTGCGCATGAGTGTGTGTGCTGTGTGTGCATGTGTGTGCTGTGTGTTTGTGTGTGTGCTGTGTTCATGTGTGCTGTGCATGCGTGTGTGCTGTGTGTGCATGTGTGTGCTGTGTGCTGTGTTCATGTGTGTGCTGTGTGTGCGTGTGCTGTGTGCATGTGTGTGCTGTGTTTGTGTGTGTGCTGTGTGTGCTGTGTTCGTGTGTGCTGTGTTCGCGTGTGTGTGCTGTGTGTGCATGTGTGTGCTGTGTCTTTGTGTGTGTGCTGTGTGCTAGTGTGTGTGCTGTGTGTGCATGTGTGTGCGTGTGCTGTGCGTTTGTGTGCTGTGTGCTCGTGTGTGTGCTGTGTGTGCGTGTGTGCTGTGCGTTTGTGTGTGCTGTGCGTTTGTGTGTGTGCTGTGTGTGCATGTGTGTGCGTGTGTGTGCCGTGCGTTTGTGTGCTGTGTGTGCATGTGTGTGCGTGTGTGTGCTGTGCGTTTGTGTGTGTGCTGTGTGCTCATCTGTGTGCTGTGTGTGCTGTGCGTTTGTGTGTGTGCTGTGCTCGTGTGTGTGCTGTGTTCATGCGTGTGCTGTGTGTTGTGTGTGTGTAGCTGCGGGGATGCATAAAGTATGAGTGCTTTTTAGGATGGGAATTGAGATGTAAGATTTGGGGGTGAGGGTCGTGCCAATTACATTTCATTTGCATGGATTTTGGTTTTCATGCTCTGTCCTCCCCTCCTTTGGTCTTACTGGGTCCCTCTGACTGCTCTGTGATTTTTAGTGATGGAAAAGGGAGTGAGGAGCCAGTCTGGGTTGTTGCTATTTTCGGATGGCCAGTTTACCCTGAAAATTCCCGTGAGAAGGGAGATGGCGGTAGCAGCGACGTGCCCACCTGTGATTTCTGGGGTCCTTCTTTTCTCTTTGCTGGTTCAGGGACTCAAGTCCAGGCCAATTTGACTCAAAGTCCAAGGGAGAAGAGAAAGAGGGGGGTGGGGAGTGCCAAATTCCTTTATTTTGCCAATTGTTTCTCAGCCAATTCGTTTTTAATACTTTTTTTTTTTAGCCAATTGATTTTTTTTGGTGGTTGTTTTTTTTAAAGCCAATTTCTGAGCTTTTGTGGGGTGTTTCTAAAAAGCCAATTAGTTTTAAGAGGGTTGTTGTGGGGGGGGGGGAAGGGGGTTAGTTTAATGTTTTGATTTTTTATGTGTGGGGATAATTGGGGATAATTTGGGGGGAGGGTATGTGAAGGGTGTTTAAAGCCAATCGATTTTGTACATGTTTGAAGATGCTGCTGTGCTTCCTCAGCCCGATGGAGGGGGCCGAGGAGAGTAGCCTGTTTCGGGGAGGCGGGGCACGGGGACTGGGTCAGGAGAAGCCCCAGGGGGACGTGGAACCGAGAGATTTTCGGGATGGAACCTGATGGAAACGTCCGTGGTCAGGAGGAGGCTGCAGGATGGTGGCGCCGGGCTGCAGACTTGCGGCAGTTTTGCTCACTTCCGATTGCTGGCCATCTCTGGGGGGGCGCCCCCGTGGGCGGGGTCTTGGGTGGGTAGAGCAATCAGGGGACGGTGACGTTTGGCCTCCCTGAACGCCTCGAGCTCCTTGGCGAGCACGTGACCCCGGCGGGCACGCAGGAGGGCAGGCAGGCCCCTGCGCAGGCGCTGGGTGGACTGCTTCCAGGTGTCATATTGGAAGAACTTGCCCACGGGGTATCTGGGGAAGTTGTCCTGGGAGGGGAAGGGGCTGGTCAGCAGGTGCCTGCTCTCCACGCTCTTCCGCCTGAGCCGCCCGCCTGACCTGACAGGCCACCCCTGTGACTGATCAGTGACTTGAGCTAATGTCCACGGGCAGAGGGACAGAAGGAGCCAGCGTCTGAGCTGCTCCCGGGCCACACAGCAAGCAAGGAAGTCACGGGTCCTTGTCCCTGGCCAAGAGGTCCCAGAGGCCACAGGAAACGCTGGGCGCCCGAAGCCCTATTTCTCTGTCTCTAGAGAGTGGGAAAGGGGCCCAGGACCCTCACCGGAAGCACGGTCGGAGGGGTCGACACGTCCCTCTCGGACTTGGCGGGGGTAGCACAGTACGTCTCCAGGAGGGCCAGGTCACAGCTGCGGAAACAGCACTCCTCAACGATGCCACGGCTGCGACGGCTCACACGGCTTGCGGGCCTGCCTGGAAGTCCCACAGCACAGAGAGAGCCGTGTTAGCACCGCACTGACCCCAGCCCCCGGAGGCTGAAGGGGGAGCAAACCACCCCTGCCCTCAGGCCAGGCCCTGGAAGGACGCAGCCACCCTGCGGGTCAGGGGAGGGAAGTGAGAGCTGGCAGGCAGAGGCGTCCCAGGAAGAAGAGAGGTGAGAGGGGAGGTGAGTGGGACCCAGACCAGCCCGTGGCCTCTGCTGCCTCCTTCCTCAGATGAAAAATGGGCACAAGCTCTTGGTCCCACAACCAGAGGGACACCACCAGGACCAAAGGCTCACAATGGGAGTGGTTTGGAAAATGTGTGGGATGTGAGCCCAGTTCAGGGGCCCCCACAGGAGGGACTGCTGTCCCTGAGCTTGGACTCTGGCCTGGCACCACCTAGGAGGCTGGAGGGGCCCACACCACCCCTGGAGCTGCTGAGACAGGGAGACAAGGGCAGGAGAGGAGAAGACGGGAGGAGAGGAGTGAGGAGGCGTGATGGAACCACTCCCTTCTTTCCTCCCGTCTTCCCCCTCTCCCCCACAGCAATGCTCAGCTGGAAGGGGAAGGTCGCTGGGGGCTCCACCTTGGGGTGCCAAAGGGCAGGTGCCATCAGCCGGAGGAGGGAGCAGGAGCCCCATCACGGGGGTCCCCCAAGTGGGGGCTTGGCCCTCCCCTCCTCTCAGGAAAGCCTGGTGCAGGGAAGCTTCTCCCTGGGCAAGGACTGGCTGGCACCAGGCCCTGCAGTGCCACTTCCTACCCCCAAATGGGGCAGGCAAGAGAGAGGGCACAGGAGAGGCCAGGGCGGGCAGGGGCTTCCAGAGTCAAGCAGCAGGAACTTTTCAGAGAGAAGCTTTGAAGTGCATTTGCATCCTGTGAGCCCATTTCACAGCGTGAGTAAGCAGTGGTGGTAAAGATGTCACGTGGTGAGTGTCAGGTGGAATAAGCCGTGCGGCCTCTGCCAGTAAGGAGCGGCCCCTCCCCTGCCCCATCAGGCATGCCCAGGCACCATGCCTGCCTCTGCATCCACCCAGCCCCCCTATCTGGGGGTGGGGTCTCAAGGACAATGGGCCATGCACCCACCTGCCAGCCCCCAGGCTGGAGAACCAAGAGAGAAACATGAGGAAAGGCTGAAGCGTCCTTGAGGTCAGCAGGTGGGCACCCCCCACGGCAGCCTTGGGGCCCAAGGAGGCGCATGCACCGCTCACCCCTGCCACCCACCAACTGCACTTGTCTTATTGATTTTAATTATATAAATCACTTTATTGATTTTAATTCTGATCATTCACCGAACGCACGTCCCTTGTCAGAATGTCCAAAAGGTGCAGGAAGAAAGGCAGGCTCTTCCTCCAGAGCCTGAAGCCCTGCACTAGGCGTGCGGTGCCTCAGGAGCAGGAGCCTCACGGCCCCCAACAGAAATTCTGATGCCCAGGGAGACCCCTGTGAGTGCCCCTGACGTCTAGGGGGCACCTCTGGCCCACCCTTCGAAGGAGGCGTGTGATGGGAAAGGCAGCTGGTGTGGATGCCCTGGGACACCGCACGTGCTCAGAAACGCGGCGGGAAGGTCAAAGTCTCAGAGCAAGCGGCTGGGCTGCTGACCTAGGAGTGTGCTCCCCTGGCTTGAGGTTGGGCGTCCTCACCGGTCACTCTAGGGGCCTGACCAGGTCTGAGGAAGCCCCTCCCAGCTACTTACTGAAGTAGAAGCCGCGGTCCCCACAGACGAACTGGAGGGTGTCCACCAGCTCCCCGCCGCACAGGGTCTCACTGGGGCGGTAAGCAGCAATGCAGCACGAGGCGAAGGCCAAGAAGGTGAGAAGCACCAGCATCGACTTCCCCATTGGGATTCCCATTGGTGTCTGGGGGCGGGAGAGAAGTGGCGTGAGCGGGGCAGCCAGGCCAAGCCCCAGGCCAGAGGTGCCCCTCCCAAACCAAATTTGCCAACCTACAAATTCAGTTGAAAATTGAAAGCACGGCTTTCCTATAAACATTATTTTTATTACAAAAGTAACACACAGGTCATAATGCCGAGGTGAGGGCGCAGGGCCATGTGCAGAATGAAGCGTCCAGAAGCACACAGAAAAGGCCCAGTTCCTTCCATTTGCAAGAAGCACTAGTAATTTTACACGAGGGGTGACCATCTCCACGGTCATTATTGCAGGAGCTCAGCGGCATCCACAGCTGCAGGGGCCCAGGCTGGACACCCGACCTGGCCTCCGTCCTATGACACCATGGGGGCAGGGCCAGCCCAGCGTCACATCGCCACTTCTCAGGCCTCCAGCGCCAGCCAAGATGGCAGACAGCCCCACCCCTACAGAGCATGTGCATCCAGGAGGACCAGTCCCTTCCTCCCCACAACCCCCAGCTGAGCAGGGGGGGTCCAGGAGGACCATCGCCCTCAAAGCAGCAGGCCAGTCCTGCTGGGCCAGCCCCGCCCCTCCCCCTGGCTTTTCCACCTTTCCAGTCTGCAGCTGAGCCAGGCCTGGGTCAAGGACTCCAATGGTTAACACAACCACGCCACCCATGCTCTAGAAACCTTGTTTTCCCAGTCACCCAGTTCTCCAACTCCAGTCTGCCTTGGGTACCCCCAAACACACACACACACGCCCAGAGCCTCCTTTCCAGGCCTCAAATCGAACCAGTAAGGCCAGGGGCCTCCAGAACATCTCCCTATTTGCGCTACCAAACTCTCCCCGTGGGAGCTGGAGAGACCAGCTCAGGCCACCTGGGAAGTCCGACACCAGGTTCCCCAGACTACAATCTGGAAGGGGAGGCCAGTCTTAGGACACACCCCCTCCACAGGCTGCAGGGCCACAGGGCCGGGTTAACCCACTCGGGGGTGGGAGGCCGGGAGCCACCACAGCAAGTTGGCCCTGCCCCTGCAGAAGGTGGAACCCTCCAGGCGGGCAGCCCCAGCCTTCGCTCCGCAGACCCAGGGGAGTTTTTGATGCAATAAATTATGTGAGCGACTGAGCAGGCAGTGGGACAGAAGCACAACTTTGCATGCCCTCTCTAAAGACTAGTGGGCAGCTGCGCCGAGGATCTGAAAGCCTCCTTGGTCATCTCCTTGACTGGACCCTGGCCAGTCCTCTCACCGCCCCCTCTGCCACCCCCTTCCAAATTCTAAGAGCACACTCCGCCAGCTGGCCACTCTAGCCCTCGCCGCGCTTCCGCAACAAGCCCCACCACTCTGAACTTGGAGGTCCGGGTCAGGGGACCGGCAGAAAGCAGGACAGGAAGCATGCAGCGGTGCGGAGCAGGTGAGGGCCCAGGAAAAGTCCTGAGCTGGGCAAGGAGGGGGCCGAAGGGAAGGAACAGAAAGGGAAGGAGCAGGTGAGGGAGCAGAGACCAGGTGGGGGCAGGGGCAGAGGAAAAGAGGGGAGGGGGGTGCTGTCCGAGAGGCAGCGGGCTGGCGGCTGCAGGGCCCGAGGCCCAGGCGTGGGCCGTGCCCCCTGCTGCCCTGCCTCAGGCTGGAGTGGGATGGCAGCGGGGGTCCTCACTCCACAGCCCTGGTTACCTACAGCTCAGCAGAAGGCTCGCTGGGGCAGGAGGAGGAGGAGGAAGAGGAGGAGGAGGAAGCTGGAAGTCTCTTTCACAGGAGAAGCTAATGTCCAGTTTGCAGGCTGGTCAGTGCCTCAGCTTTTATGTGTGAGCCGACTCCTCCCAGCCCGGGCTCCACCCTACCCCCCACCCCTCTCCCTGCTGACCACTCCCCCGCGCCTTTGCTCCCGCCCTCTCCCTCCTCCCAGCCAGTCTCTTCTCTCCTGCACCCCCAACCGGGAGCCCTGGACCATCCCGTAGCGAAGTGCCATGGGCTCCCATCCTGCACCCCCGGCTCATCTCTGCACAGGGCAGTGAAGGGGGGGGGGGTCTCCTTCCCACCTCCTTGTATGGAAACTTCCACGCTGCCCACTGGGCAGGGGCCGCGGCCTCTCTCCGGGTCGAAGGCTCTGCCCTTCTTAGCCTCAGACCAGCAGCCCCTCTCCCCCTCTCCCGGGACTCCTGTTTGGAAATGTTGCGGACAGAGCCAGAGGGGGTGTGGGGGAGATGTCGCGAATGTGGCGTCTGCCATGACTCCTGCCAACTCGGCCCCTCTCCATCCTGGCCCCGCCCACCCCCGTCTTCCTCTCGCGGTCTCGCTGGCACCGCGTCAACATACCAGGGTGGGCTTCTGCGGCTCCGCGCCCCTCCTCGTTACCCAGCACCCCGGAGGCCAGGGCCCGCAAGGCACGAATCACACATGTGAGGCGGCACCCCCTGCACCCACAGACCGACCGGGAAGTCGCCCCTGCAGACACCTCACACCTCCCTCGGCCCTTCCCGACGCCCCCACCCCACCCCCAGCTCCGCCGCCAGGGTGAGCGCGGGGCTCCGCGCAGGGAACGGGACCCGCAGCCGTCCGTCCTCCTCCTCCTCCTCCTCCTCCCCCCCGGGCTCAGCCGCCCCGCCGAGCCCCGCAGGCCCCGGGCCGGGAGCGGGCGGAGGAAGGGCCGGGCGTCCGGCGCAAGCCCGCGCCGCCCCAGCCCCGGCCCC
Source organism: Homo sapiens (assembly GCF_000001405.40). NCBI lineage: Eukaryota > Metazoa > Chordata > Mammalia > Primates > Hominidae > Homo > Homo sapiens. The sequence goes on from NC_000011.10 coordinate 2,138,204, forward strand.
GGCCCGGCCCGCACACGCCGCTTACCTGGAAGCCGGCGACGCTGCCGCCCACCTCCCTGCTGCGTGTCGCAAACCGAACAGCGGGCGTTGGCCCTCCTGCCGGACACTCCTCTGCCAGCGCCGCTCTGGCCGAGTCGCGGGGGCCGAATGTGCGACGGGGCAGAGCGGGGGGATGGCTTTTTTTTGGGGGGGGGGGGAGAATTCGTCTGATTGTCCAGGGAGGACGGGCTGTCTTCGGGCTGGGGCGGGCCAGATGTTGTACTTTTCGGGGGGGAAAAGGTATCGGGAAATGAGGTCAGCTGTTGTATCAAGGATAGAGGGGGGCAGAGATAGTGGGAGAGACAGAGTGAACGTGAAAGGGGGGGGCCGAAGAGAGGGCGAGGGGGAGAGAGGACAGCGAGAGGCGGGCAGGCGCACAGCGGGAGAGAACAGCACGGAGAGAAACAGAAAGCGTGTAATTAATCCACTTTGGTTCGGCGAAGGCGAGAGGGCGGGCGTGAGGGGGGGAGGGAGTCGGAGGCTAGGAGCTGGGGGGGACGGGAGGGAGCGAAGGGAAGGTTGCGGGAGAAAGAGCGGGGGCCGGGGCCAGACGCCAAGAGGGGCGCGGGGAGCACAGAGAAGCGGAGGGAAGGGCGCCACGTCGAGGGGCCGGGGGAGGCGGTGACTGGGGGGCGGAGTGGAGGCTGCACCCGGACCGCGGGCGCCCAGCTCGGTTTGGGCCGACGGAGCCCTCTGCCGTCGCGAGCCCGGGCCTCGGGAGGGGGACAGGCGGTGGCGGCACCGGGGCCGCTCCGGGACGCAGCGCGGAAAGGGGAGCGGCCCGAGGCTGCGCGCCGGGGGGAGGGCTGGAGGGGGAGCGCGGGGGGGGGTGACAACGCCGGCGGCCTGCGAGCCGGACTGCCTGCGGGGGGAACCGCCTCCTCGGGCGAAGCGGGGATGGGGGGAGTTGAGGTAGATGAAGAGGAGGCGGCGGGGAATCCGCAGGCCCGGCGGAGCGCGACCCCGCGGACGGCGCCCGGGACGGGAGTCAGCAGCGAGGCAGCGGGCGGCGTCGACGCGGGGCCGCCTTGCCCGATGGAGGCGCTGGTGGGCAGAGCGCGGGCAGGCGTGGGCCAGGAGGCGGGGGCGGCCGGAAGGGGGGGGCCGGGGCCGGCCGGGCCTCACGCAGCTCCGCCGGAGAGCAGGCGAACTGCGGGCGCCCACGCCCGGCTCTTATAGTCGCGCCAGCCCGCGGCCCAGGGCCCGCGCGGGCCTCGCTGGCCTCGCGCCCGCGCCAATGGGCGCCCGCGGAGCCCTCGCCCCGCCCCCGGCCCGCCCCCGCAACCCGAGCCAAGAGCGGGGCGGGGGGTGCGGGCTGGGGGCCCTGGGGCCCCGGGGGGGGGGCGGCGGTCGCAGGGGCTGGGGGGTGCGCGGGGGCGAGGCTGGGTGGGGGGCAGGGAGCCGCAGAGCGCCAAGGCCATGCTGAATGCCCGTTCTAGAGAATTCAGGGGCCCCATCCCGGGTTTCTGGGGTGCCCGGGCGGCCTGTGCTCGTGAGCTGGGGTCTCCGGGCAGGCAGGGGCAGGCGGGCTCCCAGCGCCCCACCAGGAGGCTGCACTGCGGGTGCGCCCCGTCTGAGTGCAGATGCAGGTGGCTTGGGGCTGAGTCGGGGGGTCCTTGCTGGTTGTTGCGGCTGAGGGGGCCCCTGGGCTCGGGCGGGGCGCGCAGCCGCCACCTGCCCCAGCAGGAGGAGCCGGCCACGCGGCGCTTGGAGCCTCAGCCAGATCCCGAGCGCCCCCCGGTGCCGCGCCGGAGCCCCGGAGCCCCCGCCAGGTGCGGGACGCGCGGAAGGCCGGCTGCGCCGGGCCGAATCTGGGCCAGGCTTGGAGCCTACGGAGGCTCCGGCCGCCAGAGGAGAGAGGATCAGGGCGGGAAACACAGCTCAAATCCTACCTGCATGGCCGAGCTCACCGGGGTGCGTCTAAGTAGCTCGCCTTTGCGGCCCACCCAAAATATCTGGATAATGGTTACCCCGTCCTCAGTGCGTTGGACTTGCATAGACGCGAGTTCGGTCTCGGGGGCCACCACGATAATTTGGGGGTCTGGGGAAACCATCTCCTGGAGAGTTTGAACGATGTAAGAAAGCACTGTGATTTTTACCAAGTCAAAAACCACGCACAAAATCCCGCACCCCGCCAGCCCCCCGCCGCCTAAGCCTAGCCAAGGGGAAGGGGCCGCCGGCGGAATCTCGCGCCCCCCTGGCCCCCCTCGCCCCCCTCGCTCCGCCATCAATCACTTCGCCCGCGCTCCGCGCGCGCCTCCCGGCGGAGTCCTAGGCCCGCGGGCTAGAGGCACTTTACCGCCCGGCGGGAGCGCCTCTCCTCCGCGTCCCTCGCCCCAGCCCCCTGCCCGCCCCACTTTGGGACCCTCCAGCCGCTTTCCCCACAAATGAGATCTTTGCAATGAGCAAACGAAAGTGGCGCGGATTTCGGGGCGCCCAGCAGGAGCGAGCGCAGCCGCCAGCCGCAAGTCCGCAGCCGTGTCCCGCGCCCCACGCCGGCCTCCCCGGCGGCAGCCGGAGACGAGCGCCAGCACCGGCGGGACAGCAGCAGATGCGGGCCGAGAGCCGGTCAGGGGCGCAGAGGCGGAGGGGATCGGCGCGGCGGGGAGCTCACCGCGAAGCTGGAGGCTGCGTCCGCGGGCGCACCAGGAGCTCAGGCAGCGAGCGATCGAACGCTCTGTGGCAGGCGGTGGACGCTGCTGAAGGTGAGCGAGACCCCGGGGCCAGTCCTCAGTGTCCGGGAGCAACGCCCAGTCCGTTGGAAGACCCGGGGACAATGCCCAAATTTGGGGGAGACTGGGGGCAATGCCCGGTCGCTTTCCTGGACACGGGGAAGCCCTCCCTGTCCACGTCCTGAGGGCGCGCGGCCGACCCAAGTGTGTTTGGGCAACGCTAGAGAGAAATTTCCCAAATCCGAGTTGCTCTGGGGACTTCGTAGGAGACAGAGAGGCCCGAAACCAGTGCCCGCTGTGCGCGGGGTTGGGGAAGCTGCAGTGGGTGGCCGGCGAGCCGGGAACAATGCCCAAATTTTGGGGAACGCAAGGCAGAGTTCTTTCTGCCTTGCGGGCTTAGCGAATGGGTGTCCTGGAGGAGGGGACCCCGGGGACTCCGTTAATGTGGGAACCGTGATTAATGACTAAACTCGAGACTCCAGAAAAATAGATTACAGGTTTGGGGGATGAGAGAAGTTGCTCCATGCAATTGGGAACATAGAGAAAGAGGTCTCAAATAGGGGCCAGCTAGCTTGGGGGACCAATTTGTGAGGAGGGGTAGTTAAAGAAAATTCTCCATATGAAATTGGGAATTTTGCCGTAGAGCCATATTACGTAAAATTGGCAGATGAAAGCAAGGAACACATTTTGGGGATCCAAACACATTCTTGGTGTGTTAGGGGGAAGCTGAGATTAATTTTCACATCTTAAGAATATAAGTTAGTGGCCTGGACGCTGGCAGCAGCCGGGGAAAAAATAACCTTCATAATTACTGTGGCTTCAGGGAAAGGTTTTAACACCCTTCAGAGATGGAAGAAAGCACTGTCTAGATTTTGGGGGAGCCTGGAGTGTGATCAGTACATTTGGGGAAAGCAAAATAAAAAATAAAAAAATAAAAAATCAGTATTATTTTTCTATGCTAATTTTTAAATGATTTCCATTAGCTTATTTTTGGTAAATAAGAAAAAGACTATATATTTTCCTGGATGTCGTCTGCATTTGGGGGAGCCCCAGTGAAACACATTTCAAGTTTTTGGGACACATGGAAATTACCCAATGGAGATTTGATATCTAAATTTCTGGAAACCTAGTTAGTAGCTAGGAAACTTATAGGTCGCAGGTTTTTCCATGCCTGGGATTTCTTGGGACCCAGGGACATTTTTTAGTGTGCTTTGGGGGTCCATGGAACATTTTCTAAATGTAGGGGGACCCAGGGCAGGGACCATAAAGTCAGGAGACTCATAAATCAGTATTAAAAAAAAAAAAACCTCAATTGTTTTGTGAAGGGAAAAAAATCTCAATTTGCTTTGGAAGGCTGGGAGACAATACCGCAATTTGGGGGCTCCAGGAAAATCGTTTTTGAATCTAAAGATCTAGGGAAGTTGCTCAGAGTCCTTGGAGGACTTGGGGGTCCATATGTACATTTTAAAGAAAGGGGATTCAGAATTCCTAGGTCTTAGGACTTAGGAATTTTCAGATTTTGTGATAGGGAGTGTGCAGTGTGCTTGAAGGAAATATTGCTTAACTTTGAGATGACTCAGTGGGTTGTTTGGAGCCCAAGAAATCAGTGCTGTCCTGTGATCCGAGGGCAATGCTGAATGTTCCTAGAGGGCCTGGAGGGCAGCGTCCAGAACATCCAAGTATGGGGGACCAGGAAAAGGGTCCAGTGTGATCCTGGCCGTTGGGGTTTCAGACCAATGCCTGAATTTTAGAAAAGCAAGATTCTTGTTATGAAGCTCCTGGGACCCAGAGAATTGTTTAATAGTCAATATGTTGTGATGCAGAGAAAGTGCTCGGAATGTTTGGGAACTGGGGCCGTTAGCAACACCTGGCATAACAGAAATAAAAGTAGGCTCTGCCCAAGGGGTCCTTTTGTGCTTGGTGTAGCCCAGAGGGACCCGGGAGACCCTGTGTGATTTGGGGGGACCTGGAGAATCCTGGGTCACACTTGAGCACCTCCTGGTAACTGCTCAGTGTGCTCCAGGGACCTGGGTGGCACTGTCTACATCTTAAGGGACCTGATTCGTGGCCAGGCAGCATATAGAGCCATAGACGTTAATGCCCCAAAGCTTTGTGACTCACACACCCACAACATTCTCAATAGCTTTGGGGAATCACTGGGGAAATCCCTCCATTTTATGAAACTCAGGCAATCAGAGGGCAGGTCGTTTATGATTCAGAAAAGGATTCAACATGCTCTGGGTGTAATGACCGAATTTGGGGGAAGGTATGGGAAGCAATTTTCATACTCTGAGGGTTCCAACCTTCCAGCCCTGCTGAGTGTCATGAGGGACTTGGGATTCAACGTGTAAAGTTTAGGGAACCCAGGTTAGTGTGAATAGATTTGCGGGACCCAACAGCAAATGTCCCATGCTGAGGTGAACGGGAAGGGGCGCGGGGGTGGGGTGGGGGGGCGCGGAATGGGGCGGACGTGTGCCGGAAACAGTAAGCTTAGGAGACCCTGGAGTTAATATTCAAAATTATGCGGGAAAGTTCCACTTGTTTTGGAAACAATGCCTAAATGTGGAAAAGGCACTGTCCACATCCTGGGGAGCCAGGCAAATTGGTCAGCGCGACCACCACGGACCAAGGGCTTCGTCTTTAAAATTAGGGAAGCCGGGTTAGTGGCCTGTAAATCTGTGGGACCTGGAGGGGGTGTATAAAACTGTCCAGAGCCTGGGAGAAAGCACATCTGGGGCCCCAGGCCACATAGTGTAAGTCTGGAAAAGCCCGCCGGGACTGATGTGTTTTGACGTCCCCGGAAATTAACGTCCAAGAAAATTATTGTGACCCGTCGAAATGGTGAGTATATTTAGAAGACTTGGGAAGCAATGCTTAAATTTAGAGGATCCCAGAAAAAGTAAAATGTCCGAGTTCGGGGAAAGCAGGGAAGTTGTTCCGTGGATTGGAATCCCCCGAGGATCAAGGGCTAATTGTTGAGCTCAAGCTTCCCGGGCAGCGGAAGGAAGGCGCTGCCGGGGATTCACCTTGGCTGGGGCGCGCGCGGAGCACTGGCGCCCTCCCCGGGAACCCGAGCGCGGGCGGCGCGGGCAGGTAGCGCGGAGCGCCCTGGCGCGCACGGCCGGCTGAAATTCTGCTTTTCGTTCTTTGGGGTTTTTCTTCCTTTTGCTTTTATTTTTTTTTTTCTTTGCCTTCTCCACACGGAGAGCGCGTTTGTGGCGGCAGCCCGAGCTTAGCGGGCGTCCGGGTGTAAGGAAGAAACCCAAGGGCCGCGAGGGAGCGACCAGGACGCTGCTTCCCGGGCGCTCCCGGGACTCCCAGATACCTGCTCGGTCCCCGCGTGGGAGGTCCGCAGGCTCCCCCTCGCCACTGCGCCCCACTCGCCTCCGCGCTGCGAGCCTAGGCGAAGCCGCGGCCGAGCCGCCACCGGGGGCAGGCTAGTCCCCGGCTTGGCTTGGGGGCCCGGAGCACCCCCGGTGGCCACCTCCGGCCTGCCCCGGAGCTTTGCGCGCGCCGTTCGGGCCTTCGCCAGCACCAAACAAGGGTGAAACCAGTTTTGTTTGGGTAACACTGAAGAGCAGAGGAAGTGGGGAGGAAAATGAGAAACACGGGGCCCGGGAGGAGGGGGGTGCAGGGCTGCACGCCGCTGGGGTGCCAGGGGTCTCTTTTCGTTCTCTCCAAGCGAATTTTCAGGGAAAGTCTGTCCACTCCGGCTGGGGAAAGCCCAGTTCCTTATAGGCAAATATTAAACCCGCATGCAGGCGCCCAACGGCCCTGTCGGCAGGAACAAGGTCACCCCTTGGCGTTGGGCAATGTCGGGCGATGGGGCAGTGGCCCTAAGGGGACCTGTGGGGTGGGTGGGGGTACTGCCAGAGAGGGGGCACCGCTGGGGACCAGCAGAATGGTGGGGGATCCTGGGGCAACTACAGTGGGCATTGCTTGTCCCCATTGTCACCCCATAGGAGGACCCCGGCTAGAAGGGGGGCATCTCAAAGCCTGACACTGGGGAGGCAGAAGTTAATGGCCTTGGACAGGTGTGGGGAGCTGGGCAGGATGAGGCATCTCTTTCACATTAGCTTGGCAAGACAGGGAGAACCCGCCCCCACCATGAAAAACAGCCCATTTTCCACCCACAGAACAAGACACGTGGGAATGTCCCCTTCAAATTTCTGTCTGCATCAATCACCCCCATGTCCCATTCCAAGAACATCTGGCCCATCTCTCCCCACCCATCACTGCCCCCCTTCCCACCAGCCTTCTGCAGCCTCCCCGTGTCCCCAGCTCTCTGGCCTCTCCGGCTGTGCCTATAGAAGGGGGAGCCTCCAGCAGAGAACCCCTGGCTGTGTTGATGTTTTCCTCTGCAGGGTGACTTGTAAATTTGGGGGTGAGGAGCATTTGAAAGGTGCCTGTCTGCAAACCTGGTCCCCGGGAGAGCGGACTAGGTTGCCGAGGCTCCCGTCATGGACAAAACCAGGGCCCCCAGGGCCAGCTCTAGGCTCCCCCCACCTTCTCCTCCACGCCTGCTTCCCAGGCTGGGGACAGGTTGGGCATCGGGGGTGAGCCCCAGTTCCGAGTTGTGGGTTCTCCTCCTCTTTGGGGGTGCTGGGGACAATTACACCAGTGACCTGTTTGGGGGTCCCTTCCCTTTGTTCTGCCCTGCCGAGGTGCCTTCCCCCAGGGGGCCACCGCTCATGCTTGAAAATGCATGCCTGGACTTTTTAAGGTAGGAAGAAGGCTGAGGGTCACCTTGGGGTGCCCACAGCAGGGTGTAGTGGCCCTGTAGGGAGGGAGGAGCAGGTGGGGGAGTGGGGGTGCACACATGTTCCCCCTCCCTCGTGGGGCTGCCTGCTGAGTGCTCTCCTTATTTAGTCAGAAGTGACCAGGGCAGGCTGGAGGCTGGGGCAGACGCGGGTCACCCTGAGGCTCGAAAAGCACACCGGCTCCCCTCTAGTCAAGACCAGCATCGGGGTTCTTCCTCAAGACTGGCTCCTCCCCCACTACTTCCAGCCCCCGGAGGTAGGAAGGGTCCCGCCAGCAGTCCAAGGGTGTTGGGAGGGGGCCAGGGTCTCCTCCCACCCAGAGCTTGGCCGGCAGGAACTTTAGCCCCAAGCAGCGTCCGCCCCCCAGCCCTGAACCAGCACCTCACCAGGGCAACGCTGGTCTCCTCTCCACTGGCAAACCCACATTCCACAGAGGATGAACATCCCCTCAAGGACTCAGACTCACCCCATGGAGCCTGGCCCATGCCCCAGCCTCGGCCTGTGGCTGCTCCCCATCCCCTCGCTCACCAGCCCTGAAGTGGGCCTTTCTCATTCCCATTTCCTCCCCAGCTCTGGCTCTGAGCTCACCGCTCCGCCGTCCGTGGGACCAAGCCCAGCATTTTACAAACCCAGCTCCTTTCTCCAAGGGTCCTCAGAGCGCCCCTCCGTCACCCCCTGCAGGGCGCCGCAGACGAGGCGCTGACCTTGCGCTCACTCCCCTCGCTGGGGAAGGACACACTCGCTGGCGTCAGCCCGGCCGGCCTGGGAAGTAGGACTAAGGACCCGAACTGCAACCCTCCACACCAGACAGCACAGACCACCCCAAGGCTGCTCAATCTGCCCAAAGCCAAAAGTACGTGGGGGATATGGGTCCAGGTTGGGGTGCTTGGGAGAGGGCCCTGGGAGAGGGGTTCAGACGGTGCACACTCCAAAGGACTGAGGCGGCGCCACTGTGTTACCATTTTATTGAGTGTCTAAGGTAAAGACACCTTTGAAAGAACACTCCCGGCTTCTATCTGGGATGGGCAAATCAGCCTGAAGAGTCACCTGCTGGATCCCTCCCTGCAGGCCCTGTCGTGGGGCAGGTACAGGGACTCCAATCCATGTGCCTCCAGCTCCAACGCTCCCCAAGTCCTGGAGCCTCCCCTGTCACCCCAGTGCCTGACCAGTGAATGGGTGCTGCCCCCACTACAGAGCTCCCTCTGGCTGAGGCAGAGGCCACTGGCTGGGCCTTTCTAGCCACCTTTCACCCCTCTTGCACACGGGAAGCCCCGCAGGCTCCTGACCACAATGGGATCCTGACGCCGGAGCCCCTTAGGCCCTTTGCTCAGAAGGCCTCTGGTTATTACCTCAATTCTGAACAGCCAGGAGGCCTGAGACTGTCACCCACTTTGATAAATACAGACCGACAGAAAGGTCAGGCCATTGGTGCAAGACCCCATGGCCAGCAGCCTGGGGCGGGGAGAACCCGGGGGTCTCACAGCCCCCAGCAGAGCCCAGCTTTCCTTGGGTTTTTAGGTTCTTCCCCAATGATATTTTCCCTTTTTCCCTCTCTACCCACTTTCTGCCCCCCATCTTCTCCCCTTTGGCTGCCCGCTCTCTCCCTGCCCCTCTCCCCTTCTTTGCCCTCTTTCGTCTCCCAGGAGCTCCCCTGCCAGGACCTCGGTGCCGTGGAGACTGCGGGGAACCTGCTCTGCCCACACCTGCTCTGGCCCCTAGACGGAAGCACCTGGAGCCAACCACGGAACTCCAGATCCCAGCTGTGTGACTGAATCCACGCCAGCCTCTCTGAGCCAAAGCTGCTTGCAGAAGGGGGAGATCCCAGTTCGAAGACTCCCGCGCAGAGCCTGTGGCCCTCTCTGCCAGGCCTCAGGGTGCCTGAGACACTCACCTCTCTGCCTCGCAGTTGGGGCTGAGGCTGGGGCTGGCTGCCAGCCTCAGTTCTGGGAGCGCTGGGGTCGCCTGGGCCACAGGCCACAGCAGCTCACCTCAGGACTGGGCTCTCTGGCCTGCTGGGGCTCAGGCTGTGGGGCAGGCTGGGCAGGGGGCTGAGCTGGCAGCGATTCAGAGCCCTGGGGCTGGGGGCTGGAATCCACCTCCTCCCACACAAGCTCGGTGGTGACTCTTCGGCCCCTGGGGAAAAACAAAAAGATATTGCTGAGATGACCTCTTTTAAAAGCAAAGCCCCCCTCCCCATACACCCCAAGCCTGAGCCCTGTCCCATCCCCCTCCCCGGGTTCCTTCAGGTCACCTTGTCAGGATCTGGGCAGCGGCTTCCCCCTCTAGCCCCTCCCCTGCCTAGAGCTCCCTCTTTCAAAGTATAAGGGAGGGAAGAAGTGGTGAGAAGTTTGCCTAGAAAGGGCTTCCCGGTGCTGATGGAGAGGCCGAGACCCTTCTGTTGGACAGGCTGCCCTGTTCCTGGGTGAGGATGGGCTTCTGCCTGGCACTGGGGGTGGAGGGTGCACACGAATGGCCCGCCTTGAGGGGTCATGGCACGGAATATGAAAGCCTCCTCCACCTCCAAACACCCCCACCTTGGAAGGAGATAAGGAGGGGGCCCCAGCAAAAGCCACTGGACACACAGCTCTGCTTGACGAGGCCAGTGAGGGACGGCGTGGCTGTGCTTCCTGGGGAAATGAACCCCCTCCCCACAGACACCACCCTGGGTGGATCGAGGAGTCTGGGTCCAGGGTGCAACAGAGAAAAACTTCATGCATGAATGAGCATTCCCAGGGAAACTGCCTTGGCCCCAGGGCGCCTCTCTGTGCCAGGGAGGCTGGGAGAGCAGCAAGGGGGACCAGGTGCGCCATCAGGAGGAGAGAAGCTAAACCTAGGGGGGACATGGAGGGCGGTTGTTGCCTCTCCCGGCATTTCTCCTCAGTCTCCTGTCCAATTTCTTGCTGGTGGTCAGGAGGCATAGGGAGGCAGGAGGGAAGGAAGCTTTACCTGTAAAATGGTGTATATATGTATAAATAAAATCTCTGCGCCAGAATCTCGGGCCCCTGGCTCCTCTGCAAAGTCTCCTGTTTGTCTCTGGGAATGGGATGGGGGATGCAACGGGAGGAAACTTTTCACACAGAAAGACTCTTCCTTTCACACTTGTGAAGACAGCTGTGTGTTCCCGCTGGGAAGAGCGGCCTAGCCCTCCTCCCCTACCCCTCCCATTTTGCTTGGTGAATTAGTCAAGGAAAACCTATTTTCCTTGCAAAAGCCTCAGTGGCTTTGTGCAGCCCTAAAGGAGAACCCTCTCCACAATGGCCTTTCCTGCACACCCCATCCCTGAAGTTGAGGCTGCTCTCAGGAGGCTTCCCTGCACCCTCCAGCAGCAGAAGTTCTTCCCCTCCTTCAGAAACCAGGATCCTGGCAGCTGCCCCAAGCTCCCGGCCCACCCACGCCTGAACACTTAAAGTGCAGCTTTTCTCTCACACTCAAGGGATGGGAGCCCAGTTACCTGTACTCTAGTCCCTGCGCAGTCCCCGCAGCTCCTGGACAGTGGATAAAGAGGACCGGGGAGTCACTGGTGCCCAAGGCTCTCTGCCGAAACTGCCTGGACGATGATCCGCCGGCCTGGCCAATATTAGCAGTCACCACCAAAGCAGGGGGTGCCCTGGCTGTGGCGTCCAGACCCTCTGGCCAGGTTGACGTGGAGGAGGAGAGGGACAAAGCTGAGGCTGGAGAAACGAAGGGCACTTTTAGAGTGTGCATGTTAATACGGCCCCTACAGATGGGAGAGCCTCATCTCCGCTGAGCATGGCACCTGCTCAAATGCCAACTGAAATGATGGGTTTACCCCTCACCTCCTCATCCCCTCCACTCGTTTCCCTGAGCCCCTCCGAATTTGGGGAGCTTTGTGCCAACTTGGTAGTGCTGAGGCCGCTGGGGCAGCTGGCTCAGGCACTTTCCAGCACCAGGGCATGGTACATTAGCGGGTGGAGGTTTGGCCCACCCCTGACCTGGCAGAAAGGCGCCTGTGGGCGTGGGCATAAGCCAGAAGCTCCCTGCCAGCTAGGAGGTGGGGGCTATGTGGAGGTGGTGGGGAGTGGGTGTAGCTTTACTTAGAGTGACACTTGGCAGTTACTTGACACCCTGGAATGTTGGTGGACGTGGCACTGGTAAAATGGCGGGGGGGGGGGGAATAAGGGGGACAAAGCAGGGTTCAAGAATCAGCAGAAAAATTGGATTTTAGGTGCTCCCGGTACAGTTATGTACTGTGCAGTTATGTCCTTCCATCTTCCATGAGCAAGGTACTCAGCTGGGGGGTTTTTCACTTCACTGGTCACGTCTGATCTGACCTCAGACACTCCCTGTGTGGTACTAAGCTCTAATGACACTGCTGCAGGGGGCACTTGCAGGCATTTCTGGATTGGGCGATTGGACAGGTTCGCAGCCTTTCTAATTAAAGCACAGACTCAAAGCTGACAGCAGCTGGGTGAGGGTTCATATAGAAGCATCCACCAGATTGGACTAAATCACACTGGAAATTTCTAACCTCTTCCCCAAGCTAGCAAAGACTCAGGAAGAGGCAAAGACGTGTACTTTCCAGAGAGCCACCAGTCCCCCCCTCCAACACCCACGCACCCCAACCACCTTCAGTGTGATTAGTTTTACTAGCCTGTGTTGGGATTTAATTGTCCCCTCTCCCTTTTTCTTTCAAGCCCTCGTCTTAAATCCCTTCATTAGCTGGAGGAATAGGACATCTAGTGGGGACAACAAGGATTTCAGCAGGGAAGAGAGTTAGACTTGAAGGGGATTCAAATCTGGCATGTGTTGGGGGATGTCTCAAATAAGACGTAGATGCCCCAGAGCCATGCCCTCCCATGGGAGGAGGGAAAATGGGATTTTTCACTCGGCTTTTGGGTGGGGAGGGATGTTAATGGCCCTGTCAGGTCCAGAGCACTGAATGGGTTCACAGTCTTTCCAGCTAAAGCACAGACTCAGAGCTGGCAGCAGCTCAGGGAGGGCTCAGATAGAATCACCCATTGGATTAGATCAAGTCTTACTGGGAATTTGACACCTCTTCCTCAAGCCTGCAGGAAGAGAAGGCACAAAACAAAGACTCAGGGAAAGAAACAAAACAAAGATACAAGGAGGTCAGCATGAAGCAGCCCTTGCTCCGGGGCTCTATGGCTTAGAGACCCCGTAGCATGTGCTGGTCCCAGTGTCTGCTGCAAGATGCCCAAATGTTGCAAACAGCGACTGCCAGAGCCCTCTGGAGACACTTGGCTGGGACTTTCCAAGCTGCAGATGGACCTAGAGAGAGTGACGGGCTGACACCCAGCCAGATGAAGTGATTCCATGGGATGCCCCCCCAAATGAACAGTCCCCAGGTTGAGGAGGTGGGCAGCTATGGGGCTGAAAGGGAAGCAGCCCACAGGTCAAACTCCTGGAAACCTGGAGCCTCCCAGGCCCACAATGGTGTCTTGAATCCAAACTCTGCCCTGGACTGGAATTCCATCTCTGGATGGGCCCAGGAGGAGCTCACTCTAGTCTCCAAGGCTATTTTATCCCATCAGGATCTTGGAACCCAGGGTGTGTAAACAGGAGAAGGAGAGCAGGGAGAAGCGGTCAGGATAGAAAGGGCCCCCGGGGAGCAGCTAAGCCATGGTGCCACCGAGGCAGGACTAGAGGCATTGGGGATCAGTGAGTTGGGGTGTGAGGGCTGTGGCCCCACAGCACTACATTCCACAGATTTTCCACGCAAGGGTCTGGGGGACACATGCTTTATGGAGACAGGTGAGAGGGACCGCAAAATGGACAAAAACTGGGGTGCAGGATTGAGGGACACGACATAGAAAAACCTCCTTGCTCCACTGCCTCTTAGGCCTGGGAGAGGCTCAGCCCACCCCTGTTCATGCATGAGAGTCTTGGGAACCCCCAGAAATCTGCTACACCAAGCTTTCGCCATTTAGCCTCTTAAGTGGCCTTATGCTGACACCTGGCGGCCATTTCTAGAATTACAGTGGCATAACCCAAAGGTCTTGGGCGCCGCAATTTGGGGCACTCTGGAGGGGGACTCTGGGGGCAAAGTCAGGACGCCTCCCTACAGTGTCAGGGTGCCATGGGTCCTGCACCTTTGTGTTTGGAACCGGGGCTCTTATCTGCTTCTGTCCCGGCATTACAGGACTGAGAGGGGGCGCTGAGGGAATTCCTCCCTTCGGGTGTCTCCTAACCCGAGGGGGCTGTGGCCTGGTGAGCATCCTAAAGCTTAGGGCCTAAGCCACAGGATAGGTCTGGAACACCTTTCTGAAGCATCCGTTTTGTTCTAAGAGAGGAAACCACCACATTAGCATGAACATAAAATGAGATCTATTACTGAGAGGCCCGGGGCAGAACGTTGAGACCCCCTTTCAGAGACAGCGTCCCTAGGATGAGCCCAGATGGGCTGAATTTCGTTCTTAACTCGCTTCCCCAGCCCCACCCGGCTCCACCTGTAAAGCGGAGATTTCCTAATCTGGCCCGAGCCTGACACCATGTGGCCACTTGTGAGAATTGCATCCACAGCTTCAGAAAGCACCGCCAGTAAATCCATATTGCCATGACCGTAGCTACAGGGCCGCTTAACAAACCTTGGGAATTGAGAGAAGAGGAGGAAGTAACCCACAACCTAGTCCTGAAAACACCAGACTGTGGCCCCAGAGCCCTACACCATCGAGGTACTGGAAGGCCAGGCTGCCTCTGCTGGGGAAGTGAGGCCGTCCTTCAAAGGCTATAGGGCCACAGCCCGAGGGGCTGGCAGGGCCAAGGGGACCACTGTGCCACTCGCACATCAGTGCTTGGAGGACGGATGGGCAGGAGGGGCCTGGGGGCTAACCCAGTTCACAGCCGCGCTCTGCCAACGACCTTGGACAAACCAGTTCATGCCTCCCCTCTCCCTTCCAACCTCACGGCTACAGTGGATGGGTCTGGGTAGCCACCTCTGGCACAAAATCAATGTTAATAAACGTTCGATTTTATCCTCCCCCTGACGTAAAGTGACATTTGCCCCTGCCTCCCCTACCCACAGGTCCACAGGTGCCGAAACCTTTTTTGGTGGTCATGTGCTCAGCAACTCTTCGGCAGGCCTAGGCAGCTCGGGAGCTCGCTGCAAAGACTCCTCCACCTGCTCCAGCAAAACTTGCTGGCTGGCAGGGGTTGCAGTGAGCTGAGATCGCACCATTGGACTCCAGCCTGGATGACAGAGCAAGACTCTCAAAAAACAAACAAGCAAACAAACAAAAAACAAAACAAAACTTGCTGCCTGGGAGGACTCTGGGGTTTTCACAGCCTGTGGCCCATGAACAGGAGGGAGGCTCCAGGAGCACAGATTTCAGCAGTGGGCCGGATCTGCATCCCTGGCAGTGGGGGCCCAGTATGGACCCATCCTCAAGGCCTCAGTGCCAGCAAGGCGGGAGACACGTCTTCCAGGAAGCCTCCCCAGCCCCACTCCCTGCTAATTTCTGCCTTCTCTGTTCTGAGCTCTGATGGTGCAGCTGAGGTTTCTCCCTGCCCTGGGCTTCCTTGGATGCTGGGCTGGGGGTTGAAAGAGCTGCAAAGACCCCTTCCCTGTGATGGGCCTCAGGGCCACGGATTGTACCTGGGTGTTGCAGGCACCTCAGAGCCCCTCCTGCTTGTTTTTTTGATTGTTTTGATTTTTTTGTTTTTGTTTTTTTGAGACGGAGTTTCGCTCTCGTTGCCCAGGCTGGAGTGCAATGGTGCCATCTCGGCTCAGCGCAACCTCTGCTTCCCAGGTTCAAGCGATTCTCCTGCCTCAGCCTCCCGAATATCTGGGATTACAGGCATGTGCCACCACACCCAGCTAATTTTGTAGTTTTAGTAAAGATGGGGTTTCTCCCTGTTGGTCAGGCTGGTCTTGAACTCCCGACCTCAGGTGATCTGCCCGCCTCAGCCTCCTAAAGTGCTGGGATTATAGGCATGAGCCACCGCACCCAGCCTCTCCTGCTTGTTTTACTCTAAGATGTGCAGAGGCCTCCGTACCCCAGCCCCGGGCTCCTCCCTCGAGGAGCTGCTCCTCCCTCCAAGGTCCCTTCCACACGCCCTGTGCATGCCCGGTAGCCATGGGGACTGCCACTTCCCACGGAGGACATGTCAGCTTCCCCTTGCCTGTGGTGCCCAGACCTGAACCACACCCACGGGGCTGTCCCCGTGATTTGAAGGCCTGGGCACAGAAAGCAGCTCACGGGTGTACTGAAGCCAGAGGCGCGGCTGCCGAAGGGCCTGCCTCTCACAGACAACACTGAGCTACACCATCCAGCAGCTGAGGCAGGCAGGGCCTTCTTTGGTTCCCTTCTGATGGATGAGGAAACCAAGGCCCAGAGATGCTAAGTGACTTTCCCAAGGCCACACAGCCACTGGCAGCAGAGCCAGGATGTCAGCCCCGCCTCTCAGCTCTCACCCTTCAGCCCCACACTGGCCCAGGTGGACACTCACTGGCCCTGAGGATGCTGAGGGCCCATGACTTCTTGGCACCCACAGATCACAACCTGTTGTAGACCTTGAGGCCACAGCTACCCCTTCTTTGTTGTCGAGACCAGCCCATGCCCAGCCAGGGGGAGGGACCCAGGTGCTAGCTCTGTAAGGGTCCCTGGCAAGGGCAGCATGGGCAGTGCTGGGCTGGGTCTGCGGCCCTGGAAGCAGGAGCCCAGCGTGGCCTCGTGCTCAAGGCTGCAGTGCTGGCAGGGGCCTGGGACACCTCCTCCAGGAAGCCTCCCAGCCTGCTGGCTCCTGCCTCCTCTGCTCTGAGCTCTGGTGCTGCAGCTGGAGCTGGCATGGGGTGCCCCAGCCCTCCCTCTCTCCCTGAGTTCTCAGGCAACTCTTCCCCCTGCCTGGAGCCCAGCCGCCTGCTCCCTCCTTCCCCACAGCTGGGCCTAGGTTGGGAAGTGCTCTCACGGAGCATCTGTCCTGGGCCCGCCCCCCAGGTGGCAAGGGAGGAAGCCCACCTTCCACTCACCCCTGCCCCTGAAAGCTTTTCTTGCACCTTGAAGGTCAGGGCTCGGAGGGCCCCGTGGAAGCAGCCATCGCTGGAGTTGGGGTTTGGGTGCCTCATTGCCTCCACCATGGGGTCCCCAGGATCTTCTCCCAGCCCCGTCCTCACCACCCACCGAGCCACCCATGTGTAACGGGCCCATGCCAGGAACCCCGCGCTCTAGAGAGGATCAGGGGATGCCCAAGGTCCCTCCGAAACTGGGCAGCAGCGGGCCTGGATGTGGGCAGGTGGTGGCCCTGTGGAGGCCGGGCTGGGGTGGGACCGAGCTTTGAAGTGAAGGTGGACTTTGAAGACAGAAGGGTGCGATTTGAGTCCCAGCGTGAGCAGCCGCAAGCTGGCAGGGCCGCGGGGGGCTCTGGCTCTGTTTTCCAAAAACACAGATGGGCTGGGAAGGGGGTCAGAGAGAGGCCTGGGCGGAATGTGGGGCCCGCGGCGCCCCCGAGGTTCTGATGACTCAGCAGCCTGGGCCACACAGGGCCACAGGGAGCAGAGCCTCCCCGAAGCCCACAGGCCTGTGGACCCCCAGGGCTTGGCCTCCTCGAGGCCGGTCTCCATCCCTGGCAAGGGCTGGGCTGGCTCTGCCTAGGGGTCACAGCCACCCGGGTTTAGACATTCTCAGCCCCCCTGGGCGAGGAGAGCCTGGCAGGCACCACCTACGTTACCCTCGGCCTGAGGGACCCCGACTCTGACTTAGTCCTTGATCCATGGGCACCCTGAGATCCCTGCTATCAACCTGCCTTGGAGTGGGGACTGTGGGGTGACCTTTTGGTACAGCCCCAAGCCAGCTTCTAGGGGCAGCCTCGGGGACACTGGGAGGCTTGGAGGCTGCCTCAGCAGTCCCTGGGGTCAGGGAGAGGGTCTCCCAACAGCGGCAGATGGGCAGGAAGTGGGGAGTCCAAGCGAGGTGGGGTGAGGACTGGGGCCACCTGGGAGCAGAGGAGTGAGCTGAGGACGCGGAGGAGCGCGTGGGAGGCCGGCGGGGAGCTTGGCGCCAGCACAGCACGGCTGGGCCGCGAGAGGGACGATGGGGTGCCGCCTCCGGCCGGCCCCACTTTCGAAGGAATCTGCCTTGCTGTTCCTGCGGCCGAGGCCAGAAACAATAGTGGGAGGAAGGGCGGAGGGTGCGGAGGCGGCACCCCAGTGTGTCATCTCCGCGTTCCCAGACCCTGTCTACCCCTGCCCTCAAACATTCTTTCCAGAGTGGACCTCCCTCTCCTCACGGCGCTGGCGGAGGGGAGCGTGGGAACGCACTAACCCTCAGCCGCCTGGACCCCAGCTCCAGGCCTTCGGTGCCCCCAGGTCCCAGCCCCTGAAGCCCCCTCCTCACATAGAAACCAGGACTCGACCTTCTGGCTTGAGTGGCTGAGGGAGGGACCCTCCTGGCCACCGCTGGCCTCCAGCCTCAGTAGCCCCCAGGGGCCCTGGGGACCCTCAGCAAAGGCCACAGCCTGGTCCACCACCGGCCACAGTGGGCTCAGCCACGACGAGGGTGGGACGGAGTCCCCCTGGTCTTCTCACCCTAGCTCTCTGTGATTCTAGGGGCTCGCAGGTGGGGCTCAGAGTCCAGCCAGAGGCTTTCTTGGAATATTAGAGACCCAGAACATTTGTCCCGGCCCTCTGAGAAACCCAGGCTGGTGAGAGGCTGGCCTGAGGCTTGACTTAGGGGCCGAGACTGGACCTGAGCAGGCCGGGGGCCTCTGCAATGCCCCCACCATCATCATCAGACAGCTCCTCTCATTCCTAAGCCCCATGCCCTTCAGAGTGCCCAGCAGGGCCCCCCACAGCCCCCATAGTCCCTGGGAGTGCCTGGCAGGGCCCCCCACAGCCCCCAAGAGTGTCTGGCAGGGCCCCCACAGGCCCCACAGCCCCCGGGAGTGCCCGGCAGGGGCAGGATGCAGCTGCTCAGACCCTGGGTGGTGGCCAGAACCTGGACCCGTGGCTGGTGGCCGGAGTGCATCAAAAGTGAGGCTCTGATGCCATCTGCTGGTCGCACCCGTGAATGGCGGCTCCTGGCCACATTGCTGGGTGTGGAAAGGTGCCCATCCTGGAAACAGCTACCTCACAGCCTGGCTGGAGAGAGACACTGGCCAACGTTCGGCCCAAGTTCTGCCCAGGGCTACCTTTCCCAGAAACTCAGGCTTAAACACTGCCTGTCCTGGCCTCAGTCTCTTCCCTGGGCTGGACCCCTGCTGGGCACCAGGACCCGAAGGGCAGGGGGCTACCCTCAGCACCGCTGAGTCCACACTCATCCCCCCGGGGTCTGCTCAGGCCTGGAGAGTCCTGGAGACGGAGGACAGTAAATATTTGCTGCCGACAGGGGAAGGCAAACACTGCCCCAACGGCCAGGCAAAGGCGCCAGTTATCCATGCCAGGAGCAGACGCAATCTAGGGGGCCAGCCTGGAGGCAGCCACACCGCAGTGTGTCCTGGGTGGGTGGGAGCACGTGCCATGTGCCTGGCTCCAGGCTTCAGTCTCTGCTTAAGGAATGTGGTATAAGAGTTTCCTCCCTGTGCAGCATGTGTGAAGGCAGGACGCCCAGACAGAAGGCTGTGTGCGGGATGGCATGCAGGCTGCCCTCGGTCCTCCAGGAATGGACAGAGGCTTCTAGAGGGGCCAGCAGGTTTGGGGAGACTTGGGGAGCAGCTGCCTTGTGACTGGGGAGCAGTTAGATGGACCCAATGCCAGGGTGACCGCCGGGGCTGGAGGCAGCTGAGTGCCCCTGCCAGCCCGGTGGGCATGTGAAACCGAGGCTCCAAGGCCAGGCAGGTCTCTGGACACTGAAGGGCTGTCTTTTAGCTTCCCAGAAGGGGTGGAGCATGGGCAGCAGCCCAGCAGGCATTGCAGAGCCAAGCTCTGTGGGCCTGGCTCACATGGGGTGACCTGGGGGCTCCGGGAGCATGCACACTCCCCGCCAGGGCATCTGGGGACCGGCACCCAAGGTGGTGCCTGACAGGAGACTGGGTCTGATGCTGCCTCTGCCACCTGGATCACCTTGGCCAACTGCTTCTCATTGGGCCTGGGGGGATGGAGGGGCGATACCTCGCCCTGGCTGCGGTCTCCCGTGTCCACGTTTTCCAGGACACAGTATATGAGGGGTGGGGTCAAGGCGCTGGCGAAGACAGGCTTGGGGGACAGAGTCCTGGGTCTCAACAAGGTGAAAGCTAGCCCCAGCTCTGGCCCAGGGCAGCCGAGGGCACCGCGAACCATGGCTGCATCTCTTTTGGGTGGGCGGCCTTGCCCTCTCCTGAGGCCTCAGGTCAGAGGTCCCCCAGGACAGAAGTCACAGAAAATTTGGCCCCTCAAAAGACACTCCTCAGCCCCCAGCACCAGCCAGTGCCAGCTGCCCTGCAAGTCCTGGAAGGCTGGGGCAGCTCCAGGAGTCCCTGGACACCAAAGGGCTCCTCCTGCTGCCCTCCACTCCAACACACGGTCCCCCACAGAGCACTGACCCTCCCCTCCCAGAAGGGGCCTCTGCCCATCACTCCCTACGGCCTTGTTGGCCATCAGGGTCAGCCAGGGCAACAGCTTGGCCGATGGCTGACTGGTGGGCAGCCTCCCAGCCGGCCCACCGGGCCCCGCTTTGGCCCAGCCCCGCGCGAGCTCACATACCTCAGCTCCAGCAGGGCGCCCCTGTCTCTACCCGTGCGAGTGGGGCCGGCTGGGTGTTCCCATGGACGGCTGCTGCCGATCCCAGCCACCGCCTCCCTCCTCTTCCGGGGCCAGTGTCCGGCCGTCCACCCGCCTGCCCAGCCTTGGCCCCCACTCTGGAGGCGGGGCTAGCTGGGGGCTGTGACATCTCTGGGTGGAGGGGGGCTGATGTGGTCATGGGGAAGGGGTGAGCTCAGAGCTTCAGGAACAGGGCTGCCCCAGTGGCCAGGTCCCCAGCTGGAGGGTGAGCTCCTGGCCTCGAGGCCCAAGCTGGCAGTGGTCTGCAGCCACAGCCCATGCCAGCCCCAGGCCCAGCCATCCCCAGCCCAGCCCTGGGTGGAGCTCTCAGGAAAGGTGCAGATTGGTTTGGCCTGGGTGGCAGGCAGACTGGCCCAGCCACAGGGTAGCTAGGGTCACCCGCTGACCTCCCAGGCCACAGTAGGCCCAGGCAGCCCCTAGGTTCTCGTCTGCCCACTAGGCTGGGTGCCCAGCGGAGCCACCCTGTCCTCAGGGGTGCTGCAGAAGAGGCTCTGTGTCAGGACCCCCAAGGACCTGGAGCCACAACGACCTTGTCACCAGGGCCCGTGGGCCCTTCTGGGTGAGCAGCAGGTCTGTAGCAAAGGAAGCCAGCCAAGCAGCCCTGCTTACTGGGAGGGGGTGGGCTAAGGGGCTGCAGGGGGACCCTGGCCCTGGTCTCTGCCCCTGTGGCCCTGGCGGTTCCCTGCTTCTCCTGGGCTGCAATCCTCAGGGCCTCATGGCCGGGGTGCCCAAGGCATGGGTTCTGAGGCCCTGCCAGGTGCTGCCACGGTCCCTGCACCTGCCCCAGCTCATGGTGCCATCTGACCTCTCCTGCTTCCTCCAAGGCACCAGTGGGTCCCTCAGGTGTCTGGCTGGACCTGGGCTGGCATAAGCTGTGGCTGCAGACGGCTGCCAGCTTGGGCCGCGAGGCCAGGGTGTGTGACT
Organism: Homo sapiens; assembly: GCF_000001405.40. Classification (NCBI taxonomy): domain Eukaryota; kingdom Metazoa; phylum Chordata; class Mammalia; order Primates; family Hominidae; genus Homo; species Homo sapiens. The sequence continues at coordinate 2,159,269 of NC_000011.10, forward strand.
GTCCCGGGGCTGCCCAGAGCTGGGGATAGCGGGTGGCTCTCGGCAGCCTCTCCCCACCTTCCCAGCCCCCCGCCCTGCAGGACCCCCTCCCTCAGCCCAGCCTCCTCCCTCCACAGGGACTCCATCAGAAATAACTCTAAAAATAGAACCTGGGAGGGCTAGGTGGGGGGAAAATTGCTGGAATGTTCTCATTCCCTTTCCTGAACAAGGTCTCTGGGGACTCCAAGAGTCCAGAGCTACTGAACAAGAAGTCACTTCTCAGTGGCCCCACCACCCCTGGCCCCTCAGAGACCCCCGCAGCTCCCATACTGGACCCTGAGCCACAGGGTGGGGGCAGCAGGCAGCCGACAGGCATGGCCGCTTTGGGGAGAGCCACTGCATGCTGGGCCTGGCCGGCGTTGGCACCTGTGGGCACCCAGAGAGCGTGGAGAGAGCTGGGAGGGGCTCACAACAGTGCCGGGAAGTGGGGCTTGGCCCAGGGCCCCCAAGACACACAGACGGCACAGCAGGGCTGGTTCAAGGGCTTTATTCCATCTCTCTCGGTGCAGGAGGCGGCGGGTGTGGGGCTGCCTGCGGGCTGCGTCTAGTTGCAGTAGTTCTCCAGCTGGTAGAGGGAGCAGATGCTGGTACAGCATTGTTCCACAATGCCACGCTTCTGCAGGGACCCCTCCAGGGCCAAGGGCTGCAGGCTGCCTGCACCAGGGCCCCCGCCCAGCTCCACCTGCCCCACTGCCAGGACGTGCCGCGCAGAGCAGGTTCCGGAACAGCGGCGAGGCAGAGGGACACAGGAGGACACAGTCAGGGAGACACAGTGCCCGCCTGCCCGCCAGCCCTAGGTCGCACTCCCACCCATCTCCAGCCGGGCTGGACCCAGGTTAGAGGGAGGGTCACCCACACTGGGTGTGGACCTACAGGCCCCAACGCCCACATGTCCCACCTCCTTCCCCCGCCCCGGGGCAGCGTCACAGTGGGAGCCTGAACAGGTGATCCCAGTACTTCTCCCCAGGGCCTGTCCCCAGCATCTTCCCCATCTCCTGACTATGGAGCTGCCGTGAGGCCTGGCGACAGGGGTCTGGCCCACTCAGGCAGGCAGCCACGCCCTCCTCCGGGCGTGATGGGGTGTTCGCCCAGAGGCAGGCAGCGTGGGGCACCCTGTGACCCCAGGTCACCCAGGACTTTACTTAACAAAACACTTGAATCTGCGGTCATCAAATGAGGGTGGAGAAATGGGCTGCGGGGCATTTGTTTGAGGGGCGAGTGGAGGGAGGAGCGTGCCCACCCTCTGATGTATCTCGGGGCTGCCGAAGCCAACACCGTCCTCAGGCTGAGATTCTGACTGGGCCACAGGGAGCTGGTCACTTTTAGGACGTGACCAAGAGAACTTCTTTTTAAAAAAGTGCACCTGACCCCCTGCTGGGTGGCAGCCTCCTGCCCCCTTCTGCCCATGCTGGGTGGGAGCGCCAGGAGCAGGGGGTGGCTGGGGGCGGCCAGGGGCAGCAATGGGCAGTTGGCTCACCCTGCAGGTCCTCTGCCTCCCGGCGGGTCTTGGGTGTGTAGAAGAAGCCTCGTTCCCCGCACACTAGGTAGAGAGCTTCCACCAGGTGTGAGCCGCACAGGTGTTGGTTCACAAAGGCTGCGGCTGGGTCAGGTCCCCAGAGGGCCAGCAGCGCCAGCAGGGGCAGGAGGCGCATCCACAGGGCCATGGCAGAAGGACAGTGATCTGGGAGACAGGCAGGGCTGAGGCAGGCTGAAGGCCAGGTGCCCTGCCTTGGGGCCCCTGGGCTCACCCCCACATGCTTCACGAGCCCAGCCACGTCCTCCCTGCTGCAGAGCTGGGGCCTGGGGTCCAGCCACCCTGGAATCCTGAGCCCACCTGACGCAAAGGCCCTTGGAACAGACCTGCTTGATGGCCTCTTCTGATGCAGCCTGTCCTGGAGGGCTGAGGGCTGCTGGGCCCCCGCTGGCTTTATAGTCTCAGAGCCCATCTCCCCTACCTCTCAACCCCTGCCGCCTGGCCCATTAGGGCCTGGGGTGGGGGGGTCGGCAGATGGCTGGGGGCTGAGGCTGCAATTTCCGGACCATTTCCCTGGTGCTGGGTCTGTGGGAAGATCTCCTTGGTCGTCAGCACCTCTTCCTCAGGACCAGCGGGTCATTAGAGTCTTAACCAGGGGCCCGGTGGCCAGACCTGTCCCTGCTCACAGCTGGGGGCAAATGTCTCCAGGAGAGCAAAGCCCTCACCTGGGCCACTTTCCACATTAGACCAGGAGAGCTGGAGGCTGCAGGGCGGGGCTCTTTGCGCTGCTGTCCCCAGACCCCTGTCCCCACACCCCTGTCCCCACACCCCTGTCCCCACACCCCTATCCCCACACCCCTGTCCCCAGGACCCCTGTCCCCACACCCCTGTCCCCAGACCCCTGTCCCCACACCCCTGTCCCCACACCCCTGTCCCCACACCCCTGTCCCCCGGACCCCTGTCCCCAGACCCCTGTCCCCACACCCCTGTCCCCACACCCCTGTCCCCACACCCCTGTCCCCACACCCCTGTCCTCAGACCCCTGTCCCCAGACCCCTGTCCCCAGGACCCCTGTCCCCACACCCCTGTCCCCACACCCCTGTCCCCACACCCCTGTCCCCAGGACCCCTGTCCCCAGACCCCTGTCCCCAGGACCCCTGTCCCCACACCCCTGTCCCCAGGACCCCTGTCCCCAGTCCCGGATGGCCCAAGATGCCGCCATGGATGGGCCAAGGTGGTGGGGGTGGGAGAGTGGGAGTGAGGGAGGGGTCCCCTCCCTGCTGGCTGCCTAGTTCCCACCCTGCCTTAGGACAGCAGCCCCAGCTGAGGCCCTCAGCTCCCCAGGGTGGCAGAAGGAGGGCATGACCTGGGGACCTGGGGACAAGCAGCAAGTCCTCAGCAGGCCACTCGGACCTCATCTTCCGTGTGATCTGGGGGTGGCGGCAGGACTCTGGGGGTGGGCAGGTGTGGGAAGCTGTGCACTGGCCCAGCTCCGTCCTGGCCCCCCAGGCACCCTCTCAGCCCCCACTCCTCTTCTGGGAGCCCATCTCCCCTCTCCTGGCCAGGTCCCATGACACCATCACCCCCATAGTGTCATCTGGGCTGAGCCCCTGGGGTACACCCCTCCGGCCCTCCCAGCTCCCCAGAACAGGCACCTGGAGGTCCAGCCTGACCCATGGTGAGGGGGCATGGGCTCCGAGCCCTGCTGCCTGCAGCCCCTACCTGCCTCTTAGCACCAGGGGCAGGATCAGGAGGTCCCAGAAGCAGGAGGATGAGACCATGGGGGCAGGCAGGTTGGAGTATCCTGTGCCCCGGCCCCTCGCATCCCTATGTCCCACCCTGGCCTCAGCCTCGGAACCTCTCGGGGCCGCTCTGCACACACCCAGCCTTTGGCTCTCCTGCCCCGAGCGGGTTTGGTAGTGGGCACCAGCTATCTGCAGGACCCCTCCCTTCCGCCCTTTCCACCCTGAGCCATGCCACAGCAGGACATGCGGTGGCTGCCCCAGGACGCCACAGTGCTCTGAGGCCCGGCAGCTGGAGAGGACATGGGTGCCTCCTTGAGAGGAGTGTGTAGGGAGGGAGGCTGGATGGGGGGAGCCCAGGTAGGAGGGCAGAGCCAGGCGCTGGCAGGGCCGGGGGGAGGCAAGGCAGGCACTTCCCCAGGGCTTCCTGGGGGCTCACAGCCCTTCAGAGACACCCCCAGCTGCAACCTCAGGGGCTGGGCACTAACAAGGTGTGTGAGGAACAGACTGCCAGGCTGGGAAGGACCACCATGCCCAGGAGGGCCTTCGTGGATGAGTAGGAGTTTGCCAGTGTTGTCGGCCGGGGAGCTGAGATCCAGGATCCCAGCAGCGTGTAGTGGGGTGGCTGGAGGGAGGCAGAGACCTTGAAGGCCAGCTGGTGTCCCAGCACCCCCTGCAGGATGCCCTGGGGCTGCTCTCTCCAAGGTAGGAAGGGGACACCCTGGCCGGTCAAGCCTGGAGGGTGTTGGGTGCTCTCTCTGGAGGGCAATGTCCAGGCCCCTCGAGTAAGCCAGGGGCATCTTACAGAGTCTGAAATCCAGCCCCCATCCTGCCTCGCTGGGGAGACAGGCCCAGACCATCTGCCTGGGCACCAGCTCAGCCAGACCCTCCCCATCAGCACACATGCTGGGGGCCACACTGAGGTTCCCCTTGGTTCGCAGGGCCTGCTCCGGGTGGGTGAGGGCATCAGGGCAGCTGTTCCTCCATCCCTGTTTCTCTCAAGGGCTGGGAGCCCTGTCAGCAGGGAGGGTTAGGCCTGCAGGCCCACCTCTGAGACCACCCCCAGCCAGCACAGTTTGTGACCCCTGCTCCCTGCCAGGCCTGAGAGAGGCCCTCCCACTGTCACGTGGCTCCCCACCTTGGGAGGGCACCCCACGGAGATGGGGCAGCTCGGCCAGGGTGCCCGAGCCTCTGGAGCTGCTTGGGGCTCAGAGCTGGGCGGGGCCTCAGGGTGAGCGGGGAAACCAGGCCCGGAGGGGCCAGCTGCCTGGCCAGGGCGGCCAGCCATCTCCCAGAGGAGGAAGGAGGCCAGGGCGAAACCTCTGAGTGAGGCTGGGGTGGGGGTGTGGGAGTCTGAGGATCCCAGGGTCTGTCTCTGTGGCACAGATGTGGGGCCAGGCAGGTGTAGAGACCACAGTTTCTTTTATTGTGACGGTGATTGGGGCAGCAGACAGTGTCAGGGAAGGGCGGAGGGCAGTGCAGCAGCCCCCAGGACCCTGGGAGCCAGGACAGGACCTCACCACAGGCAGCACAACCTCACCACGGGCACACACAGCTGTTGCGCTGAGAAGCAGGTGCAGGGGCAGTGGGAGCCTGGCAGCAGGGAGGGCATGGGGGGCACCCGGGACCCAGCCCCTCACCAGGGCCTGAGCTCCGGGACAGTGCAGGACCAGGGGAGGTTGGGAAGGGCCCTCAGGGACGCCGTGCACCTAGCCAATGGCACTCAGCGCATGGGCAAGGGTGTCCAGCTCATCCTGGACACCCTCCAGGGAGCGCCGCACGGCCTGGGGGCTGTCCAGCACGTCGATGGCCAGCGTGTACGGGTCGAACTTCACGGAGAAGGGGCGCTGGATGCGTGAGGCATAGCTCCTGGGGAGGAGAGCGGCAGAGCCCTCGTCAACTGGCGGGCAGAGTCTGCAGCCTCCAGGAGAGGGGAGGCCAGGGGCCGCGTTTCCACCTTCACAGTGGCTCAGAGCTCCCAGGGCTTTTCTGAGCCAACTGGTCACAGGCGGGACACTGAGGCCTCTTCCAGGGCTGGGTGAGGGGGTTCATGGGGGAGATAGGCTAGGCGCCTTTTCCACTAGAGACTGCCGGGCACCCCATCCCTCCCTGAACCTCCACTGGGCCTCCTCCAGGAAGCTTTCCTTGACCATATCCCTAAGCCTGTGGGTGGAATTCAGCACCCCTGTCCGCTGGACACATAGCCCCTGGCCTCAGTTTCCCCAGTGCATAAGAGGCTGGAGGGAAAATGATGAGACCTTTTATGAGGATGAGGCTAGAGGGCTTTGCTCCCCTCTCCTGACACTCTGGTCACTGCACCAAAGGCCCCCAGCCCTGGGGACCCCACTCCCGCCCTGTCCCCCACCTTGACTCTGTCTATCCCCCTGACTTCTCCCCATCCCAGGGCAGGGGGCCGGGACAGGTTCCACAGGACGTCCTCACAAAGCTCAGGCTCTGTCAGCACCTCCAAGACTGGCCTTGACCCGGCCACCCAGCAGCCCCCAGTCCTGTAGGTCTGCCCCTCCCCAGACGCTGGGGTCCTTCTCACGGATGGTGTCCCTGCTGTGTGGGGGCTGCTGCAACCAGGGGTCGGTTTTCTCATCTGTGACCTGGGCTCACAGGTCCAGCCCTGCTCAAGGCCAGAAGGAAGGCCTGGCTGGCCCAGTTTGGGGGCACCATGGGGGGCTTGCCCTAGCAGCCTAGCCCACCTGAGCTTGTCCTTGGCGTCACTGAAGCTCTCAGACACGAAGTAGACTGACTGGTACGTCTGGTCTTGGTAGGGCTGCACGGCCGCAGCCTCAGGGTCGAAGGCCCGAATCTCAGGCTCCTCAGACAGGCAGTGCTGGCAGGAGGCCAATGGCATCACTGACTCCACTGCACCCAGGTCCCCGAGGGAACTGGGGCACCGTGGCCTGACGCTGGGTGGGTTCCTTGGGTAGAGTCACCCCCATCTCCCCCGCCGGGCCTTCGGAGGCCTGGGATAATGTGGGGTGAGGACTGGGCAGAGACAAGCCTTCTCCCAAACAGAGCCTGAGTCCTGGAGGTCCAGGCCTCAGTTTCCTCCCACTGGGAGCCTGTCCCCTCCCTGCACCGTCCCCCAGCCCTGCCCCTCTGCTGGGGGCTGCAGCAAGGAGAGACTCTCACCAGGAGCTCCCCGTAGGAGGACAGCAGCCCGGCACCATAGGCCTTCACCTCCCCGTTCTGCTTACACAGCCCGAACTCCACCGTGAACCAGTACAGCTGCGGGGAAGCCGGGCAGCATCAGCCCAGAGACAGCTGCCGCCCACCGGGCAGCCCCTGGTCACCCGTGACCAGGATACCACCCCCAGGGAGGCCAGGCCAGGATGCAGGCAGGCCAGGGTGAGGGTCACAATTCGTGGGTGGAAGGAGAGGCCTCAGCCTGGACGGCAAGAGGGTGAGGCCTGGATTCAGACCCCCAAACCCACACCCCAGGCCCTGCAGGGAGGGGTCAACCCACCGTGGACAGCTTCTCAATTTCCTCATCCGAGGCCCCCAGGGACGCCAGGCCAATGTCCTGTGGAGCAGGGAGGATGAAGGATGGGGAGAGGCAGCCCTGGGTCATGCTCGAGGTGGGGGCACCGGGGGTGTCAGCAGCCCCTCCAGGGGTCTCTGGGACACTTCCCTGGCGGCAGAGACCTTCCCTGGCCGCCCAGGATCCGCACCTCCACCGGGCCTCCTCCTCCAGGCAGCCCTCCTTGACCACATTCCTAAGCCCGTGGGCGCCGTTCCCAGGTAGCCGGCAGGTGGCAGCACAGGCCGTGGGAGGCTCCGCTCCAGCCCCGCCCTATGCCGCGCGACCCTCGGGGCGCCGAGCCTCCTTGGCGGGGCCCGGGAGCAGGCAGCACACTTCACCCACCCGCACATCGATCCCCGCCCGCCCCCGGCGCCAAGCCAGCCCCTGGGTGACCCCGGCTCCCTCCGAGGCCGCGGCGTACCTGCGAGAACTGCGCGAAGGTGCGGTCGGCCAGCATGGGCACGTGCCCCAGCAGCTCGTGGCAGCAGTCCCTGCGCGTAGGAGGGAGAAGGGGGCTGAGGGGCCGCCCGTCGCACCCCCCACCCTCGGGCTGGCGGCCAGGGCGCGCACTCACGGCTCAGGGGAGTGCATGGGCGAGGACGCGTGGCGGATATACTGGGTGCACTGGAACACGCGGAAGGCCAGGCTGGCCAGGAAGTCCCGGGCGGACAGCAGGCCGGCCACAGGCCGCAGCTGGAAGCCCGTGCGCTCTGCAAGGGGCCACGCGGGTCACTGCCGAGCCGGGACGGGCTGGAGCCGCGCTGGGGTGGGGCGCTTGGCTGACCATCCCCGGCCCCCCGGCTCTGCGCCCCTCCCGTCTGGGCACACCCTTCAGGAAGCGGGAGACGTCCTCCAGCTGGGGGATATTGTCTTCCCGGTAGCCGCTGAAGCGCTCCAGCAAAGCAAAGGCCTCCAGGTGCTCCCCGCAGGCGTGCGTGGCGTAGAGGCCCTTCAGCGTGGTGTAGACCTCCTTCCTGCGGGCAGCCAGGCTCAGGGCCCTCTAATGCCCCACCCCAGTGCCCGAAACCCCCCTCCTGAACTGTGGGTGCCTCTGCCTGCCTGAGCCCCTACCAACGCAGGCCTCTTGGGGACCCCTGAAGACCCAGGCCCCCGGGAGGGGCTTTTGCTGGTGGCTTTAGGGAATCCCAGGGGATAGGGGGCCATGAGGGGCGGTCCCTCAGCACACTGGGGATGGCCCGACAGGATGGGTAGCCTCTTCCTCCCAACCCAACATTCTGAGCCCTGCAAGTCCCTCTTCTTCCCGGCCTTAGTCTCTCCTGTTGTGCCAAGGTCCCTGGAGGCGGCCCTCACACGCCAGGATTCCAGGAGGCATCCCCCGGGCTCCTCCCCAGCCCCTAGCTGCACGGAGGTCTCACCAGGTGGCAATCTCCTCGGCGGTGTACTCCACACGGGGAATCGGGTCGCCGCTGGGGAGGGGGCCAGTGGTCAGCAGGTCCCCTCGGGGAGTGAGAAGGGCAGGAGGGAGGGAGGGAGCTTCACTGGGCACAGGTCCACACCCGCCTAGTGCAGCGAGGCCTTTGGGTTGGAGGATGGACAGGAGGGTGCACCCCAGCTGACTGTGCCGTGAGCCGGCTATGTGGCCTCGGCAGGTTGCTCTAGCCCCCCTGGGCCTCAGTTTCCCCACTGGGATTTGGGGACATGGAAAGCCCTGGAGCAGAGCTGCCTGGCAGGAGGCACTGATGCTGGTGACAAGATGGGTCCTCCCCTTTGTCCTTCCCTCCCACCCCCCAGGTCCAGCGTCAGCCTGCAGGACGGAGTCTGGGTCCCGAGCGCAGGGGCCCCTCACTGCCTGTACTGGAAGGCGATCTCAGCAATCAGCTTCCTGCGCTGGCGGTACACCTGGTCCGAGAAGCCCTGAGGGCAGAGGGGATGCACGGGTCAGGAGGCTGTGCTGGGGTGGGGGCACAGGCCACGGAGGCTCCTGGAGCCGACAGACTCCTGTCCAGGGTTGGGCTAAGGGTAGGGGATGTGATCAGGGGCAGGAGGCCTGAGTGAGGGGCGCACCACTCACCGGGTGGTCCAAGTCCAGGTCAGGGTCGAACTTGGTGACCAGGTGATGACACTTGTCCAGCTCTGACACTTTTCTTGGGAACCAGGGGACTTTATGGGTGATGGAGGAAGAGATCTTGGTGAGCTCGGAGCCGTGGGGCTGTGTCACCCACCTTGAAGCAGCCTCCCCTACAAGACTTCCGGGGGGCAGAGGCAGCCGGGGCTGTGAGAGCTGCGGGGGGATCCTGGAGTGGCCCCAGGCCCGGACACGGATGTGTAGCAAAACGGGGTGCGGAGTGGAGCCCGCAGAGAGGGAACCAGGCCACCACCACGTGGTCACTGTAGGGTCCCCCTGCAGGAGCCCCTGCACCCCAGCCTCTCAAGGTCATTTGGTGGCCCTCAAGGACAGAAAACCGCCTCACCCTTGGGCCCCGCGGGGCTGCGCACGTCCTCTGACACCTGGCGCACACCACTGAGCAGGGCGGCCAGGTCCCCTCGGCGCACCTCGAGGCGCACGAAGTACTCCAGGTGGGGGCCCCCAGCTCGCGGCCTCTGGGCGGGCCGGGTCTCTAGATGGTGGATTTTGGCTTCAAACGTCTTAGGGAGCAAAAGCAGGAAGAGAGAGAGAAGGAGAAAGAGACAGAGATGGAGAGAGAGGGTGGGGTGGGCGGGGAGGAGGCACATCTGGCTGGCTGGCCAGGCCCTGCCCTTGACTTTTGTGCTAGCAGCACACAGATCCCGTTCTTCCAGGCTCAGGTCAGCTGTCGGCCACCAGGCCAGGGTTTGCCACTGGCAAGTTGGATTTTGTGTTACGTGCCTAACCAGGAGTTGTCACCGCTTGAGGCTTAACCTGGTTCTGGGCGGCTCGGTGTGTGTGTCCCAAGGCCATGCCACACAGTCCGGCTCCTCAGCCACTGGTCAGAAGGTGCCCCCAACCCTGGTGGCCTCATCCAGGTTTGTAGGATGGGCCCTGAGTCTCACTGGCCCCTGAGCGTCCAGGACACTGGCCAGAAGGGTCCGCTCCACCCCCACCTCCTGTTGCCTAGCAACAAGGGCGGTGGGTCGCAGTGGCCCTCGGGCCACAAAACTGGCTCTGGGAGCTGGGGGGCGGGGAGTCTGGCTTTAATGTCATTTGGGAGCTTCTTCCGGGAGCTGGGTCACCTGCCTCCCGGGGCACAGTGGGGCCGGAGTGACTAATGCAATCAGTGGTCACCTGAGCCACTGTGCTGGGTGGGTGGGAGAGGGCACACTGCCCTGCCCCTGCCTCTTGTGCTGCCCTGCTGGGAGCCCCCCACGTGGGAAATGGTGGGTGAGGGGGATCCAGGGGATGGGCAAGGCAAGAGGCACAGTGGGGCTTGGTAGCCTCAGCCCTAGGGGTGGGCTCAGGATCCCTCAAAAACACGGGGGTGTGGCTAGATGCCATGGGGGCTGAGCTGAGGCCTGAGACTCCCCTGCTGCATCCTGTGCCGGCCTCGGGGGCCTGGGCAGCTGCACCTCTGCTATAGAGGGGTCAGGAACTCAGCCCACACAGCCCCACCCACAGGTGAACTTGCCCCAGGGACACGAAGGCCACCAGCTCACCTCAAACACCTTCACAGCTCGGGACAGCGCCGAGGGCTTGGTGGCCCTCGGGGAGAAGAGCAGGTTTAGCACGGCCTTCCCCTCCTTCTCCTCAAAGGCCACAGCCTCCAGGGGGTCCCCGGGCTCCGAGGGGACTGCAGCGGCCGCTGCTGCCACCGCCGCCTCCCGCTCCTTGCGGGCGTCCTCGATGAGGCTCTGCCTGCGCCCAATGAACCGCGGGGACTGTGGGGACAAGGGGCACCCATGCCTCCTCCACCTGCTGAGACCCGGGGACCTCCACCCACAGCTGGTCCCACAGTCGGGCAGCGCTGATGGCACACAGAGGCAGGGGATGAGAGCACGTTTTTGAGCGCCTACTGTGTGCCTGCTGGGGCAGATGCTAGCCGAGGTGCCTGCGGGCATTGCACGCCCTTCCCGATGGGGGCAGCCCAGTCAGAAGCAGTGGTGGTGGGGGAGGAGTGGGGGCTGGGAAGGTGCTCGCCTGCTCCCCACTCTGTGGCGAGCAGACAGACAGAGACGCTGTGTCACTCATCCCCAGGCCAGGCGCTAACTGGATTAGTGATGGGAAGAGGGCGATGTCTTGATGGACAGTGGCATCGGCTGCCGGGGAGGGAACGGCAGCTCAGGAAGGAGCTGCCCCCACAGGGCCCCAGTGAACAACCCCCCTACCCTCCTGGCTGCCGCACAGGGGACCCTTTCTCACACTCCCATCAGGACACCTGTCCTCGGGCCCTGCCCCTCTGTGCCACCCCGCAGGCGCCCGCTCCTGGCTGCCTTGTCATCCCTCCACCCTTTGTCATAGCTCTGGGCGCAGGTGTCTCTCCCTGGGCTCAGCGCCTCTGACCCCTCGATCCCAGAGCCGTCCCAGGCCTGGACAGAGGGGGACTTGGCAGACACCTGGGGCTCATCCCTTGGAGCTGAACTCCCAAGAAGGCTCTGGGCCCCTTGTAAGAGAAGAATCAGCTTCATCCTGAGCTTCCAGGGTTGTGGAACATGAAGGGGAGCAGCAGAAGCCCCTCCCAGAGTCCCCTCTTACTTACCCTTGGGGTGGGGGTGTAGGATGCAGCTGGGGCTGCAGTTCCAGGCCACGGAGAGCCTGTGAGGCTGGGCCCCGGGGCGCCCTGGGGAGGGGATGCCTGATGGGGAGCCTGGTGGGGGAGGGTAGGGGAGGGCGGGGGAGGACGGGGGAGGGCGCCCTGTGTCCCTGAGAAGGTACCTGGAAATGACACTGCTACAACTCACACCACATTTCAATCAAGGTCCATAAATAAAAACCCATTTTAAATGTGCCAGGGAGCCCAAGGTTCTGAGTGCCCAAGGAGGCACCGAAGACCCCTCCTGTGGGCTGAAAAGCTCCCGATTATCCAGCCTGGCCCACACAGTCCCCTGTACACAGGGCTTCCGAGTGCAGGTCACAGGGAACACAGACTCCATGGTGAATGAATGAATGAATGAATGAATGAATGAGGGAAATAAGGGAGGAACAGGCCAATGGGAATCACCCCAGAGCCCAGATACCCTTTGAATTTTGCCCCCTATTTGCCCAGGACCCCCCACCATGAGCTGCTGCTAGAGCCTGGGAAGGGCCTTGGGGCTGCCTCCCCAAGCAGGCAGGCTGGTTGGGGTGCTGACTAGGGCAGCTGGGGCAGAGGGAGGCAGGGGCAGGTGGGAGTAGGGTGGGGGCTGGGTGCAGCAGCCGGGGACCTCTGGCCATCTTGGATTTTTTGGATGGATTTGTTTCCACATTCCGATCGTTAAGATTCAAGATGAAACAAGACACAGAGACCCACACGACCCCCGAGAGAGGTCGGCCTAAGAGGGGCACACACAGGGACAGGCATCACCTCACCCTCCCCCAACAGGGACTCAAACACCAGGCACAGGGGATGCCGCTGTGCCCAGGCCTCCACATCCACGCCGCGTCCCAGGGGTTTGCATGGACCCTGAGCCTGGGGCTGCCAGCCAGGCTGGGGAGTAGCAGAGGCAGCTGGCACCAGCCCTGGGCTCCGGTCCACTGCGGCCGCCGGGCACCTACCTGCCCTCTTACCATGATGGCCTCTGCCTGCTTGGCGTCCAGCTCAGACACGGCCCTGCGGAAGCCCTTGGCCTGTGGCGTGGTGGCGTCGGGGGTGGGCATGGCTCAGTGTGGAGGTCCGGGCTCCGTCTCCACAGCCCTGGCCCAGCAGCCTCTTATAAGCTGAGCTGACGTCAAAGCCCCCTCTGGGTCCCCCACCTTCCCCTCCTTACATCCCCCACCCCTGCCTGCTGTGCCTGATGGAGGCGGGGGTGGGTGAGGAAGGAGGGAGGCGCAGGAGAAAGGGCTCGTCCGTGGAATCTAATTGCCTTCACTCCCCAGCCCTGTCTGAATCATCCTCAGCCCGCGGGCTTGCGGGGACCAGGGGCTCGTGCTCTGCGGGGGGCTGAGACAGCCAGGGTCCCCTTGGCCCCACAGCCCTCAAGAGAGCACACAGGGAGGGGCTTTCTGGCAGCCCAGGGGCACACTTTTAATGAACACCAGAACCTCGTGGCAGACCGACCCAGAAAGCCCCAAGACGGGGAATCCAGCCTCCAGCCTCAGATGTCAGGAGGCAATTTGTTTGCTTCTCCAGAAGATTCCAGGCCGTGTGTCTCATAGACGTGGTTCCTAGGAGTGCCATCTGCCCACAGCCCCCGGGCCCTGCAGGTGTGGCCCTTGCAGCGGCTTCCCAAGCTCGCCCCGTGGGGTCCAGAATGTCCCAGGAGGGCCCACCTGTCCAGTGTGGAGGACCCTGGGAGGCTGAAGAAGACATCTCTAAGGAGACGCCACGCGTTTCCAAATGGCTGCCACCTCCTGCATCACAGTCCCCACCAGGGTTGCCAGGGCGACCAGGGCCAGGGACGGCTTCCACCCACCCCACTCAGCCCCTCTATGGCCCACTGCTAGCTCCTGGCTTCCCTCGGGGTCCTGTGGCCCCTTCTTTAAAGAGCACGCACGTCCCTCAGTGCTGAGGGCCCTGATGCCTTCCCCTTGGAGAGACCTTTGCAGTTTCTCCTCTACCCCACCAGGCCCCGGGTTGAGGGTGACCCTGGGGTGACCTGAGAACTCCCTTGAGGACAACCCCAGCCTAGAGCCTCCCCCAAGTTCCATGTCCGCCCCGCAGGCACCCGCATCCAGCCCACGCCCACTGGCACCTCCTGCTCCCAGCCGCTGCCCCACCCAGGGAGAGTGATGCCCCTGCCCAGGGTGGCTTCTGGCCCTTCTGGTGGAAGGGGAGGCCTCCCCATCCCTCTGGGGTCAGCAGAGATGGCCAGAGCCTGCCTTGACAATGCTGGACTGTACAGAGGGAAGGACGTGGCCCCAGAGTGCATGGCCTGCGGCTGAACGCTGCCACCGCTGTCCCTCCTGGAGAAGAACCGTTTCCGACAGGGCTTGGGGCTTCCTGTATCTGCTGGGCTTTCTGGTGTTGGCAGCCCAAGATGACACCCTGGGCCCAGCAGGAGCCAGAAGCCCTAGACGCTCCCTGACTTCTCGAAGGCCTACCCCGGCTGGTCACTGTGGCAGCCAGAGCTGGCATCTCTCAGGGCCCACTCTGCTCCTGTCAGCTGTGGGACTCCCCGCTCCCCGTTCTCTCTTCAACAATAGCCCCTGGGACCTTTCCTAAAACTGCTTCAGCCATGGCATCCCTGTCCCACACCCCTCCGTGGCTCCTCGCTGCCCTCTGCAGGCAGGCTGAGTGCTCAGTCAAAGCAAAGGGAAGACCCCCCAACCCTTCCCACTTCCTGGCCCAGAAGGATTTGGGGCTCCGTGATCCCCGGTTTGCAGTGTCATTCCTCACCCACCTCTTATCCGGGTGAACTCCTATGCATCCCACAAAACCCAGTTCCGTCGCTGCTCACTCTGCAATGCCTGCCCTTTCTTGCCACGATATTAATGCCCCTCCCTTGCGCTCCTCTGGAACATCCCTGGGGGCAGGGAAGCCTACCGCTCGGCCCCTGCTGTCTCTCAGCACCCAGTGCAGACCCTGTCCTCTCTCGGAGATGCTATGCCCCTCCACAGTGTTCCCCAAAGGCCTCCACCTCCTGTGGGTCCTGCCCACAGTAGGTCTGGGTGCCTGCTCAGAAGGGCGTTGGAGGGATTTGCCTCCAAGACCTCAGCCTGAAGGCTCAGCCTCTGGCCTCGCCCTGCGGCCCGTGAGCTTCTGTCACCCAGGGCTGAGGCCCACCCACCTGAGTCCCTGGTGATGGCCCTTGGGTGGCCCAGCCTCCATGCCCAGTGTCCAGGCCTGGTGAAGCTCTGCATGGCTCCCCCGAGCTCCCCTCAAGGTCCCCAGAAAGAGTCTCATTTGCCTCCCCCAGGGTCGGCTGCTGAGGATCCCTCGGTGAGGCAGCTCCAGGCCCCCCAGCACCCCGCCCCAGCTCTGCCCAGGGCGGCCCCAGTGCTCAGGTGCCCAGGCCAGGAGGAGAGACATGCCTGATGAACACCACGCCGGAGGCTCATGGCCCACACTGCCGGATGTGGATTTAACCTTTCAGCAAATGTCTTCCACTGATACAAATATTGCTTTTTAATTCGGTTTCCTGCCGGGCCAGTTGTGCTTTCATGGAAGCCCGATGGGAACTAAGCTTACTAGACTCTTCCTTGGGGCCAGGCTCTCTGGAGGCAGGAGCCCAGGCCAGGTGCTGAGGCTGGGGAGGCCCCTGGACCCCTGTGGAGGTGAGTGCTGCCCTCAGGTGCCTGCACCTGCCCTGCCTCCAGCCTCCCGCCCCAATCAGGCAGCATCCATCCCTGCCTATCCATTCCTGGGAAGCCTGTCCCACACGCCAGCCCCTTCAGGGCCGGGGAACCATGCTGTACCCCAGATCCAAGGCCCCTGTTGGCACAGAGGTGCCCCCGACTCCAGTCCTGGCCCTGGCCCCGCCCTCCTTTGTGCCGTGCCCCTCTCCGATTCCAGATGGTGAGGGTATCCATGGAGGCCCCAAAAGTCTACCCTGGCCAGCCTCCCCGCTCCCAGCCCGAGGGTACCTCTCCAGTCTGGACCACCCATGATTGAGCCATGCCCCGTGTCACCCACCTGCCTCTGGCCCTCTCCAGAGATGTCCACAAACACCAGGAAGGCTCCACTCCAGCGCCCACGGGACGAGGCCTCTCCACGCTGGGCACAGGCCTGGAGGGAGCACACGGCTGGCCCCTGGTCTTGGTAGAGCTCAGTGCTGGGTCAGCCTGCGGCATCCACGTTCGGGCAGCTGAGGTGTTCACAGACCCATTCTGCAGATGCGAGGACTGAGGTTCTGAGGTGCAACTTCTCAGGGGTCATGCAGTGAGTCTCCAGCCCAGGTTTCCCAACTCCCAAGACACTGGTCTTTCCTTTTTTTCTTTTTTTTTGAGACCGAGTCTCGCTCTGTCACCCAGGCTGGAGTGCAATGGCGCGATCTCGGCTCACTGCAAGCTCCGCCTCCCCGGTTCACGCCATTCTCCTGCCTCAGCCTCCCAAGTAGCTGGGACTACAGGCGCCCACCACCACGCCCAGCTAACTTTTTGTATTTTTAGTGGAGACGGGGTTTCACTGTGTTAGCCAGGATGGTCTCGATCTCCTGACTTCGTGATCCGCCCACCTCGGCCTCCCAAAGTGCTGGGATTACAGGCGTGAGCCACTGCGCCCGGCCTGACACTGGTCTTTCAAAGATCCGGTGGCATCCATCCCCTGGCACTGTGGGGCTCAGGAACCTAGGCCACAGGGAACAAATCAGACAGGCTGCTGTGACCAGCGTCCCATCTACAGAGACCCCAGAGGGAAGGGCAGAGCTGGGACAGGGTTCTCTGGAGGCCGAGGTCACGCCCCAAGAGACCCCTGGGGCCAGCATACTGGCCCCTGGGAAGGAGAAGGGCTGGAGCGGAGCCCCACCAGGGGGGGCTATGAGGTGGGGCCAGGAGTGAGGGCCGACCCAGGCCAGATCAGAGACAAAACAGGTGACCAGGGGAGTGGGGGCCCCGCAGAGGTCTGAGGAGCCCTTGCTGTCCCCTCCATTGCACCAGGCTCCACCTTCCTGCACGGAGCCCTCTGGGCTTCCCTCCATACCCCACCACCCTCCACCACTTCCGCCGTCCCTGTGGTTACAGCCCCTGCCACCATGGCCGTAAGGAATGCTGAGCCAGCTCCACAATGGAGCGTGTTCTCTCTCAACAGCCTCTCAGCCCGAGGCTTAATCACCCAGATTAATCACCCAGCACGTCTGTGCCCTGGGACTGGTGCCCACTCCCCGCGTGGGGCAGGGTCAGAGTGCTGACTTCGACCTGGCTGTGAGGCTGCTCCGCCCACAGGGCGAGTCTCTGAGGCCACCAGGCCTGCTCCCCAGCACCAGCCTTGCCCACCACGGGCCCTTCCCAAATCCAGGCCTGCTGGAGGAGCCCAGCCATGTGCTGGGGAGGAGCCCAGGAGGTGTTCTGGGTCCCCTGGCTGACAGGCATCGCCCTGTGGCTCTGCAGGGTCTAGCCATGGCCTGGCTGTGGTGTGCACAGGGCTCAGGTGGCCCTGTGATCTTTGAGAGCCAGCATGGTGTCCTCTTGCAAGTGCCTAGGCAAATGCAGGCATCTGTGTGAGGCACACACACATGCACACATGGGGCACACAAGCACACACACAACACTCCATGCACGTGTGAGCACCCATGACACAGGTACACACCACAGGTACAAGCAGCATCCACACACTGCACATGCAAGCACACTCACACATGACGTGTACATAGCACACATACAGGCACACTCAGACATAACACATGTGTGCACCACACACATGCACACACAGATGCATATGACACATGCATGCATATATGTACAAGCACACTTACATGGCACCTGTACACACCACACATACAAGTGTACTCATGTACACGATACACATACGATGCACTCGTAATGACCCACGGACACACCAGATGCACACACGGATGTGCATGCACTACACAGGCAAACACACTCATATATGACACAGTACACACAACATATACAAGTGTGCTCATACATGACACAGGCACACACCACACACGAGCACACACTACACATGTGCGTGCATGCATGACACGTGTACACATCACATGCACACACACAGGCGATACAGGTGCACACGTGTACATGCACACACACACACACATGCTGGAGCACACACTGCCCCCCCGCCCATGTCTACTCCGCAGTTCTCTTTATAGCCCGGGGTCCCCAGGGTCCCCAGAGATGCCCCCTCTAGAGCCTGGCTCCCAGGGACACCGGCCTGCAGCCTCCCAGACCCCCACTCACATTTGGGAGACAGTGGGGGACCTCCTGAGGATTTGGGGTGTCATGCCACCCTGGGCTGTCCCTCAGTTCCCATTGTCCCAAGAAGGCAGGGGACAGTGAGTCCTGCGTCCTCCCCTCACGCCATCTTGCCCCGCCTGGGGTGCAGGGCCTTTCTCTGCCGTGTAAGGAAGCAGCTCCCCTCCATCCCCCAAGCTGGAAGAACCAAGACGCCCCAACACAGGACAGAATCCGCCGTCCCTGTCAGACCCAAATGCCAGAGCAATTAGCCCTAATGAGGCCATCAGATGGAGCCCCACAGCAGGGCGGGCGGAGCGCATGGACGAGGTGGGCCCCGGAACAGCCGCCCTGCCAGTCGATCGGATGCACTTAGGGATAATTGGGTGTTTGGAAGTCAGGCCCAGAGCGAGGCCGGCAGAGCAGGCACCACGCCTCCTTCGGGCTCTGAGCCTGTGGGCTGCCTCTCCTCCTCCACACCCTGGACAGGCAGCCGGACCCTCCCTGTCCCCCACAGACGGCTCCCTGCCCCCCTTCTGCTACTGCTGCTGCCCACCTGGGGCTCCACTTTCCCTTCCCCACCAAATCCTGCCAGGCCCTCAGGCCCGGGCTGCCCTCCTCCTCCAGGCAGTCCCCCAGTGGCCTCCTCTCTGAGTCCCTCCAGCCTGGACAGCCAGTGCTGTCCTTCCATCCTTGTTGCCTGTAGGGACTGCCTCAGTGTTGAGACCCACCATGTAGGGGGCCGAAAAGAGGGTCCTGACTCAGCCCCTTGGGCCCTGGACTCAGTTTTGCCATCCACACAGTGGGGGGCATCAGGGATTAGCAGTTGCAGGCCCTTGTGGGAGGAGGGGTCAGCCTTGAGCCCCTTGTGTGTGTGGGACCCCCAAAGGCCCACAGACACAGACCAGCGAAAACTCCAGGCCAAGCTCTGGTGCGTGGGTTCCCAAGCCTGGCTGCACACACAACCAGGGTGCTCTCGGCAATTCCAGCATCTCCATACCCCTGGAGCCTCTTGTCCTGGTGTGGGCTTCCTGGTGATGTGGGCCAGCCAGGTATGGGTGGAACCGTCCTACTCCCCCTCCAGCCCTAAGCCTGAGCCAGCCTGAGTCTGGCATGGAGCTCCTGGAGCCAGGTGAGCAGTGAGGGGTGCTTCCAGGGAAGGGGATCCAGTGGCCAGAGGGTCCTGTGGGACCGAGTCGGGCAGAGGTGGAGGCAGAGGGAGGGAAAGGGTACGAAGGGGGCAGGTTACAGAGCCAAGCAAGAGAAGTCACCGTGGTCCCTGGCAGCCAGGCATTCAGCTGGAAGGAAGGGCATCCGGGTGGGCGGGGTGCGCATCTCCTACCCACAGGGCATCTCCCCAGCTCCCAGCGCCCCTCACTGCTCACCTGGCTCCAGGAGCTCCATGCCAGACTCAGGCTGGCTCAGGCTTGGGGCTGGAGGGGGAGTAGGACGGTTCCACCCATACCTGGCTGGCCCACATCACCAGGAAGCCCACACCAGGACAAGAGGCTCCAGGGGTATGGAGATGCTGGAATTGCCGAGAGCACCCTGGTTGTGTGTGCAGCCAGGCTTGGGAACCCACGCACCAGAGCTTGGCCTGGAGTTTTCGCTGGTCTGTGTCTGTGTGGGAGACAGAGTGTGCATTCAAGGGTGTGTGTGTGTGCGCGTGTGTGTGTGTGCCAGGAAGCATGTGTGGGAGTGCTTCTCTGCGTGTACATGTGTTGTACATGCTTCTAAAATTATTCATGTGAGTGTATGATTTTATGTCCACATGCATGCATGCGTGTGTTTGTGTAAGTGTGTGTGTGTGTCCTATGTATGCATGTGCATGTGTGTGTACAGTAGGGGCTTAGAAGAGCTGACCAGCCATTGATATGGAACAAACAGGGTGACCCCAGCTCCTGTGTCCCTCCGGACTCTCACACGACATCATGGCCAAGGTCCCCACCGGCCCTGAGTTCCTGCCAGGTGCTCCTGGTTTCTTGCAGACCCCTCCGGGCACCCAGCCTCGCCCCCATGCCGGTGACTCAATCAGACCTCCGGTCCCCACCCTCTGCCCCCTCCCCCTGGCTCTTGACAGCCTCTGACAAATTAGTCGAGTGAAAAGCAATAAGAGCGGCATTCAGTTCTCATTAGTCACTCACCGAGGCGGCAGCTGTGCTTTGACAGCAAATCACATCTCATTGCAAGGCCACAGCCCGCCCTGGCCCCCCAGCAGTGCCAGTGCCACGGGCTTGGGTGCTAGTCACCTGGCCTGTGGCAGGGAGAAGATGTGGTCCCACCGCTGCTCTGAGCTGAGGCAGGTCCACACCCAGGGCTCATGTGCTTCATTCCATCTGTGCTGTGACTCCCCTTCCCAGCCACACGTGTAGACTTGGAGGCCCCACCTGGGGAGAGGAGCCCCGCCTGTGGCCTGCACGGCCCTGGGCTGCGTTCACAGGGGACCTGGGCAGGCAGCTGCATGCATGGAGGATGGTGGGAGGCACTGGGGCATTTGCCCACAAGATGCAGACTCTGGGAGGGGAGGAGGTGACCTCAATGCCACCTCTCCCAAGGGCGATCAGAGGAAGGAGGCCCAGCTTGGACATACAGGGCCTGAGGAGAGGGGCCTTGGAGGCAGCCACATACAGACATGGAGGAGAGGCCGCACACTGGGTCAGAGCCGGGGAAACAGAACAGGGGTGCGGAGGACCCCTTGCATCACCTAGGACCCGTCTGGCCAGCCACTGTAGGCTCCTCTGCTTGGCCCCACGGCCTCGCCAGGGCCTTCTGTGGCCCCGCCCCTCTTGGCCGGCTGTCCACACACCCTCCACCCTGGGGGCAGCTGGGCTCAGATTTGGGAGCATCCTGGAACAGAGGGGACCCCCTGTGTGTCTCCTGTCCCTGAATCCTGTCCTTCCCTTCTGCACCTGCCTGACTTTGGGGGCCTGCAAGAGCAAGAGCCCCTCGCCCATGGAGTTCACCTCCTGCCACCCTGTGCTCCTGAGGGCGGGAAGGGAGGAGCAGCCCAGGCCTCTAGTTCTTGTTTCAGATGAGGGTTGGACGTGGCTGCTGAGGTCCCCAGTTGGCCCCACGCTGACACTTTACGGACAACACGGCAGAGACCCCCACCGCCTGAGAGAATGCAAAGGTCCCACTGCGGTGAGATGAGTCTCCAGGGGGCTTGGTAACGCTTCCATGGGCAACTCGATCGTAAACATCCTTATTTTCCCTCCACCCGTGCTCAGGAGAAACGTGTTGCTCCCTTGGGCTCTGGAAGCCCTGAGCCGATGGGCAGACCTGGAGGGAAGCCCGCAGGTGGCCTGCTCAGGCAGTGGCTGCTGTGACCGCCTTGTCCAGGGGCTGGTCCAGATGCCCTAGGTTCCCCGAACCAACATCACCACCCCCCCATGGCCGGGTGGCCCCCTCTCTCGAGGACTCACTGGGCCTGCAGGGGGGCAGCTTTCTCTGCCCCCACCCGTGGGCTGCTGGTTTGGGCCTGGAAGTGCGTCCGCCCCACTCCGGCCAAGCTCAGTCTCCCCACTCTCCTCAGCCTGCTACCCCATGGGAACCAGCCCGGGCTGGGGCTGAAAGAAGAGCCCCTGGCCCCAGTGAGACCCTCTGAGCCCCTCCCCAGGTGCCCCGGGCTGGCCCAGCCCAGGTCCTGAGCAGGAGCAGGAAGGAGGAGGTGGGCGCATTCACTTCAGGTACCTCTGCTAATCCCGGGGCTCGGAGGAGCCCCCACCCCCGGCTGACATTTCCAGGCCGCTGCGTGCCGCTGCCCCAGCCGCCGTGATATTTAGACAGGGCTTGTTTGCCATGTGATTACTTTGGGGCCTGGGATGAACTCTACCAACACCTGAGCTTGTCCGCTTTGCTCCAAAGCTTGTTTTTAATACACTCGCTGTCAGCTAAGCCGGCTCCCTCCAGCTGTGGGGTCCGGTCCCCTCCTGGGCCAGAGGGAGGACTAAGCCCAGGTTTTCCTCAGGAAGACAGATGCCTCCTCACTTTCCACACTGAGGGCAGGTCCCAGGAGGCTGGAAGGCTCCATCGTCCCCACCCAGCCCCCAGGTGAATGAACTCACTCATTCACTGATTCACGCAGCAAGCATTTCCTGGGTGCCCTTTGGGAAACAGCACGGAAAGGGAAACAGCACGGTCCCAATTTTGGAGGCTCTCATAGTCTGGGGGAAGGGAGGCCCACGGTCCTCACATCCAGTACAGCCGAGACCCTGCCAGGGGCGGCCAGGGAGGTGTCTGGAACAGCCCCCTCCAAGTGGGAAGCACATGGCCCCTGTCCCCACCCCAGCATGGCCT